>NC_000002.12:616060-919090 GCF_000001405.40 Homo sapiens
ACACACTCCTTCCGGGGACACGCGGAGAACCTGTTAGCTGTTTCAGAAAACCACATTCATTCACACAAAGTCATAAGGATAAAGTCCAAAGGAATCAGATATCTAAGGATTAAAGTAATACAATCACATAAGTTATTGAGTAAAACATGGTTGACTAATTTAGCCTTTGACTAGAAAATTTTTCCTAAGTAAAAATTAAAATTAAAGTCCCAAAGCAATATGAAAATTTTAATAAAATGTTAATAAATAGAATATTTTTATACCAAAAACACTAAGCAAAGTAAAAGACAAATGACAAACTGACAATAATATTTTAACTTCTTACTGACAAATGGTACACATATGGATAATATTCAAAACACATAAAGAGTGAAAAAGTAAGTTCAAACATGAAAGACAAACTTTCAAAATAGGATAGTGCATTTGCTTTTTGGACCATCTCTATTAGTGATATTAGCAAAACAAAAAATGCAATGATAACAAAACAAAATAAACAAAAAGCAAACAAAGCACTTTAACCCACCTGCATTAATCATAACGACACATCATGTGCCTTCAGAGGGAAGTAAACAATACCATGTATGCAATGTCCTTGCTGAAAATCAAAATCAAACCTGATATCTATTGCTTTATGGAAAATTCAGGAAACAAAAATATGTGAAAAGGCATCAGAATGACTCTACACTGGGAAGTGCTGCAGGGCAAATAACCACATTTTCTGGACAAATTAACTGCAAGGGAAAGAAAAGAGATTAAGAGAGTGCCATGGATCAAAAGATGCTTAAGAAGTGTATCAGCAATTTGCAACAATGGATCTTATTTGGATTCTGATCAGACAACAAAATTGTTGAAAATAAAATTATGAGAAAATTAGGGAACTTTGGACAGTGACAATATTTCAGAATATAAGATATTTTTAAAAATAAATTTTAAGGGGCTGGGCACAGTGGCTCATGCCTGTGATCACAGCACTTTGGGAGGCCGAGGTAGGTGGATTCCTTGAGGTCAAGAGTTTGAGACCAGCCTGGCCAACATGGTGAAACCCCATATCTACTAAAAATACAAAAATTAGCTGGGCATGGTGGTGCATGCCTGTAATCCCAGCTACGTGGGAGCCTGAGACAGGAGACTCACCTGAACCCAGGAGGTGGAGGTTGCAGTGAGCTAAGATGGCACCACTGCACTCCAGCCTGGGTGACAGAGGGAGACTCTGCCTCAAAAAAAAAAAAAATTATATATATATATGTACACACACATATGTATACATATAAATTTTAAGGGTGTGATAATACTATTAGATTACACTCTTTATAATTCTTATCTCTTAGAGGACATATCAAAACATTTAGCGATAAAATGACAAATGTCTGGGATTTGGATCCAAGAAAACGTGAGAGAGGAAGTGGGGTACAGATAAACCCCTGTAAGTACATAATTATTGAAGCATGGAGGGAAGTATAAACAAATTTATTATATTATATATTATATATAAATACATTATATAATTTATTATATAATTTATTATATTTTCTTGGCTTTAGAGAAAGTTCCACATTTTTCGTAATAAAAAGTTTAAATAAGTGAAGGAGGCAGAAATAGGTTATTTTTCAAACAAAAGTTGAGAGTTCATTAGGAGCAAAACCACACCAAAGGGGATTTTCCAGGAGGGAAGAAATGATGCTTTATTAGTAGTTTGGAGATGCAGGTAGAAAAGAGCAACCACAAATCATTAATATGAGGATCAAAACAAAAGAGTATTGTCTGTATCAAAACAAATTGTCTGGGCGATGTAACCTGTATGGAATAAAAATGGCCAACAGCAGTAACACAAAGCACGAGGGACAATGGAGGGGCATTTCCTCAGCTCCTGGCTTTGTCCAGAGGGTGTTAAGCACACTAAATTCTGTTAGACTTAAATAACTCAGAGAAGTGCTTTGTAACTTCGAGGATAACCATATTATTTCAGTATTAGACTAAGATTTATAACCAATTAACTTTGAGAGTGGGAAATTGAAAAATAAGATCTAAGTACTTCTTTGATAAGAAGAAGGCAGACAGGTTAGAAAGGGAAACCATGGCAAATTGAACAGATAGAAACATTGAGGTGGTCGACTTAAGTTTAAAGGCAGCAAAAATTTCAATAAGTATAAATGTGCTAAATTTGTCAAATAAAATACAAAGGCTATCAGATTGGATAAATGTTTTAAAACTCCAATGATATTCTACTTAATGTCACACCTAAAATGCTGAAAGCAAAGGGATGGAGGAAGTCCACGCCAGGCAAGTCCTAGGAGAATGGAGATTAAACTCTGTCAGTGTCGAGAGCAGAGGGTGAGAGACATTTGAGAGTGACAAAGCATCAACCCCAGAAGATGTAATGATTCTAAACTGTCTGTACCTAATAACAGGGTCTCTATATGTATCAAGCAAAGATTAATAGAAGTAACAGTGAAGTAGGAGGCAGAACTCAACTCCAGAGGCAGGGGCTGGACACCGGGCCAGATTGAGGACTAGCTGAAACAGGGCTAGGGAGGAAGCAGTTTTCCATCAGACATGCCCTCCAGTGGGCCATGTCAGTTTACCATTGCCATGGCAACATCCAGGAGTTACTGCCACTTTCCATGGCAATGACCCAGTGACACAAATGTTACTACCCCTTCCCTAGAAATTTCTGCAAAAACCACCCCTTAATCTGCATGCAATTAAAAGTGGGTATATGCGTGACTGCAGAACTGCCCGAGTTGCTGCTCTCCGCCTCTGGGGTAGCCCTGCTCTGCAAAAGCCGTCACACAGCTGCAACACTGCTTGTTCAGTACAGCTGTTTTCTTCCACCTCTGGCCTGCCCTTGAATTCTATCCTGGGCAAAGCCAATAACCCAGTGGGCTTAGCTCCGCTTTGGGGCTCACCTGCCCTGTGTCTAAAGGAGAACAGGATAGATCCAGGTGCACAGTGAGGGATTTTAAAACACTTGTATGTGAGCAATGTTAAAACCACAGTGTGGAGGAATCAATGCAAAGAACTGAATGAAATTTGTAAAATGCTACTATTTATGAAAAATTCAAAATAAAAATACATGTGGACAAGATGACAATGCATATTTTATATAACTTGTGGAAAGCCACATAGTAAACACTATGGAATGGCTGATGGAGGCAGAGGGAAAGAAAGGAAGAAAGGAAAGCAGAAAAGAGGAAAATCAGGTGAGGTGGAGGAAAGAAAAAGGGTCAGAGGCTTTGCTCAAAAGAGCAAGGAGGACCATGTGCTAGGAGGGAAAGATGGCGTCCACTCCTGTCTGCCCCTGCGACCAACCTGGCCAAGCAAAGCAACGCAGCAGAGTGGAGTGAGGAGAGGCAGGGATGACAGGCAGGCTTCATCCAGCGCTTCTCTCAAAACTGCTGCCTGTCATTTGTGCTTTCATTAATTAATATAATCTTAGTTTTGATCTTAAATCAACACTATTTAGCACCGCACTACGTTACTAAACAATACGTATCCACTAAGAGAGAACTTATACATTGTGTATCTAAAATGGCACAAATTAAAAGTATTTTTAAGTATTATAAAGGTTTACATTTAAATGCTTTGTGTTTTACGTTTCCTTCTATTTCCCAGGGTCCCCTTTTTCATGCAGGGCAGAGTTTTGCTTCTATTTCGTTTTGCTTAGGAACCCTCCCTCAAAGTTCAAGGCTAGATGCACCTATGAAGTTGCAGTAACTTGCTAGCCCTGGGAACCTGCACTCCAGTTAAACATCCTACCTTTTCTGGTCACACTTTAATGACTGGCAGCAGAGTCAGGCAATGGGGACCTCCCCTCGCCAGGCCCTGTGCCTGAGAGGCCTCTCTGGGCAGGGTGGGGTCTGGGTGCAAAGGCTCCCGGGAGGGTGACTGTGGGCATGCAGGAAGAGGGGCCTGCAGCAGGGATGTGCCCATGGCTTCAGCAAACTTCCCTCTCCCTGAAAACTAGAAAAACAAGGACAAAACCACGAAAAATCAGCATGCTCAGGGTACTGCAGAATTTCAGAAAGGTGTTCCAAGGTGGGAATGCCGCAGGAGTGTGAGCCTCTCACCACAGCCCTTCAGCTCCTGCTTGGACAGGCACAACCTGGCAGGGAAAGGCGGTGTCTGCAGCCCGCAGGAGGAGACGCTCTGCGGGGAGGGCGATCGCCCAGAAGTGCCCAGGAGTTGGCTTCGGAGTCGGCACAGTCGTCTCTCCTCCCTGACCATGAGGAGGGGGGCAGAGGTAGCCCACCGGTGACATTTTAGCCAGGGTTAATGGCCATAGCGAGACCAGCGAGGGTATAAATGGTTCAGGAAAAAGGTA
Organism: Homo sapiens; assembly: GCF_000001405.40. NCBI lineage: Eukaryota > Metazoa > Chordata > Mammalia > Primates > Hominidae > Homo > Homo sapiens. Next base: position 620,382 of record NC_000002.12, read on the forward strand.
ATCATTCAACTGTGAAATTACAAGGAATCTGGGGGGAAAAAAGAAACAGAAACTTATTTTAGAATAAATAGCTCCGTTCAGCTTAAAAATGAATTGCTCATTTATCTTAAAATCCTTGATCATCACCAGATTCCAGCATTCATATTTATAAGAGAAAAACAACAAAAAATTAGTAGTTCATTTCATTTTCCATCCTGACTCAGAGAAAATCAAAACTGTGGCTGAATGTCTTTTCTAAATTAGTGGCATGTGGCTGGGCGGGTGACGTCATCGCTAGACATCTAGGGTTGCAGCTCAGAGGAGCCCCGAGTTCTTCACGTGTGGACCCTGCGAGCAGCCGAGCTCTGGGGTCACCGCGTCCCCGCTGCGCGTTGCGGAGGCCACGCCAGGCTGCCCGGATCCACGCGGGAAGGCGGGACTGGGGCTGAGAGAGGCCGCAGCTGCCCGGTCCAGGCCTGCGGCTCCTCTGTCATTATAATTAGGGTCCATTGTGCTCCCAGAGTTTCTTGATTTGGGTGAGAGATGATATGGTGATCCTAAACTCAGCTGTGAGAACGCGCGCTCCGGAGCCAACTGCCTGCCCTGGGCCTGGTCCTGCGCCTCCCACGGCCGCTTCCACCTTCACGCGGCAGGTACGACGCCTCCCCGCAGGCTGCCCAGGGATTCAGTCCCCACCGTGCATACAGTCGGTGCCACATAAACGCTTCCATCCCCGGAGCACAGGGAGCCACGCCCTCAGGTCGGCCTGCTCCACTTCCTTCCCAGCCTCCGGCTGGGCGCGCCCCTCTCCGCGGTCCGGTCCTTGGAGGCCACTTGGGGGCCGCGGATGTCCGTGCGCTCTGGGCTCAGGTCCTAGAGGCGCTCCGAGGTCAAGGGGGCGCGCAGGCGAGTCTGAGCCTCCTCCGCCCTGGGGCGCGCGCAGTCGGGAGCCTCCCTCTCTCCCGGGAGCCCTGGTTTGGCGACTCAAAGGCGGAGGTGTCCCTGGAGAAAGCTCACATCAAGGGACCAGACCCAGCGCCGGTGCCGGGGAGAGGAGAGAGGGCCCGGCCATGTCATCTGAGGCCCCGAGTCCAGCTGTCACCTTGTCTCCAACTCTCCTTTCCAGCAAGTAAACCCCGCTTTTGCTTGAGGCAACACGGTCATCCAGACCCTGAGAACTGAAGAAACCCTGGTTTTCCACCCGATAGGGCCGCTCCCTGGGGCAAAGCCTGACTTCCAGGGGGCGTCTCCTAAAATCGGTTCCCAGGTTACGTGGAGGTACTGGGGGAGTGGGATGTCTTCTGCGCTCTCAAGGAGGACTGTAGAAAAACGTCTTGAGCGCTAAGAACAAAAGACCGTCACAGGGGTTGGCCCTGGGGACCAGCCAGAGCGGAGCTGTGCCTTCGCCCCGGTCCTGCGGCCGCGTCCTGGCGAGTGGAGACAGCACCCTAAGCGGCGGCCCAGGCAGGGAGAGCGCGTCCTGAGAACAGGCAGCCCACCCCACGTGGCCAGAGCTCTGCTAGGGTAGTGTCCAGGCAGAGCCCAGGCCAGCTGGGATCCGGCGCTGGGACCGCAGACCCGAACAGTGTGTTCTCCCGGGTGGCTGCGTCCCTCTCGGCCTTCTTGGAGCCCGTCCCTGTGTTTTATTGCACATTAGGGCAATTGTTGTGAACTCACCCTGGCGTGTTCCCAGGCGAGCACGGCCACCTTCTCAGGTCCCTCTGCGTACACGCATTTAGATTCCCACAGCTTAAACAGACACAATGCAGGAAGCAGCCCTTCCCGTGCCATGGAAAGATGGCATAGATTTCTGAAAGTTGAAGCCTCTTATTTGCCATCAAAGTTCAGGAAGATTTTAAAGACCTTTCCATGATGTCAAAATGAAGAACAGTATTACATACAAACAAATCTCAATTTGCCTCGACTCTAGTGAATCTCACAAAGCTGATTTGCCTCTTTTCAGGAGAATGACTCTCACAGTAAGTCAGCAAGGTTACGTAGATGTTCATACTGCCGCTAAATAGCTGGGAGCAAAACACCTTCACCATTCTGCAGGGTTACCGGAAACGCTGTTTCCAATTCTAATTTATTTTGATTAGCATTACGTAAGGTACACGGCCACAGCCTGGCCTTTGATGAATTGCTTCATCTTCCAGGCAGTTTCACCTGACGGTTTCCGATGATGCTTCAAACTTCATGGGAGGAAGAGGGGCAGCAGCTTGCATCTCATCAGCTCCCTAATGGAGCGGCAGCCAAGCTCAACTCATTATCTTACTTTGGAGTCACTCACCCAGAGCTGTATGCATCAGCCGTTAGGGATTTTTGAGGCCTGTTATATTTGAGACTAACATGGAAATAAAATATGCATTTCTTTTTGTGCTGTTCCCTCCTGAATTTTTTCTTTATTAGTTCTGGGGGTTGCATTTATGGCAATATAAAAGGTCATTTTCTAGTCCTGACTTTCACTGTTGCTTATTTTCCATGCTCCAGATAAAAACAAACTAGAAGTATGTTGGAAGGAAAATGCATTATGATACTTTAACAATATTTCATAATGAAATAAATCTTGGGTTGTATTTGAGCTATTTATGCAGAAACAAAAAATGAGTGGGCTCATCTGTAAAGGTCAGATGACATTTATTCAATAGAAGCATTGTGAAATACCAGGACAGGAATATGCCCCATAAAATAACTTATTTTCAGATTTGTGTTAAGTCATGAATTCAAGTTAGAGGTCACATTTTGTCCAGGCCTAATACCAGCTTTCCAGTCACTGGTAGCATTGACATCCCCTTGGACAGAGAAAGCACATATTAAAAATTTTAAAAGCCAGAAAGGAAAGGAAAGTCACTGCTGTTGTTGACCAATCTTTCTGTGCAAGACCCTGCGTGAGGGTCTTTACCGATGATTTCATTTACTAATTTTGGCATCAGCCTGGGAGAGGCATCATTATTCATGCTGTGCACGTGAGGGAAGTAAGGCCAAGAGACGTCACAGAACTGATTCAACACGCACCTTTAAAGCCCACCCATATTTCCATGATGCCAACCCTAAACCATGATGTGACCTGCTCCTGGGAAAATGTCTGCTGTCACAAGGTAAAGGAAGATGATCTTGTGTTCCCAGAGGCATGCTGGGCATTCAACGTGAGACCGGCTTTCCAACCAGCTGCAGGCGCTGGGGCCAGGAGCAACACTGCAGGCTGTGCTGATGACTGCTTCAGCTCTGTGCTTCATTAAAAGCTGAACTCTCCATCTCCTGGGACCCTAAATGATAGATTATTCTCATTCCTGACATCAGCAGAAGGTATGGTGTCTAGGTGATGCCACAGTCAACCGAGGTCACCAGCCATGGGCTGGGGCGGCGTGGGTGCTGTGTGAGTGTCACCCTCTAAAGCAAATGGAGGATGGTGCTGGGGCCCTGGAGCACTGAGTCTGTAGGCAGAGGAGAAAGGAGCTACCCGTTCACAACGTGGCTTCTAGAAGTTTCTTCAGCCAAGGAAGTTCTTCTTCCTGCAGAACCCTGAAGCTCCATTGTCCATTGATAACTAGAGATTGAAACAACGGAGAGGCCTCGCTGATCAGTTTAAGGAGAAATTCCATGTTTGTTTTCCTGTTTCCATGAAGGGACCTTTTTTTTTCATTTTTTATTGATGCATAATAGCTGTATATTTGCAGGGTACATGCAATATTTCAATACATGTCTACAATGTGTAATGATCAAGCCAGGGTAATTGGGAACATTTTTATTAGGTCATTTCTGCCACTGTTTCTCCCTGCAAAGCCCCTTGTGGTGAGGAGTGCCTGGTGGGAAGACTCTGAGCTAGGGAGGGCCTTGCACCCCTTGACCGGCGGCCAGGTGAGCTGCAGTGTCTGCACTCCACGTGCTGACCCCAGGCGGGGACTGCACCCACCTGCCTCAGCCCTTTCACCTGTGACTGAATGGAAAAGCCAGGGCGATTGAGGTCCTGAGGCCTGGACCCTGAGGCTCTGCTGTTTATCCAGCCAACTTGCCTGGAGCTCCACTTTGCAATGGCAGAGGTGCACGCCTTCACGTCCTTCCAGTCGGCCGGAACCCTAGGGAAAAAGATGGGTTCTGGGATTTAGACATCAAACTCCACGATATACTTTTAATCAGTTTCATTTATATTTTCACTTAATTTGGTGTCTTTACATATTGTCCTCACAAATCGTAAATAGCACAGCAAATGGAATTGTACAAAAGTGGAGAGAACGGGGGACATTAAGTTTTCCCAGCACTGTAGACTATTAATCAAATTTAGTTATTTACTAGTTAAATGCTGAAGGTCTACTGTTGGTCAGGAAGACTAATCACATTGCCAGGGGACCCTGGTCACAGTGCAGCAGTAATGAGATTAGACTTTGAAATCCCAAATGTAACCTCGTCTGACTCTGCAGGGAGGAGCTGGCAGGGAGCAGCCAGAAAGGCACTTGGGGGTCAGCACCATGCCCCTCTGTCCATTACCTACCAGTGCGAGGTCTCAAAAGACAAAACAAAGGGTGGGTTCTGCCCAAGTATGTTCAATGCATGCTCACAGTTTAGAGCCCTGATTCCCATTCTCAGGAATATTCTCTCTTCCCCTTCATGACACTGCCATGTGCCAAGTTTCTCAAAGTAATAATGTCATTTTCCTCCTTGAATTTTTCTCTCCACACAGCCTGCAGCCCGTCCTTCCCGGTGCGTGTCAGACCCATCCACCTTCCTCCGCGCCACACCTCCCAGCCAGGTTGCAGACCCTAGAGACAGCCAGAGCCCCTCACTGCCCCCTGCTCCCTTCCCCAGCCTGGACCATGCTCCCCACCTAAAAGCCTGAATAATCCTTCAAAACATAATTGAGATTTGATCACTTCCCCACTCAGACTTCTCCATATAACATAGAAGGAAACCAAGGGCTTTTCCTTCTCTGCCTGAGCCTCTGGCCCTGTGCGACCTGGTCCTGCCCACCCCAGCCCCAGGCATCGCCTCTCCTGGTCACCACGGCCTTGCTGGCCCATCTGCTCCATGATACAGCCCTTTGCTCCTCAAAGCTTTTCTTTTCCTATTTTTTCTGCCCAGAATGCTTTTCCCCACTTCAGAGTTTTCATTCCTGGATTAACTTCATTCAGAGGGGCTTCTGTGGCCGGCCTCCCTGATGGGAGATCCTCCTCCAACAGGTTCAGTAACCACTGCCCCTTCCATGTCCCATGCAGCCCTCCCTGTGGTCAGCAGTGGCCTCTCCTCAGGAGCTCACTCACGGTCAGTTTCCACAGCACAGCACAAGCTGCTCAGAAAAAAACATGCTGAAATGATAACCTCCAAGTTCTCAATGCGCAAAACGAGCCCTTAGAAACTGCAGAATGAAAAATCACTGAAGGAAGAGGATGGATGCAAAGATGAGAACTGAAAACAAAAGCTGAGATTGGCATGATGCCTGCCCAGGGGCGTGTACCTCTCCGCAGAGAGCTGAAGAGATCTGGGATAGAAACTGCTCCATTTTTCTGCACAACCCTTACACCATCTGACAGATTATTTCTCATTATTACTAAATTTGCTCTCACTGTCTGTCTCTCCTTCTCCCACTAGAAATGAGGTCCATGCAGTGGGGCCTTCCCTGGGTTTGGTTGTAAATGTGGCCCTACCACCAAGAAGACTTTCCAGTTCACAGAAAAGACTTGGTATTTGCCAAACGAACCATGAATAAGCTCCCTTTTCTTCAAGTGCATCAACAAGCAAATGCACCACAGAAACAGCATGCTCATCGAGAGATTCAGCTGACCCTAAACTTTGCATTGACTCACACTGCTGGCGTGAGATCCAGAGACACCAAGCAGCCAGCCTTCTACGGAGGGGCCTCACCTGGCTTCGTTTGACTTTTCTGCTCTGGAAACACCTGTCGGAATTCAAGGGTGAGGTAGCCACCAGCAGCTGTGAGTTCATAAGCAATGAGAATTGGATAATGTATATAAATATATACACGTGTCTGCATGCATGTATGTGTGTATGTATCTTATATTTTTTGTTAATACTCCCCAGGGCCAAGGCACTAAGACACACTTGTGTGTGTGTGTATTTGTGTGTGTGTGCATAAACATGTATGTTGCCTTTCTGGGCAGCACGTATGGGCCTCTATGAGTAAACTGAGAGAGGTTTGTGAATTTCTGTAAATATGTGTCTACTGTCTCCCAGAATGAAACAAATGCCACTTGTTGAAGACTAGCTTCCCCCAGAGAGAGACTGAGATGGAGGCCCAGGGAGTTTGCTGGAGACCTGCACCGGCCGTCTGGGTGTTGGGACCTTCCGAGTGGTCCCATCAAGGCTGGGTCAGCACCCTTGTGCCTCTGCCCCTCCACTGCGCTGAGCCTCAGGAGGGAGGCTGCCTAGCCAGCAGTGTCACCTGGGCCAGGGGCTGCCATCACAGCCATCTACAGAGGGACCTCGGGGACGCTCAGCCCTGTAGCCCCATCTTGGGGGTACACAGTGACTGTTCACCAGCGATTCTAAAACTTCACAGTTTTAAATTTGATTATGTCACACAAAAATTTTGTTGCTTTTCAGATATAATTATAGTAAGATTAAGTGGGACACTGTCCTGCATGGAGTCAATTAGCACTGATTAAATTGAGTGAAGATACAGACCTCCTGCCACCTGCATCCCTGTCCAGATTTCTACAGAACTGCAGCATGCCCACGAGCACTGTCTCTTCCTTGCTGATTCTACACTGGGTTAAACCTCCTGACTCAGAGGCAGGACTAATGCAGTTATCGGTGAAACACTAAGTGAGGTGCTAGATGCAGGTGCATGAGGAGAGCCCGTGCTGCTCACAGAGGGGAGTCTGCAGCCTTTGTTTCCTTGATCCCGTCTTTCTTTGTGCGGCCTGCAGCAAAGGCATAAACAAAGGACTTTAATAAAATGGGAAATGGGATCGGACTTCAATGTTGCCTCGACACAACTGTAATTACAATCTAATTCTGCAGGTAAAAAAACTGAGGCTCACCAGGAAAAGCAACCCACTAAGGAGACAGTCTCAGAACACGCTGTAAGATAGGCAGCCTTTCGGGAAACACCGGCCACTGTTCCTGATGGGCTCTGATCCTGTAGTGAGGATGTGGAATCCAGCATGAAAGCTTTTTACAGCGGGAACTCACTCTCCATAGGCGAAGCTGCGATCTCCATCATTTTCTCTCCATCCTCTGTGCATGGCGGCATCTGCTGCTCAGAAGCCGCCTCTCCTGATCTTGCTGGAATGAAAGAACCCAACTCCTTTTGTCGTCAACCCAAAATAAGAGAAGAGAACAGCCACAGGTGGTGGTCATGTTCCTTCCAACTCCACCAGGAGGCCAGGCCCACCAGTGGGTGCTAGGAAAATTCACAGCGCCAACAGTAAACATAACATACCTTCCTGATGGAATTTCTTTTTGTGATTCCCTTGTGTTTTAAATTCTCCTGTTTGTATTAATTATACTTGACCAACTTTCTAATATAAAAAGTTTATATCATGCTCAGAAATAAATTATTAATGATTACCAAATAAAGCAAATTACTATTGTATTTTCTAGGTAAGCATGGAGTATGTAAATGCTATTATTATCATTACCCAAATTATTAACTAAGATAACGAAGGCTTTATTCTTGAGTTTTAAATTCCTGGTTGAACAAACCTTGTTATATTTGACACTTCCTGTGAAGGCTTAAGAAAACACAGGACTGAGAAAGTGATGTCTGTGGTCATCAAGGAACAGGTGCTGGGGTGTCCTCTGCCACCCACAGGCTAGCTGAGCACCGCGTGCGGAATGCTGGGTACCCTCCCGCTCAAAGCAGGGCTGTGTGTAAGTTATTATATTTATTTACAACAGAGTCTCAGTCGATTTGATGGGGTGAGACCGGGTGTTGCCCTGGTAGTGATGTCCGGATCATTTGCATAGTTTTTCCCTAACAAGTAATTTTAGAGAAAATGATGTGTGGCACAACCAACAAGAATGAAGTCCAAATATCCAAAACAGAAACCGAATTACAAAATGCTGGGCCAGGGCACACAGTGGGGCCGGTCACTCTTGAGTGCCTCTTACTGCTCATTACCTGCCAGGACCCTTCTTGCTGGGCATCCCGACCCTCAAATAAACACTTTCTGAAACAGGCCACTCGAAGGGGTCAGTGCCGTAAGCAAGTAATTCCTACAACCACAACTATTTTTAAAACATGATTCTGGACGTTCCAATCAATCCAATTAAACGTGAGATTAAATTTTTTTATGTAACTATGTTTCCATTTTTTCCATATAGGAGACATGCAATAACTATTTCCTAAGTAAATGAACAATTGAAAGATGAGTAAAGGGTGTTGTTTAAATCAGGTTGCTCGGTGCCGAGTGACTCAACCTTGTTGTGTGCCTCCTCTGCGTGCCCAGGGATTTACTGTTGTCGAGCAGGAAGAAGCCTGGCCGTGACTGTGTTTGGCAGCGTAGGTTTGTTCCTTTTTGAAATTAGGACACAAGTCCCCAGGCAGGCTTGTTGGGACTCCAGCGAGGTAGCTTTTCCATCACTGAAGGAAACGTAGCAGGCAGCGTCACCGGAGCAGGGCACGGCAGGTTCGGTCAGAACGGCCCCGGGGCAGCTCTTGAAAAACACCAGCATCTACAGATCCCACAGAGACCTTGACGCCCACGTTGCCCTGAGGTTAGAGACCCCCGAATTGGAAGTGAGCAGGAACTAGACGGTGCGGGGGCACCGAAGTTCACACGGGAAGAGGTGGGATGATGTTCGCGTATTAAACACACAGAACGCTGACACAGGCGCACGGGACAGCCACGGCTCCTCTGCTGGGGGCGCTCCGATTTTCACCTCACCAGAAAAGCCATCAAGCTGCCCGAGTTACTGGGGCATAAAAATAGATAACTCAAAAGGATTTGAAACCGCAGCGCAATTATAATACGTGAATTTGAATTAACCAAATGTGAAATAGTAAGATAAAAATATATTTTAAAAGTTCTAATTTATATGCAGAATTTAAAATAATTCAAATCTCCCAAGGTATAAAAATCACATAATTTCAAAGCTGTTGGAATTTGTGTAGTGTGAACACTTTCACATATCAGAAAATAAAGATCTATAGTATCCTTTTTTAATTACTGCAAAATAGTCTACAGTAGGAGCGTACCATTATTTATAGCATAACATTCTCAAAAGGACTTTCAGGAAGAAAGTGTGAAATATGAACTTACATATAGAGATTTATAAAATGAAATATTTACTAATTATCTTATACCTTAAAGTAAAAATATTTTAAATGTAATTAATTGTTCATGCTTTAATTTGTAACAAACTTTAAACTTCTAGTACTAGGCAATATATATTTTACCTTTGATCTACTTATCTATGATCTAGCTATCTATCATTGTCTATCATCTATATATTTATCTATCAATTATACCAATTGATAGATAATCAATCATCTATCACGAGTCATCTATCAATCATCTATTATATATGTTTCAACTGTCTGTCATCATCTATCACCTACGTATCATCTATCTCATCTATTCTATCATCTACTTACGATCTATAATCTATCATCTCTCTACCATCTGTCATCTATCTATTCTATAATCTATTCACCATTTATTATCTCTTTATCATATATTACCTATCTACCATCTGCAATTGATCAACCTAACCAACTGTCATCTATTTATCTATCGTTTTTCCATCTATATATTACCTATTTATCATGTATCTACTAGCTACCATCTATCATCCCTATCTATCTATCTATCTTGATCATTTTTCTGTAGACCTAATAACCTGCTTCTCTGCTCCCCTTAAAGGTAAACTTCCCTTAAAAGTTGGTTACCTTCCATTTATGCTTTAAAAAAGTTTTTACAAACTATTATGTCATTTGAAATTTGTATCAAATAACACCATAAGGCCTTTGGACTGGTGGCTTAGGATATTTATTTGGTACTAAGCGTAGATGATTTTTAAAACACTCCTCCTTCACACAAAAAGTTACTTTCCCTAGTAGTTACGAAATATAACAAATAATAATGGTCAGAAAAGAAATGCACCCAGTGAAAATTTTCTTTCATTGGACTTTGTATAATTATGTCTTTAAATTACTTGTTTAATTAATAAGCAATATAGAACAAAAAGGGTAAATTAATATATTAATACTTTTAATTATATTGACATAATTCTTGAAAAAAGGTTAAATGTGTATTAAATATTGGTCCTTCACAGTAATGGGTAGCTACTTCACAGTTTCTATTGTTAAGCATTAACTTTCACAAAGTACTCAATGCTTTCTGAAAATTCAATGATGATCTTTGCACAGTCATGTTTGCTGAAAGATGCTCCCAGATCTGTCAGTCCTCCACCAGGAACCTAACAGACATTTCATTAATTTAATTTTAATTATTTAATTAATTGTTTAAATTAATAATTTAATAATTAAATAAATTTAATTATTTAATTAAAAATTTAATTATTTAATAAACAATTATTTAATTATTTAATTATTTACATGAAGCAAAAGATATACCAGCACAAAGAAAAGTCTTAAGTATTGAGATAATTTTGGTCAAACTTCATAAATATTTCATTTCACAATAAATTCCAGGAATTGCAATACTGCCCATGTTTCTGTTCCTTTGGGATTGATTCTAGATGCTTCCAAATGTCTCCAGTTATGAACACATTCTTTTTCTACTTTTTTGTATTTTTTTCTAGCCTTTCCTTATACGTTCCAGAAGCTACTTATTTTTAGAGAACATGGAATCACTAAAGTTTTGTAATATATCATGACATCTAGTAAAAAAAAATCACCATCCTGTGATTTTTTTTTCAAAATTGCCTTGTTTACATGAATTTTGGAATAACATTTTCAAAGTTTATATAAAACTCTGTCAAGATTTTTACTGGAATTACACAGAATATAAGAATTTTTTAGAGGACAGATGACATCTTTATGATAATACATGTGTCTATCCATGGATATTGTATATGAGTCCTTTCTTATTTAATTTTGTTCAATACAAAGTGATATTTTCTTTATTATATTCTCTCAGTTAAACTGAGTGGACAAACATATCATCTGTCAATAATAACAGGGATTATTTTTTGAATTCTTATAGCTTTTATCTTCTTGGTTTACAGCATGCATTATGACTTCAATAACAATGTTGAATAAAAATGCTATTTGTCATCATCTTTGGTTCTCTTCTAATTAAGTATAATGTTTGCTCTATTTCCCAGTAAATAACCTTCATCAGTTTTCTAAAATGTTTACTTCTCTTGGTTTCCTAAAAGTTAACTATTTAAATCAGAAATGAGTGTTTAATTTATTGAAATGCTCTTTTTATTATATCTATTAGGAAGGTCATATGGTTTTGATTTTTAGTTTAATGGTAACTTTTATGACAGTAATGTAGTTGTAATATTAAAACTCTTCCTTTTTGAAATTATCGTAAATTTGTCTTAATATGTTTTGTTTACTTGTGTGTGTGTTGTGTTTATATTTTGCTACAGATGATTGAGCAACAAAATTAACAGTCTTGATCTAACAGATGTACAGTTTCACATCAAAGACCTGGGAAATGCATGTTTTCTTCAAGCACATGTGAAACATCCCAGTATCAACCATGTATCAGGCCAGAGAACAAATTGATGTCATTACAAAAAGTTAGTGTAAGACATAAAACTTCCTTGATAGCAGTAGCATTAAGTTAGATATATAAAAAAAGTTATTCTAATATACAACAGCATACATTTATCAAATAAATTAAATCTACATTTCACTCTGAATAAAAGAAATATCAAATGAAAATTATAAAATAGAGATGAATAATAATGAAAATAATATACATTAAGTTTGGGGAATACAGCTAAAGCAGTATGTAGAGGGCAATTTATAGTCATAGGTGCTCCTAATGGAGCTCATTATTAAAGGGCTAAAAAAAAATCCCTTAAGTATATAACTAAAGGTTTATGCCACTAAATTAATTAAATCAGCAGTTTAAAATATTATCAGGGTCAATAGTTTTATGGACCTGTCCAATTTTATGAGAAAAAAATGAAAAAAAGTTTTACATGAATTACATCAACATATCAAAGTATAGCTAATCCCAAATTTTAAGTCATTGTAAAAACAAAGCTAAAGTAATACTTTCAAAATGTTTGTTTTAAAGTTTTGATGAGCCTTTTGTAAGCAGATTTGACTATGTGTATTTTTTTATTTTTGATTTAACAATCAATTCAATTTTGATTTTGATTTAACATGTTTTGTCCATTTATTTTCATTTTGATGGGAGATATATTTGAGTTGATGTTTAGTGGCTTATTTTATGGTTTATATTTATCTAAGTTGTTAACAGTGTTTCATATTCTACTATCCTGACTCCTATTAGATTGAGTGATTTAGTTCACATTTTCCCTTTCTTGTTAACTTTTTATTTTGTAAGTAACCATTATTGAAACTGACATGAATCTAAACACTGTCTAAAGGTAATTTAAAGTCCTAAAGTGCAGTTTTTGGGGGGAAGATTTTTGGCAATAAGTTCTATTTTAATGGTTACTGGGGAAATATATTGTCTATTTTAGTAAGTTATGTTTTTTAATAATTTGTTAAATATTTTATTTTGTTTACTCTGAAGTCTATAATGTTAGACACACTTTTATTCTTGATATCCTCATGCTGAAGTAAATTTTTTTGCAAGTCCTTGTAGAGATTTGCCAATTTTATTACTGTTTTCAAATGACTATTCTCATCTTCAGGTTTTCTATATTATGATGTTTTCTATTTTGTTAATTGCCACTCTAATCTTTACAACTCTTTCCTTCTTGATGCTCACTTGTTGACATTTTTCTAACTTCTTGAGATGACGGTAATTAATTATCGGCCTTTCTTCTTTTCTACTACACACATTTTAATACCATACATCACCATCTACATAACCGGGTGCACCTCACCCCATCTGTCACCTCTGGTCCTGCACTAGGTCTCTGCAATCTGTGCCTGATACAAACCAGGGTGGCATTTTTGAATTAAATATAATCATGTCCTGTCCCTACTGAAACCCTCCAAGTTTTCTCCAATTCTCTTGAGCTATATAATCCAATGTCCTTCCGTTTCCTAAGAAACCTACATGATCATATGATGCCCCCTCTCCAGTGTCCCTGAAACCCCCCGCTGTGGTGGGGATGTTGCTCTCCCTTGGCTTCCTTTGGCCTGGACTGTTTTCCACTTAGTTGTCCCACGACTTCCTTTTTGTCCTTGATCTCATCTCAAGGATCCCCACCCCCTTCCATCATGGCCCCGGCTTATTTCTTAGAGAGCTGTCACAATCCGCAGCTACCCTGCTTCATTGTGTTTGTGTGTCTTTATCATTTAATTCCTTCTTAGAGAAGGTCTGCTCCCAAGGGAGGAAAACATTTTTATTTTTCTTACCTCTGTTTGTTTTACCACCTCTTATGTGGTAAGAGAAACAGAGGTAAGAAAAATAAAATGTCAGTCAGCATTTGCTGATGGGATAAATGAATGAAGCCAAGCAGTGTCTGAGGGGTCTAAGGGCCTGGTGCCCACAGACAGTGCTGTCAGTCGTCTCTTCACCCACCAGTCCCATCACGGTCTCGTCTCAGTTTTCTTCCTCTGTAATTACTGAATTGAGTGAGTTCACCTTTGAAGGGATAGCTGCTAATGACATCGCCAGATACAGAAGAACATCATGAAGTTATAGAAATATGCAGATGCAGGTATTCCTTATCATCAATGTAGGGTGCTGGGTGCTCCAGGGAGGCCTAGGAACATGGATGGGTCTGGTCCTGACCCCCAGTGCCCCAGCTTCTCACAGCACATGGTGCAGAAAAGCACCTGAGGGTCGGCAGCCGAGCGGGGAAGCAGCAGACACAGGCATGCGCCTGGGAGACTCGGCAGATACCACAGGGAGACTTGAGCCCGGCCCCCAGGGATAGCAGCAGGCACTCTGACCATCTGCATGCATATCTATCTGTATTTATTTATTTTGGGACAGAGTCTCACTCTGTCGCCAAGACTGGAGTGCAGTGGCGCGATCTCGGCTCACTAAAACCTCTGCTTCCTGGGTTCAAGCAATTCTCCTGCCTCAGGCTCCTGAGTAGCTGGGATTACAGGCGTGTGCCACCATGCCCAGCTAATTTTTCGTGTGTATTTTTAGTAGAAACAGGGTTTCATCAAGTTGGCCAGGCTGGTCTTGAACGCCTGACCTCAACTGATCTTCCCACCTCGGCCTCCCAAAGTACTAGGATTACAGGTGTGAGCCACTGCGCCCAGCTATGTGTTTATATTTATGTGCATTTCTGTATTAATTCGAAGTGACTCCCTTAGCCAAGATTCCTGCCACTCCTTTAATGTATGACTCAGGCACTTTGTCCTTGCTTCAGTGACTGTGATTTAGGTGCCTTTGATTGGAAGTTGACTGAAAGTTCTTGTTACAGGCGACAGACCAAGGCCGAGACTGAGAAAGAGACAGGAGAAGGGAGGGGAAGGGCAGAAGTCCACAGCTGGGAGCACAGGGATTCGGGTGACTTATGCTGGGGCCTATTTCTCGTTCATCCCTACAACTGGCTCAGGTCTCTGTGTTTTCCTACTGACATCATCTTCCTCATTACACATCACGCTGAATTTTTCAGTATGTCAATTCACGTCACTTATTTTAATTCCATCCAGTTGCGTGTGACAAACCTGAATATCCCATCCATTTCGTGCCCAGGTTTTTAGACTTTTGCTTCCAGGAGCATTTCCCAACCTTGCTGCTTGTGCACTGCGTGCCTTGGTCCCAGGCTGGAGCATCGTGTGAATGAATCTGTTTCCGGCAGGCATGGGGTGAGGTTTATATCAGCCTTCATTAAGCAGTAATCACAGCCTGCCGCTAGACGCACATTTCCCACACACATGGGATTGCAGGAAGCTAACATTCGCCTCTTCTGTTTTATTTTCTGCCACCCTTGCTTGAAAGTTCAATTCATGAGTAATATATTAGGTGGGAAGATAAGTAAGGTTTATCCTTTAGCTAACATTTATTACAATAATAACAAAGTACATACTATACACCTCATTGTTTATAATTGCAAAGTACTGAGGTTACCTATTTTGATGAAAAATGTCTTAAAACATTAAGATTTTAAGCATGATTACGTCCATATTACTAATATTTTAATTCTGCTACCTTAAATATCTATCATTGACACATTAAATATGCTATTGCAGGAAAGCTGATTTAAAAAAATCACAGCTTTAAATATATATTATATTATTTCACAATGGCTAAAATTCCTTTTATATGTTGAGGTTGCTTTTCATTACTCATGAGTCAAAAGAGCTTTATAATCCTCTTATTGACGGTATCTTTAACTTTTTTAAATGAAAATTTTAGCTGAAGGTGAATATATTTTGCTTAAAAAGTTAACATGGACAATAATACCTCATGTCCCCAATTGATTTGGCCTTGGCATATGACATTTGCTATCTCTTCAGTAAACATATTTGTATAATATCGAGCATATTATGCAATACATATAAGTGTATTTAGCAATTAAGCCAAATAAAATTATGCTTGTTTTAACAGTTCATACCAGTTTTCACATCTAGCTTTGTTGGATATTTTTTACAGTTACGGTTACTTTTAGGGCTGGAGTGAGGTCTGGCTGGTGTACGAATGATCCGTCTTGTTAAAATGAAGAAGCACGAATTACTCAGTGAGGCGTGGCCAACTGTGTTTTTAGAGAAAGTCCCCCGGCGCTCAGGGCTTTGTGTTTTCTGGAATGCGAGGTGACAAGCCCGGTCCCAGGTGGCCCCGGACGCCGCTGGCTGCCACTTTCCCCGCCGTCCCCAGCTGTTGGAGCCGAGGCGGAGGGATGGCGCCGTCCGTCCCAGGAGGGAAACGGTGGCCCCCAAGGCCGGGACGCAGGTGGCGCTGCAGTCGGAACTGGGATGTGGACCCCCGGCCCGGGACGCGGTTAAAAGGTCCAGCAACCCCACAGGCCCGTGGGGTCTGCGCTGCTCCAGGCGCCCGGATTCACCGTCCAGCCGGGGCCCTGACCCCGGGTCCGTCCACGCGGCTGCGATGCTCGGTCATCCTGGCTCCGGCCCACCCCGGGGAGACAGGCCCCTCACCGGCCCCTCTGAGGAGCAGGGCCAACACGCCGCGGGCTCTGCCGGCCCCGCAGGCCTCGGGTTCCATCGCAGCAGCGTGGCCTGATGACTCCATTTTGTCGCTGCGGAGGAGCCGCACCGAGTCCACAGCGCCAGTGCGGGGGAGCCGCGCCGGGGAAGAGGGAGGAGGCGCGTCCACAGCAGCCTCGTGTCTCCACATGGGACGTTTCCTCGGCGGGGACCCGGCGCGCCCAGGGGCTCAGGCTCGCTCAGGCCTACGGAGGCGGGTGTATCCGCGTCCGGCCCGACTTGTGAGGAAACAGCACACGTGAAGCGAGCGGAGTCGGCGCAGCCTGGAACAGGGTGAATCCGCAGAGTCCTCGGCCGCGCATGGCGGCTCTGTCAGCTCCAGGGACACAGGGACCGTCCCCGGGCCCATCAGCGCAATCGGGAGGGCGTCCGTGTGCCCACAGGCCCAGCTACACCTCCACAAAGCTGGGAAAGACGAACACGGGCCACCCTCAGCCACCTGCCCGGACCGCTGCGAGGCCCACGGGAGGGAAGACGCGCCCTGGCACGCGGTGTGGTAACCGCCCTTGGACGCGGCGGCGCTTTGGGCGGGAAGAACCGCGAATTCCAGAACATTTGGGATCATTTGTTAAAAGAAAAATCCTCGGGCGCCACCTAGCGCTGACATGCTGCCTAACTCTTCTCAGCCCTCATTTTAGAGAACGGAAAATGAAGCCCAAGTTATTGACTATAAAATGGGAAAAAACTAAAACATTGCAATATGCAGATTGCATCACACATATTATCTTAGCAGGTTTTCTTGCACTTGCCTTGCAGATAAATAGGACATATCTAGGTGGTGCTGTGTCCAATAAAATAACACATCTGAACTCAGGTAAGGAAGGGTTCTCTCAACAGGGAGAGGTTCCAGCCAGGAGACCCCGAAGCGTCTCCCACTCAGGAAGACATGTGCTTCTCTGATATGAGAAGGAATGACCACCGCCAGAGCGACGCCCTATGGGGGAGGATGGGCGAGATGGTCAGCGGGAGGGGTCTTAGGCTGGGGTTAGCAGACGCTTGGAGAAGCAGGCCAGGGCTTGCTACTCCCTGTACGGAGCACTGGATGGCTCCGTCACTGTGGGTGTCTCGTCCACCGTGGTCAGTTACTTGTGAGACAAGAACAGGGAATTTGGAAGGTCTGAGCTTGGCCTGCCCGGGTAGAAAGAGGACCCCTGGGTCTCCTCTACGACCTGCGAGGAAGGTGATCTTCGCAGGGAACCATTTCTGGAACGTGGAGGGTGGAGCTTCTTGACCATCCTTTTGCAGGGCCTCGAAACTCAAGTGAAGTTCGGTGTCAGTAGAAACTCTGTGTTGCTTCTACGCATGGCTGGACACATGTGCTTCTAGCCTTGGCCACTTGATTCCTGGTTGTATAGGTTTTATGTGTACAGTCATGCATTGCTTAACGCTGGGGGTACATTCTGAGAAATGCATTGTTAGGCAATTTTGTCATTGTGCAAACATCAAAACATCATAGGGTATATGTGAACAGAGTCTAGAAGTTACAGCCTATGACACACCTCAGCCATAAGGTGTAGCCTCGTGCTCCTAGGCTACGAACCTGTACAGCAGATGGCTGTGCTGGAACTGCAGGGAGCTGTAACACAGTGGAGAGTGTGTATCTAAACATAGCTACACGTAGAAGAGGTGCAGTAAAAATATGGTATAAAAGATAAACATGGTGCACCTGTATAGGGCACTTACCACGAAAGGAGCTTGCAGGATGGAAGTTGTTGCTCTGGGTGTTGGTGAGTGAGTGGTGAGTGTCTGTGAAGGCCTAGACTCTCAGACATTTCTGTCCACTACTGTTGACTTTATATACACTGTACACTTAGGCAACACTCAGTTCATCGCAAATATTTCTCTTTTCTCAATAATAAATTAAGCTTAGCTTAACCTTAATGAAATAACTTTTTACTTTATAAACTTTTAAGTTTTTAATCTTTTTGACTCTTTGTAATAACACTTGGCTTAAAACACAAACACATTGTACAGATGTACAAAAATATTTTCTTTCTTTATATCCTTGTTCTATAAGCTTTTTTAATTTTATTTTTACTTTTACTTTTTTTAACCTTTTTTGTTAAAATCTGAGACACAAACACACACATTAACCTAGGCCTACACAGGGTCAGGATCGTCAACATCACTATCCTAACCCTAACCCTCCACATCTTGTTCCCTGGAAGGTCCTCAGGGGCAGTAACACACATGGCGCTGTCATCTCTAATGCCTTCTTCTGGAATCCTCCCCGAAGGGTCTGCCGCAGACTGTTTGACTGTTAACCAGTTTTTTTTTTTAAGTAGAAGGGGTACATTCTAAAATAATGCTAAAAATATAGTGTAGCAGCAGTCCCCAACCTTCTTGGAACCAGGGACTGGTTTTGTGGAAGACAGTTTTTCCATGGACCAGAGTTGAGGGGAATGGTTTCTGGATAAAACAGTTCCAGCTCAGATCATCAGGCATTAGATTCTCATAAGGAGTGCACAACCTAGATCCCTCTCATGCACTTTTCACAACAGGGCTCTCACTGGATTCTCCTGTGAGAATCCAGTGCCGCTGCTGATCTGACAGGAGGCAGAGCTCAGGCAGTGACACTCACTCACATGCCATTCACCTCCTGCTGTGCCACAGTTCCTAACAGGCCACAGGCTGGTACTGGTTTACGGCCTGGGGATTGGGAACCCCTGTAGAATAATAGATACATGAAAGAGCGACACAGTCATTTATTATTAATCATACTGTACATAGTTGTGTGTGCTACACTTTTATACAACTAGCAGTGCGACAGGTTTGTTTACACCAGCGTCAGCACCCACACGTAAGGAAAGTGTTGTATTGGGACCTTAGCATGGTTACAATGGCTGCATCTGTCCTGGGCAGCAGGGATTTTCAGTATATGCAGCCCATTCTTTACCGAAATGTTATGTGGCCCATGAACACATATGCGTATGTATAGATATGACGAACTGTCAGTAGGTGTGCACAAAATTAGGAACCTCTAATCTCCAGAGAAAACAATCCCTACTTTTGCTCAAAATAAAGAAGCACAGGTTAACTAAGACATTGACTTGATGGGGAAACCCTGGTTGTTCCTCTCAGTCTGGCAGTTCTAGGGTCTTGAATTAATGAGAACATCAACTGTGTGAGTTAACATTGTGAGTACACAGTCCTCAAATGGATGCCAGGAAGAACCCAAGAGCTCTGCCCTCTCTCCAGCATCCCCCGTGACTGTCTCACCCGTGGAGACACCGGGCTTGTATCTTTAATGTCTGCTGTATTAGCTGGAATCATTCCCAAGGTGCTGATTTTGTAGAATACAAACTGTAGAATATTGGCAGTCTCACCTGCAGAGAATCAAACGAGTGAGCCGCCAAGGTGCTGTTGAGGATTGCATGTCTGCACCCACAGCCATGCTTGTGACTGCCAGGGAAGCTGGAGGCCACCAAGCCACAGAAAAACAGTGGAACGGAGCCTTTTGGATCTGCTCACAAAATATGGCAACTCTTAGAAAACAAACAAAACTGTGAGGCACAGTCACATTAACCTGCACCCGTGAGGGCATCTCAGTTCTTTGTCTTAAACGCCCCAGAGGAGATGTAAATGAGGGTAATTGACCAAATCCCAGAACTCTTGGCTGGAACTAGGTGGTTCAAAGACATTTTTGGATGAGGTTCTTAAATTCTAATAAATTACTCTACATTTAGAGGTGCTAGTAACTGGGCCTCATCACAAGAGTGAACCCCAGACCTCGCAGGATGAGAGAGACAGTTAATTTTGACAAAGAAAATGCATCTGAACATTAATGTTGTCAATGTCCTAGAATTCCAGGTGTCTTTAATTTAGTCAGCATGTGAAACAAACTTTCTATACATGGTTTTATCTTAACACACAAGCTAAGTCTCCAAAAAAATCTCAGGATTGCAATTAGCTCAAAGAGCTTAAGCTAATCAAATAGCTTTTAAAATTAAGTTTTAATGCCTGCTGCTATATTAATGTGCTATATTTCTGTGGCTGAATCTATGCACATTTTAGAGATTCATTGCTTAAAGTTGTGCTTCCAAAAATTACCCAAAGAAAATTTCACATATCCATAGACATAGGCACACCACCCACCACATATATACACATATGCACACAAGCTCACAGACACCAATACACACACATGAACACATATACAGCATGCACACATATACACACTTGTACACAGGTGCACACACACCCATATATGCAGATATATACACACATGCACATGCATACTTATACACATTTATACATACATGCATATGTGCACACACACCCATATTCACATATACACACCCATATGAACATGTGTATGTATACAAATACACATACACAATTGTACACTTTTATACATACATGCATGTGTGCACACACCCATATAAACACACATACATACTACCTACACATGCACACACATACACACTTTTACACATTTATGCATACATGCACATGTGCACATGCACCCATATAAACACATATGCACCCACATGAACACATATATACACACAAGCACACACATATACTATTGTACACATTTATACATAAATGCACATGTGCACACACCCATACACACACCCACATGAACACACATATATACATACATGCACACACATACACACTTGTACACATTTATACATACATGCACATGTGCACACACACCCATGTACACACACCCATTCACATATACACACACACACACAGCCCAACTAGAGCATGGATATTTTGTTCCATGACACTCCCTTTCATTGAATCTGGATCTGCACCAAGCACTGGAGACTCAACAGGCAGACGGCTGCTGTGACTTCTCCCAGGACAGCGTCTGCACTGACAACAGCATGGAGTTGGCTGACGAGCCTTCTCCACTACTAAGTTACAAGGGTTTACACGGTGGTGTCAGGGAACATAGGCAGGGAACTTAACCAACAAGTATAGGAACAGGGAAAATTCAGGAAAGAGCTGAGCCTCAGGAATTCTGAAAACTGCATGCATGCTTTTCAGAGTTCCTAGGGAGTTGCAAATCATCATTGCAAATTTAGTTCAGTGCAATGCATTTGGATGGAAGGCCTATTACTGCAAAGCACCGCAAGGAAAGAAACAGGTTTTGTTATCTCTTTTGAGCACGTGACTCGCTGGGAAGGCTGGATTTGAAACACTGCCTCCGACCTGATGAAGGTTATGACGAGGAATGTAAGGAGGTTTAAGAGCACCTGTGAGGAACATGAAGAAAAGAAAGAAGGAAATCTAACTGGGAAGACCTTAAAGGCCAGTTGGGGAAGTTGGGGGCTCTGGTTGGGTTTGAAGGAGACACTGGAACTTGGCGGGAAGGTGCAGGGGAGGCACCGTTGCCAAGCAGCATCCCCACGGGGCCCCACAGCGCACACTGAGCTAAGAGGACGGTCACCCTCCTCTCAATGCAAACAGGCACTTCTTCATACAGACGCTATGACTAATTCACCCAGGACTTGCCGGAAATGAATTCTAACGTGAGGAATTTAAAGAGATTGTGCCATGTTAGAACCTCAGTTCCCACCTGCCGTTACTGTGCCCCACGTGTGATAAACTCAGAAGTCTCCAGTTTGACGTTCCGCGCTGCATTCAGGTGATGGTCATTCAGCTCCGTGATACGCACCACGTGAGCACCTGTAAATGGACATCATGAGCCGGTTCCACTGTGGGCCATGCTCTACATCTCCACTCACATCGTAAACAGTCCTTGTCTTGGGGTCTGGTCTCCTTGACTTTTTCAAAGTTTGCCCCTAACTAGGAAGGGGTCGACCCTGAAATGGAAAATCGCTTTCTGAGGCATAAGAAAGAGCACAGAAAGTGAGAGCCAGGGTGTGTGAGGCCTTCCGTGACTGCCACGCTCTCTACTCCATTTCTGCCCCAGCTCAGAAGGTCTGACTGTTCATTTTTCCCAAGAAAGTGCGATGAGCAACGTGCACGTGGCTGGTGGAGCTGGGGCTGGCGTGCAGGTCTTCTGGCTCCAGACGTGGTTCAGAACCCCAAGATCAGCCTGGCTCCTCAGCCTGACCACGTCCTTGGGGCAGCACAGGGTTAAGCCAGCAGCGAGTGACGCCTGGGTCCCCGGAGCCCCCACTTCCGCGATAGTGCCCAGGGTATTCACCTTGAGAACTGGCGTCCACAAGACTAACAGTGTCTTGCATGAATTCTATCAACTACTAATTCTCACTGCTACTAATTCTCACTGCAAAAGACGAGCCTTTCAAACTAATAATGTAGAGGTTATCATAAAAATGAAATGTTGCATTCCAGAGCTCAACTTATATGATTCTTAGATTCCACTTTGCAGAGGCAGATACAGAAGTTTGGGGGCTGGAACTCACACAGTTTGCAGAACCCTCTTTGAGAAAAAGAGCACGCAGGGCCCTGTGGACAGGCCCTGAGACGCAGAGGCGACCCTGAGCCCCCAAGCTCTGGGGCCAGCAGATTCCGCATTTCATCAGCAGGAATGATCCTGCCAACTTGCTCTCTTCCCTTTCCCTGGATTAAGTCTGTTCTTCCTCTTCTGCCAGTCTTGCGTGGACACCAACTCCCATGAAGATTTGGGAATCACAGATGATGTTTTAAAACAAGGCATGTGTCATCGAAGGTTTTAAGTAACAGGAATCATTAGATCAGAGACAGCCTTTAAAAGGGTGAGGTGGAGCCACCCCACTCAGCCCCGCCATTCGAGAATCCAGTTCCCCTCCACCTTCCACTTTGTATCCACGTAAAAATGAATACAAGGGGGACTGGCCTGGGGAGGAAAGGACCCAGAAGAAGAGAGAGGATGAGAAAGGGCCTCGGCATTGCCAGGAATGTTGAGAACAGGCGGGAGGTAAGCACAGAGGTGGCTGAAGGGGGCTACCATGGGGTGGGGAGAGCTCCAGGCTTCTCTGGCTCTGGGCTGTGGGCCCTCACCTGTGAGCCGCTGCCTACACGGGTGTCCCTCCCGCACCTTAGTCCTCTGCATCAGCTCTGCCTGGAGGTGAGGATTGCACACTTAGGCTGACGTAAGCTGCCCCAGCAAGTGTGCTTGAGCCCCCTGGCTCTGGGACATGTCCTGATAGCAAGGCCAGAGGGAGCTGAGTAACCGGATGTATGCAGCACCCCTGGGAGACACTGACGCCCCCATGTCCCCTTTCGTCATAGGATGACGGTGGAGTTTACTTCTATGTGTGGTTTCTATAAAGCGAGTTTGTACATGTCACTTCCAAATCTGATTTCAGAGAACAGGAATCAGTGATTTGTGGATACCCAAAAGTGGGACTAGTTTGAACTCAGTGGACTGGTTGGGTTTCATCCAGGGAGGTCAGGTCACCACATCTTGGTTCTCTTGTTATCAACAATTAAAGCATGATTGGCATTTATGTCATTTTAGGTAATTTACCAAATATGTGCTGATAACATCGCTGCAGTTTCAGTGATGAAATTGGTGGAACAGCTCAGAGGGATTTTTACCCAGCAGCCATTTTTCCTCTGAGTTTGTCGTACCAGCTCTTTCTTTC
This sequence comes from Homo sapiens, assembly GCF_000001405.40. Taxonomy (NCBI): domain Eukaryota; kingdom Metazoa; phylum Chordata; class Mammalia; order Primates; family Hominidae; genus Homo; species Homo sapiens. The sequence goes on from NC_000002.12 coordinate 644,082, forward strand.
CCAGAAAATACAATTCTGGGTGTTTTATTTTCTTTCTCTCTGTTAGATTGCAACCTCCGACACCCAGCTCACATGACACAGGCTCTGTCTGCCTCTTAGGCTCATATCTGCACAGAGTTGTGCAGCTCTGCAATATGCAATCATAGAGTGAATGAAGGTATGGAGGATAAATATGCAATTGTAGAGTGAATGAAAGGATGGAGGATACAATATGCAATCATAGGTGAATGAAGATATGGAGATTACAGTAGGCAATTGTAGAGTGAATGAAAGGATGGAGGATACAGTATGCAATTGTAGAGTAAATGAAGGGATGGAGGATACAGTATGGGATTGTAGAGTGAATGAAGGGCTGGAGGATACAGTATGCAATTGTAGAGTAAATGAAGGGATGGAGGATACAGTATGGGATTGTAGAGTGAATGAAGGGCTGGAGGATACAGTATGTGATTGCAGTGTGAATGAATGGATGGAGGTAAGTGCATCCAAACAAACTGAATTTGCATCACATCAAGATCCTTGTAGTTTTAAAGATAATTACAACTGGGAGTTTTTGGAACACAGTAATGTATATTTTTTACAAATATGATTTTTCCAAGAGAAAAAATAACTTGCTAACCCGACGAGTGTTTGCACATGTGGTGCGTATTTTACCATGAATGTCTAAAGCAGGGTCAGTTTTATGAAGTCGTGATTACTATCGTGGTGCGTTTGGCAGAGAAGAAGGCTTAGGGCTCCCCCACATCCACATTCTCTCTGTCGGCCACACTTGCTCACTGTGGACACTTCCCAGCCCCTTCCCAGAGGTGAGGTCTCCTGCTAGCACTGGCTTAGAAGATGTAGGCAGAGATGACAAGTGACACTTCCTGTCATCTGCCTACAAGTTCCCAAAGATCCTCCCCTTTCTTGCTCTGTTTTCACCTCCAGAATAAGCGTGAATGAGCCCTGGAAGATGCACGGTCTGGACAGATGGAGCCTGGGGCAGGGTCCCACAGCCACCTGCACAGAGGAAGTGCACTGGCTGTGTTACAGTGATGTCACCTGGGGTTGGCATCTTCCAGCAGCCAGCCTCACTTGCCTGCTAAGCATGGTGGCACCTGGGGCTGGCATCTTCCAGCAGCCGGCCTCACTCGCCTGCTAAGGCACGAGGATCATCCTATCAGAGACTCCTTATGAGGCAGAGAAGTGGGTGGAATGGGGAGTCTTTACAATGAGAAAATTGTGGCTCAGGAAGCTAAGGAGGCTTCTATGTAGGGAGGCTGTGAACATCATGGAAGCACGTTCATGCCGTGACGTGAAAAGCGGTGACAATATGAAGTGCTTCAAATCCCAGTTGCATTTGTGTTTCAACCTGACTTTTTTTTTAATTAAGATATTTCTATTTGTAGAACAGTTGTGAGCATAGCCCATAAGCGTGGGAAGTAATCCCATCTAAAATGTTTCAAGGAGGCAGGTTTCTCATCCCATAGAACAGTTGCTTTCTCTCTGCAGCCTGGTGATGCTCACATTTGTCTTTTGAAGAGGTAAGTTTGAAAAAAGGGTAGTTCTCCAGGTTGTCTGTATACTTCTCCCTTATAAATCCCAAACCATAATTCAACTTCAAGTATTTAGACTAGGCTTTAAGTATTTAGACTAGAGCCAAATAGAATAAAATCCTTATGCATTTATACATGCAACTTTGCTAACTATAATGGTGGTATTTTTTTCCTAATAAGAATTTTGCAACAAGGAAAAAAAAAAGAGGGAATCTGAACAGAGTTGAGGGCAAAGGTGTTTTAGTAAAATAGTTGGTCACTGATTAGCTAATAGATGTCCTTACTCAAAATTCCAGTCCACCCAAGTGTTCTGGGGAAACCTGCACAACCTCGAAGGTGGTGTTTGGAGTCACTGAGAAGTGGGTTTAGTCCAGTGCGGCTCATGATTCCTGGCAACCCTGGCCCACATCAGTGAGGTAATCTTTTCAAAACGACTCTGAAATGTATCTTTAATGAATTAAGTACAGCACACCTGCAGGCAATTGAAGTAACACGTACCTTCAGTTTCCATCTTCAGCTCTCAGAAACTACACGCTTGTTACGGCAATCAATACCATTGCCATTTTGTATTCCCAAAACATGGGCTTTGTGCCAGCCACATCTGTCTTGGAAGAAAGAAAATTATTTTTTCCCAATGTTCATGTCACTTGGTTTGGTAGAAGACCCTTTTGAGGCTGTGGTTCAGTGAAAAGGTCTTATTTCTTGCAGCATATCACCCTGCAGATGCCGTGTTTCAATAGAACTACCTGAGATAAAAACCAGAGATTTCTTTAATTCTCTAATAACTATTTACTGGACACTATTCTACATGCCCTGGGAGGACACAAAAATCATGATGTAGCCCTAGATCTTGAAATAGCAATTATATCAATCCTTGTTTTATTATTTTTTTGTATGATCTGGTTCCTACCTTGATGGAAATTACCATCTGGCTAGATACATTAAATGGATAGTTAAGATCCTGCTAACACGGGCTACTATTTGTTAAGTGATGCCAACATGCCACACCCCAGATAAATAAGTTTTCCACGATTCTGCGTCGTTATCACAAGAGCATTGTGAGTGGGGATGAGACCCCCCATATTCAACTGAAACTGAGAGACTCACAGAGGTGAAATATTTTGCAAAATTCATAAGCGAAAGTGCAGAGGCAAGATAAAGACGTAGATTGTTAAGTCCCAGGCAGTGGATTCCTTGAGCTCAGGAGTTTGAGACCAGCCTGTGCAACATGGTGAAAGCTTGTCTCTATAAAAAATACAGAAAAACGAAAAATAGAAGGTGTGGTAGCGCACGCCTGGGGTCCCAGTTACTCGGGAGGCTGAGGTGGAGGATTGCTTGAGCCCAGGAGGCAGAGGGTGCAATGAGCCGAGATCATGCCACTGCACTCCAGCCTGGGTGACGGAAGTGAAACCCTGTCTCAAAATAAAAAGAAAAGAAAAGATTGTCAAATTCAAAACACCTCTTTCTGCTGTTCATGGCCAGGTGGAGACTCTGAAGCAGCCTGAGTGAGCCACGTACTCCAGCCCAGCCAGTGCCGTTGACCATGAGCCCCAGCACATGGGAGGGGGACGGCCCTGCCCTCCTGTACCCCCTGCATAGGGCATGTCTGCGGGGAGTTCCCCTGTAGGTCTGGACGGGGCTGGGATGGCTGATACTGGAGGAACCCGGGAACCTGCAGGCACACCTGGCATGAGCAAAACAACCATTTTCTGTTTTATGCCACTGAGAGCTGGGGCCATTTCTTATTACAGAATGACCAGGTCTGTTTTGACAGTCACCAAAGGAGCGTGGAGCACCGTATGGGGAGGAGGGGAAGAGAGCAGGCCAGGAACAAGGGTGCAGGCCAGGAATAAGGGTTTTAGGATGTGGGGTGTGCGGGGGCCAGTGAAGTGTCTGCTGAAAGTGGCTTTGAGAACAAAATTGTAATAGTTTTGAAGCAGAAGCCAGATTGAGGCAAGTGAGATGCATGTGTCTTCATGAACTGAGTTCTTCCAAAAAATCTTTTTTAAATGACAAGATTACTCGTGGTTGATAGACTTTTGACCATTTCTAGAGATAAGAAGGGCGCCTATCAAAACTCACCATCAAAACTCACAGAAGGTTGATGCCATCACGGCAGCCATGCAGCCACCGGCCCTTCCAGATTCCTGGGCTCTGCTGTGTGCCCGGCCTCACTGCACCGGCCCTTCCAGGTTCCCAGGATCTGCTGCATGCCCGGCCTCACTGCATGGCTGCATTGTCAGCTGCTCCCGGCCTGGGTCGGGGTCAGTCGCTGGCACCGAGGTTTCTATACGGATCTTAGACAAGAGCTCAGTCTCATTAGGGCCATGATTAGTGATGGCATCTGTGTAAGACGTTGTCCTGAGATGTCCCAGTGCAAAGCAGCACATCTGCCCACCACGCCAGGGGCCCTGAGGGTGGGTCCAGGCCCAGCTCAGCCCAGGCCTCAGGCGAGGGCAGTGGACAGAGGTCACTGACAAGTCGCTGGAGGGCTCGGTCCTTCCTGACTGTGGTGGAGGCAACCAGGAGGCCCCCCAACCAGGTCACTTCCTTCACCAAAGCAGGCAGGCTGAGAAGCCCACCGCCATTCCAGCCAGTGGGGCCAGCTCTTCTGAGCCTAACTGTGGACCCTGGCACCATTCTGTGTGTCAGGGCACCAGGGACAGCCCTCGCTCCAGGGAGGGCCTCCTGGGGCAGCCCGTGAACGCTGCCCACATAAGGGTCAGCTGAGGCTGAGTGAGAAATAATTGAGTTAATAATAAACGAAATCGAACTCTAATCAAAGCACAGGATATTTTTTTAAAATCATAATCACAGACCAGTTGGATAGTGGGTGTCCTGAGGCTCTGACCCTTAGGGTGAAGGAAGAAAGCAGAGAAAGGCAAGAGCTGACCCACAGACACGGGGTCAATGCGTCCAGGGGACTCACAGACATGGGACCAAGGGACCCACAGACGCGGGGTCAGCATGGACCAGTGGACTCACAGACACGGGACCAAGGGACCCACAGACGCGGGGTCAGCATGGACCAGTGGACTCACAGACACGGGACCAAGGGACCCACAGATGCGGAGTCAGCATGGACCAGGGGACTCACAGACACGGGACCAAGGGACCCACAGATGCGGGGTCAGCATGGACTAGTGAACTCACAGACACGGGACCAAGGGACCCATAGATGCAGGGTCAGCGCAGACCAGGGGACTCCTGTATCCACACCGTACACGCTCTGGGAGTGGCAACACATGCGTGTCCAGGTCCCTGCAGCCAGCAGGTATTTGCATGGGGCTGAAATGCAGCTCTCTCAGAGGCGAATCCTCCAAAAGTCCAAATAGAAGGGCTAGGGTGTCAGTGCAGCCCTGAGCTCAGGACAAGTCAGCAGCCAGGGGTGAGCAGGAGGTAGCTGAGTGCCTGGTGGGCCTGGCCCCTGGTGCTGGATTCACCCTGGCCCTATCAGCCGGAGCGTGGGCATGGATGGCTGCAGACGTCTGGCCTGGAGGCTGAGTCCTGCCACTCCCATTCTGACCTAAGGCTCCGCTCCCCTGTGGTGGTGTCAGGATCTGAAGACGAGAAGTTCTCTCCCACACGCTCCAGTCCAAGTCCCTCTCTGCTGCCTGGCCTGCCCCTCCCGACAGCCATGCAGAAGTCTATTTGTTCACTCGAGCAAAACCTCTGCAGGGTGCCTGGGCTGTCTGGGGGAATGGAATTGCGGGAGGACATGGTGTCCCTGTAGGAGAGACACAAGCATGATGGGGAGATCCCAGCCCTTGGCCAGGCCTGCTAGTGTGGGCAGGGATGCCATCAGGGGGCCTGGGGTGGGATGCCTGGCCCTCTGCACCCTGCATTTCTCTCAGAATTAAGGCAGAGCACAGCGAGGAAGGGGCAGCATCCTCCTGCATTTCCAGAGTGGCTTCTGAGTGCAGCAGGGATGGGAGAGGTGGGGGTGATGCGAGTGCAGAGAGGGTGGCGGCCACAGACACTCGGGGTCTGGAGATGGACTCGCCTGGGAAGGCCCCCGCGGCGGGGCAGCTGAGAAAGTTCTCATGGTTTAATTTGAGTGGTTAGCTGGAATTTGGTGCCAGGCTTTAAGATTTAAAACCCAGGGACAGAAGCAAATTAGGAGTAAAGTGATGCTGCGTTTGCCTGTTGAAGGTGTTCACACATGGCCCAGGTCATGGGATGATGGAGCTGCCCTGGAACCCCTGTGTGCTCAGGACACGCTCTGCCTTCGCTGGCCTCTGCATCTTGATAGCATCATTCCTTGCTTGTACCCCACGGTACCCCAAAGGGGACAGAGCTCACCCCGGGGATGTCTCATGATGGGGACCAGCTCTGTCCCACTGTGATCTCGCTGTCCCAAGATGGGGACCAGCTCTTTCCCGCTGCAGCCTCAACGTCCCACAACAGGGACCAGCTCTGTCCCACTGTGGCCTCAACGTCCCATAACAGAGACCAGCTCTGTCCACTGTGGCCTCAATGTCACACGATGGGGACCAGCTTTGTCCCACTGTGGCCTCAATGTCACCTGACAGGGACCAGCTTTGTCCCACTGTGGCCTCGATGTCTCCTGATGGGGACCAGCTCTGTCCCACTGCAGCCTTGATGTCCCATGACAGAAACCAGCTCTGATCCACTGTGATCTCGGCATCCCAAGACAGGGAGCAGCTCTGTCCCACTGTGGCCTCAGCACCTGGTGGTGCTGGAAGTTCAGGTGGTGCTAGCCCTGCAGGAAGGGAGGATGTGTGTCTCTGCATGCATCCCTGTTGCAGCCCCAGGCCATGGGCTTTGCTCTCTGTCCCCTGAGGGGAAGGCTCAGAACTTTATTTATGACCATCTACCAGCCGGCCATGCAAACAACCAGCGGGGTAAGGCCAGGACTGCGGCCAAATGCCTGACCCAGCAACTTGGGTTTGGCCACACACGGCACTGCTTGGGGCTGACGAGGAGGGTGACCAAGACCTCGCTGAGCTTAAGAGGATGACAGCTCCTGGATGGCAAGTCCTACAGATCTGTGTCTCCTGAGACTGGTCATGGAATGGACTGAGGACCATCTGCAAACACTGCTTAGTACCGAATCTCTTCTGCTCGAAGCCTCTGTTATACGGTTTGTGTGACACTAAATAATGGGAAACGTATGAAGAATTCCAAACATTCTGTTTACACGGGTGAGTGCAATCAAATCAATAGCAGTTGCTACTCGGAAATCTGGAGGAGCAATTTTCTGGAATGGATTCTAAAATATTTTAGCAACTCAGTGGGGTGGGGTGTTGTCAGACTGACTGTTGGTAAAGTGAGGGTCATTATGGAGCTGCAATAACCTAAATTAGTACCACATGATGGCTGAGGCCACTCCGCATGGATCTGTGTCTAAGAGGGCCTGGCAGAGTGAACTTGCGGCTCGGCTCGGTTTTGTTTTTGAGTGAGGAACTGCACAGGAGATTGCTCTTCAGAGGCTGCAACGGGACCCCCACACGTCCCTGCATTTAGAGGCGAATGAGGTAGAAAGATCAATACCTGAGTTTTCTTATTCCTTGTGGCTGCAGCAGATGTCATCGTAAAATGGCTCCATCACCTTGGAGGCATGGTCTGACGTGAAGGAGACGGTCCTGCTTGGCCCATGGAGAAGGCTCTAGTGCGTCTCGGAGCCACCATCATTTTTTTCCCTTTCCATTCATACCTGCTGCCGGCAAAGGACCCAGCCTTTGGGATTTACAGAAAATAAGGAGTTGAACTAAATAACAAACAAGGGGCTGCTAATTAGAGCGTATGAGTCCATTTTCATCCAGAGCGTCTTATTCTATCTTCCTCATGCATGGGCTCTGCATGGTTCTGCCCAGTTCCCTCTTGCCTGGTTTTTCAGTTATTTGTGGATTCTTAGAAATTCTCCATATACTCTGGACATAAATGTCTTTGCTAATTATTAATCTGTGTGCTGCCAACCTTCTACCAGTTTCTATGTTTTCAAATGACTTGAAGATGTAGATTTTGTTGTAACTGGCCCATGATTCTTGTGCATCTTTACGGCGTAGACAGTGATGCTTTGATGCATGCCTGTGCCACTCAGGTCAGGGTAATTAGCATAGCCATGCAAACACTGACCACGTCTTTGTGTAGGGAACACTCAGTATCCTTCCAGCTACTTGAAACTGTCTATTCTTGTTTACTATAATCTTCCTACAGTGGTGTGGAACAATAGAACTTTGAAAAGATAAATTCGTATTTTTAATGTAGTCAACTTTGTCCATTTTCTCTGTATTGTTAATGGATTTTTAGATCTTGTTTAGAACATTTGTCCTTGCACCAAAGTCAGAAATCTGTTCTCTCATTTCTCCTGTAGAAGGTTTAGGGTTTCAGCATCCACAAGTCCTTGAGCCATGGGAATTAACAGCTGCTGAGCTGTGAGGTCAGAGGCACACTCAGCCCGGGAACCATGGGCTGTTGTGGTGCCCGGTGAAGGCCTGGTCCCCCAGCTGCAGCCCATCCTTCCCACTGTGGCCTGTACCCAGCTGGGCCACACCTGGGCGTGTGGGAATTAATGGCTGCTGAGCTGTGAGGTCCGAGGTACATTCATTCCAGGAACCGTGGGCTGTTGCGGTGCCCGGTGAAGGCCTGGTCCCCCGGCTGCAGCCCGTCCTTCCCACCACAGCCCACACCCGCTGGGCCATACCTGGGCCTGTGGGGCCACCTATGAGTGCTTCCCTTCACTTCACCCAGACCGCAGTGCAGGAATTGCCAAGAATCCGTGAGCGGCCGTGGTATCCGTCAGAGCATGGGCTGCTCCTGTCCTCAGGAGTCTCTTGGCAGATCCAGGGCCTTTGCACTCAGGGTCACTTTCAGGTCACACTGGGCTGGGCTTGACTCTGCAGACCAATCTGGAAACCCCTTATGTGTGACATCAGCTTTTCTTACCTGTCAATATGGCATATGTTTCCATTAAGCCATCTTTACATCTTTTAAAACAATTTTGTAATTTTATTCATAAAAATCTTGTACATATTTTAGATTAGTTTCTTGGAAACTTACAATTTTGGTTGATATTGTAAAAGACATCTTTTATAAAATGCATTTCTAGCTGTCTATTTTGTTATAAAAACAAATTGATGTACATTGATCTTTATATCGAGTGATCTCCCCCAACTCTCTTGTTAGTATTTATCATCTATCTATATCTTATTTTGGGATTTCTCTGTAGAAAATATCATCTACGATTAAGAACACATTTTTTTCTTCTTTCTTTCAAATTCTTACAACTTTTGTTTGTTTTGTTTATCTTACTCTAGGATAGTGTTTTTATTTTCATAAGATTTCTTCTTTTCTTCTGAGAATGTCCTTATTCAACCTTTATTCTCAAGAGTTGAATTGATGGACATGGTTTCTGAGCAGCTGGAGGCTTCCTGTCTCTGTTGCTGGTGAGAATTTGCCTTTCACCTAGTCGCTGTTCCTTTGCAGGGAGGGAGACTCTCTCTGTGGCTTCCATGCTCTTCAAGCTTCCTGTGTTGGGCTCAAGTTCATGACCCCTGCCCTACTCACTTGACTGCTGGTCTCCATCTTTCCATTTTATTATCATAATTTTAATGGGGACTTGGAAGAAGCAGAGAGAAACAGCTGCTCAGCTGTCCACCTTGACCAAGGAACCCAGCACGGCCACAGAACCGACCTGAGGTGCGTAGAATGAGACCTGCAGGCTCAGCTGTCTTTCCGCAGTGTCCTCCCACATCCACACCTTCCATTTCATCGGCTCCTAAACCTCCTGCTTCTCCAATCTGGGCCTACCCCCAAGTGATGTCTTTTGAAAAATTAAAAACATATTGAACCTTAAATACAATCTTGTATGATTGCATAGTTTTCTCACAGACTGGGTACAGGCCACAGTAAGATTGCTGTAAATCAGTGGCTCTGTCAAGTCTTCCCCGTGGCTGAGATAATACAAGTGTTCATGCTTTCCTTCAACGCCTAAACGGTACGTTCCACATTGTCTAGGAGCTTGGTTCACTTCCACCTGGACTCTCAGCTAGGGGTGGGGAGCCACAGAAGGGGTGGTCAACTTCTATCACCGGCCCCAGTCTCTGCTTCCAGCTTGTGGACTTTGTATCTGTATGACCTTGACAGCTTCTTGAAACACCAGCCACAGTGCCTGGCGTGTAGTAGCCTCGCATATTTGGGTGCCAGGGAGCTGACCCACTGGAGGTGGAGGTCCTGACAGTGAGCTGAGGCTGTCCTCATGGCGTCCACTGTGGGAAGCATGGGGCACCTGGGGCCTGGGGGTTCCCATCCATTTCCCAGGGTTCGCAAAACATATGCCTCTATCTACTTCTTAATGTGGGACAAATTCCTTCTCGTACCCAAACCATGTTTCTCCATGAGGTTCTTAGATTCTCCTCCCAAGCACCCTTTTCCAGCACAAATTTATTATTTCCCTGCTGTGCTGCAGCCCCGGCTCCTCCTGGCTTCGTGCCTCACACACCTGCCGCTGTCTCCTGACCGGGTCGCAGTGTCAAGTTCTTTACACATGTGTACGTGCAGAGCGGACACACAGACACCGGAGAAGGTGGGAACACATGTGGATGTGCAGAGCGGATGCACAGACACTGGAGAAGGTGGGAGGTGGGGAGTAGCTGAGGGCTGGGGAATTGCCTGTGGGATATGATGCTCACTATTCGGGTGACAGCTGCCCCACCTTCACCACCACACAATCCATGCGTGCAAGAAATCTCCACCCATCCCCTCCAAGTATATAAACATATGATGAGAAGGAGAAACACTCTACACAGAGAATGTGACCCAACCTTGCTTCTCTGTCCACTTCCTGCTCAGCTGGCACACAGAGTAGAGCATGGGCACCTCCCAAGACCACCATGGCCTCCTGGTGAGGAGGCAACACCACGGGCTTCCAGATCTCCTTGTGTGTTCCTCAAACTCTCCTTGCCGCTGAGTGTAGGACGCTGTTTTCTGTCTTCGGTGCTCGCTCTTCTGACATCAGAGATTGACAGCACTGAGTCAGGAAGGAGAAAAGGACTCTGGCTTTGGGCCACGACAGCTCCAGATCCCATACCAACATCACTGTGGACTGCAGAATTTTTCATTTTTCTGGAAATCTCTTTTTTCATCTAAAATATGGAAATAATATCATTTACCTTACAGGGTTGTTGTGATGAAATGGTTCACTCAAAACCACTTCCCAGGAGGTTTCTGATGTAAACATGGCTCCCAGCACTGGGGCACAGGGAGGACAGGCTCTGCCCTCGGGATGCACACCTTCCAGTGTGCATTTAAGGAAGTGCAAGCGAGTTCATCAGGGAGCAGAATGAGTTTAGATAAAACTTCTGTAATATAATATAAAGTGGGGCTTCTGGGTGGAGATGAGTGGGTGACACTTTAGATGGGGGCCCAGGAAGTCCCCTCTGAGGAGGTGATGGCCGTGCAGAAGCAGATCAACATAAGCCTCAGCCAGAGGCACGCTCTGAGCAGAGGCGGAAGCCTGCTGGGGCCACTACGAGGAAAGACACTTGTTCTACAGGATCAGTGCGGGTGCAGCACTCTGAGTAAGTTACCATCCTAAAAATGAGGCTCTCCGTGGAGGCCACGTCACAAAGGTTGTCATACACGTGGTGCAGGCATTGGGTTTTATTCTGAGGACCTAAGAGCGATGGAAAATTCACCACAGCTCTGCACAGGCAAAGGAGGTTGTCAGATGATGAGATTTTCTAAGTGAAGTATTTGAGTCTCACAGAGGAACATATGTATTACACATCAAAGTTATAAAGCCTAAGAAAAAATGAACACTGTGTTGTCTATGGCAAGTAGAACATTGTCAAACCATTAAAATATACCTGGACACTCCTCCCCCAAGAGAAAACCACATAATTAATCACACAGAAAAAATCAGCAGTGGCTGATTGCATTTTCCAAAGACGGCACAAGACAAGCCCTCATCACACTTGCTCCTTCACAGTGGGACTCTGACTTTGACACACCTACCAGGATATGGGGTGCCGTGTCCCTGTCCTGGGTCCCAGGCAGTCTTTGTGACTTCCCCTGTGAGTGGGATGACATGGGATGAAAAAGTGATGCACCTTGTTGTCTTGAGACTTTTGTTCTTGGAACCAGCCACCTTGTTGTGAGGCAGCCCAAGAGGCCATGAGGAGGCCTGTATGGCCTGCCCTGCCATGGCCCCAACCCACAGCCCTTGCTGCTGATCAACACCAACCAGCTAGTCACAAGGGCAAGTCCATGTGGAAAGTGAAACTTCCTGCTGCCCCAAGCTGAAGTGTATGAAGCAAAGGCAAGCTGTCTCCTGGGATCTCTGCCCAAGTTACAGATCTGTGAGCAACACTGTGACTGCTGCTGTTTTCATTAGCTGAGGCTTGAGGTTGTTCATCACAAGGTACTAGTAAGTAAAAGAGATTTTGTACCAAGACTGGGGTGCAGCCATAAGAAAACCCAATGCATGTGTCCTTAGTGCTGGGAAGTGAGAGGCACCTGAGGGCCTTAAGTGTCTGTAACAGGAGATGTTCTAGATTTTCCACATTAGGGATGAAGTGCTGCGATTACTTAACTGTTTAGATAGTCTTTATTAAGTTACAAAAGTTTTCCTTTTTTCCTACTTTGTCAATAGTTTTTGCTCGATTAGTTCATTTTGTTTTTCAGTTCATGAGTTTTGAATTTTATCAAATGTTTTTTTCTGAAGCCATTGAACTCTTCACAATTGTAAACTGAGTTATGTTGTGTTTTCTCTTCAATACACAGCTGGGTTCATTTTCTTAACATAGGCAAGTTTTCCATCTGCATTTATAGAAGTTTCTATGTGTTCTTTCTTGTGCTTCTCTTGTCTAGTTTGAGAATCAAGTTTGCCACAATAAACTTAAATAATGGACTTGGTTTTGTGTGTATGTTTTTATTTTTAAATTTTATTTAAAACATTATTTTATATATATATGTATTTATTTTTTAAGTTTTTTTCTTTCTTATCTTATTTTGGATTGTTTTCTTTTTCTGTTTTCTTGTCTCTACAGATTTGATGGTTATATACTACATTCATATTTCTTTAATAGTTACTTAACAAGGCCTGAAGTTAATTAGTATCTGTCTTAACTCAGACTGCTCTAACAAACACCACAAACTGAGGGGCTTAAACACCAAAAATTTATTTTCTCACAGTTGTGGAGGCTGGGCACTGAAGATCAGGGCAGGAAGGAGGCACCCAATTTGTTTCCTGTGAGGGTTTCTCCTTGTGTTCTTCTAAGTCGAGAGCTCAGTGGTGTCTCCTCTTATCAGAACACCAGCCTGATGGGACCATGCCCCGCCCGGTGACCTCCTTCTACCCTGATGATCTCCTTATTGGAGCCACCACCAAATACAGTCCCACTGGTGGCTAGGAATGGACGTATAAATTCTGAGAGCACACGATCCAGCCCATAGCAATATCTGTAGTCTTCTCCTAAAAAGTAAAGAATAAAGAGCTTGAACAATTAGATTATGTTCAATTGTGTTCTCCTGAATTATCGGTTACTGCTGTCCAGTACTTTATCTTTCTCTCTCTCTCTCAAATGCATGTTATTATTATAATATCATTAATGTCACAATCATCATAATTTTCTGTAATGTGTTTTAGATTTAAACAAATAACCAATTCATTTTCTTCCATAACTTCTTACTTCTTTTACTATCACCTGGTAAAAGGAGGACATCTCTTAGTAGTTTCTTCAGGGAGTCTGTGTGTAGTAAACCCTCCCAATTTTCTTCAGCTGAAATGTTTTAAATTTGTTCTTATTCATGAAATATAATTTTACAGGGCACACACATCCAGGTTGACAATTATTTTCTATCAGCATTTTAAGGGATTATTCCAAACTTCTCTTAACTTTTAGTATTGCTTTTGGAGGTCTGCAGTCTACCGAATTGTCATTCTTATTAGACAGTGCCAAAGTTTTCTCTCTGTCTTACATATTTTACGTTTAGACTGGTTATTCTCAATTTTACTCCAGTATGTCCAGATGTATCTTTGTTTTGTATTTATTCTGCTTGATAGACAGCATGCTTTTGTAATCAAATTGTTTACTCATTTTTTTGCAAATATAGTCTCTCTCTAATTCTTCTTGTTCTATCCTATTGTAATTACATTCAATATGTACTGAATCTTCTCACTTTATCAACAGAATTTTAATAAACCCACATTTTTCATCTTCCTTTCTCTGTATTTCTCAACAGCCTCCTCTATGGACCACATGGCTGGTGCTGCAGGGAGGATCTGGGTCACCTCCCTGCTGGCCGCTGGGTCTCTACAGGCCTTGCTGAAAACCTTCCTGGGTAAACACCTACAGCTTGCATAACTTAGATCCGATGGCCCACAGGAGAGATTGCAACTGGGTGACCACGTGCCAGGGCGCCACATCAACAGCACTAGGAGCTGCCTTGGGGATGTAGGCGCCTTCCACGGGCTTTTCCAGAAACCAACTACAGGAATATTTTTAGAAATAGAGGTGTTCTCAACAAACAGAGTGGAACTAGTTAGATAAAATTAATCATTAGTGTATAGATCTCTGTAAATGTCTAAGAAATTATTATTAACTTAAAGCACTATTCTTACTAAACCTCCATGTTTTATGATGGAAACATATTATTTTTTCTGAAATGGTGTGTGGATTATCATCTACATTTCAATTGAGACATAAGCTTTGAATTGCTAGTTATCATTATTGCTTAGTGCAGTTGTTGTAACAAAAACAACCAAACCGAACTTTAACTTATTTTTATTTATTTATTTATTTACTTATTTGCAAACTGAATCTTGGAAAAAAAACCAAATCATCCTTAATCCCTGTAGTTTCGTTTATTAATCAACTTCTGCCGTGTACTGAAGCCTGTGCCACATCCAGGCATGCGGCAGCTCCAGGACCCATAGCTCTGTACCCAGGGATGATAACTCAACAGCAAACCTCTGCACCCTGCATTTCCTGGAACCGAGGGATGCAGTCTCCATGTGCTGGGATCCCTTTTCTCGATTCCTATTCAGTTTCTAGTAAGTCATTAGGCCACCCTCTGTCCGTACTTCTGGGCGCCCTGCACAGATCACAGGCAGTGTCCCCGCAGGCATCTCCTCTCCCCACCTGCAGTCAGTCTCAGACCCATAGACTGGGTGCCTTTGCCACCCTTCTGGATAGTTTTCATTGACATCAGAAAATTGGAGAAACTAGAAAAATACTGACATCTATAGAATGTGAAATATAATTTGGAATGTAAACTTGAAAATTAACCTTGGAAATAAAAACATTCATCATGTTGTAAAGGTGTTCAGAGGAGAAATGTGTGGAACCCAATACTACAGCTGAGCCCAGCTAAGGGTCCTGCAAGGGGTGACCTCAGGTTTTTGTTTCATATCTTTCTTTCCTTCTTTTTTCTTTCTCTCTCTCTTTCTTTTCTTATTTCTTTGTCTCTTTCTTTCACTCTTTCTCTCTCTCTCCCTCTCCCTCTCTATTTTTTTCTTTGTTTTTTTTTTCCCCGCTGTCTAACAGACCAAAATGTGGCCTCATCTCAGGTCCACATATGTTATTTCTTATTCCATCGCATTGTCCTCCAGGCTTTCACCAGAGGTCGAGGGGGGTAGGGGAGTCGGTGGTCGCATATGAACCACACTCGTTCTTAACGGCAGTTCCACAGACAGAACCCTCTCCAACCATTCCCCAGACCCTGCATTTTTCTTTCCACGTTCCTCACTCATTTCCTTTTCCTCTCACACAGGTCGTGCCAACCCTTCCTGTGACTTTCCTGAGATTCCCACAGCTTCACCATTTTCCCAGGTCCTCAAACCCAAATGCTCCAAAGCTATGATGACCCTGCTGTCTTCCAGCCTTTCTCAAATATGCTCACAGCACATGTGGTCTGAAGTGGATCTGCTATCACACTGCATGTCTCCTACATCTGTGAGGCCCGATGGGCTTCATTCATGGTTTTGATATGTTCTGCTTTGCCAAGAATAGTCAAGAAAAAAAAAAGAAAGGAAGGAAGGGAGGGAGGGAGAAAAGAAGGAAGAAGGGAAGAAAGGAAGGAAGGAAAGAAGGAGGGAGGGAAGGAAGGAGAGAGGGAGGGAGGGAAGGAAGGAAGGAAGGAGGGAAGGTAGGTAGGAAGGAAGAAAGAAAGAATATAGTCCAGCAGTTCCTTACAAAACTAAACAGACAATCCAGCAATTACATGTTTTGACATTTACCAAAATGAACTGAATGTTTATGTCCACACGAAACCTGCACATAAGTGTTTATAGCAGCTTTACTCATAATTGCCTAAACCTGGAATTAACCAAGATAACCTTCAGGAGGTGAGTGGATAAAAATTGTGGATAAATAACCTCAGTGAGTGGATAAATAAACTATGATTCATCTAGACAAGGGAACATACTTCAGTGTCAAAAAAACTAAGCCATGGAAAGACACAGAAGAACCTTAAATGCATGTTTCTGGGTAAAAGCCGCCAATCTGAATAGGCCGCCTCTGCGTGACTCCAACTCTATGACATTCTGGAAATGGTCAAACTATGGAGACGGGAAAAAGATCAGTGGTTACCAGGGGTTGGGAGGAGGGAGGGAGCAGGTGGAGCAGGGAGGACTGTTAGGGCAGTGGTGCTCCTCCGTGTGATGTTACCATGGGGGATACGCAGCATTGCACGTTTGTCCAAACCCACAGGAAGTACAACAGCAAGATGGAGGCCTAATGGAAGCGACGGGTTACTCTGGGGGACGATGAGTGTCCGTGTACGTTTGCTGATTTTAGCAAATGCAGGGCAGTAAGCCAATAAGTAAGTAACAGGAGAAATTGGGACTGGATGGAGTATTGGAACTCCACTCAATTTTCTGTAAACCTAAAACTGATTTAAAAAAATGAAGTCTATACATTTAAAATGTAATACTATAGAAACAGCATGAGGTTTTTTGAGTATAGACAGTGGTTGCCCTCATAGCGTCATTTACTGGTCAGCATTTTATTTTTCATGTTATCTCTTTATTTGAAACATTGTAAATCCCAGAAGGCCCTGTGGGTGCCAGAAGAAGAGCTGCTGAGCGGCGGTTCCCACGCGTGCTGCAGACGCTTTTCAGAGACAAGTCTTGGTCTTTGTGCTGGACGGAGGCAATGCTGCTAATGGGAGGCGGAGCCCACCTGCTCCTCAGCCAGGCCGCAGGGAGAGGCAGGCAGCGGTGAAAGCCGCTGAGCGGGAAGCAGGGCCGGGATGTAAGGCAGAAGCCGCAGGGACGTCGGCTGGGCCTCGGTTGAGAGCAGGGGAACGAGGAGCGGGTCTCCCAGTCGGGCTTCTATCTAAGGACAGAGCTGCTGTGCACCGGCTCCCTGAACTGCTCCTGCTCCCTGCAGTGCTCCCACTCCCTGCTGTGCACCCGCTCCCTGCTGTGTACCCACTCCCTGCTGTGTACCCACTCCCTGAAGTGCACCCACTCCGTGCTGTGCACCCGCTCCCTGCTGTGTACCCGCTCTCTGCAGTGCTCCTGCTCCCTGCAGTGCTCCCGCTCCCTGCAGAGCTCCCCCTCCCTGCAGAGCTCCTGCTACCTGCTGTGCACCTGCTCATACAGTTCACCCACTCCCTGCAGTGCTCCCACTCCCTGCTGTGCTCCTGCTACCTGCTGTGCACCTACCTGAAGTGCTCCCACTCCTTTCAGTGCTCCTGCTCCCTGCAGCGCACCTGCTCCTTGTAGTGCTCCCGCTCCCTGCAGTGCACACGCTCCCTGAAGTGCTCCCGCTCCCTGCTGTGCTCCCGCTCCCTGCTGTGCACTCGCTGCCTGCAGTGCTCCCACTACCTGCAGTGCTCTCGCTACCTGCTGTGCACCCGGAGCTGCCGAGGCTGGGCCCTGGATGGTGCAGGTGGGCCTTGGGTGTAGAGTGCAGCCTCGCCCCCATTTCCCGTGGACGTTTCCAGCCGCCCGAGTCTTCTGAGACCACAGATAAGGTCAAGCGAAGGAGGGCGTATCACTTCAGCTTCCAACTTCTACTCTCTACTTAAAAGTAGTTCCTGAGGCCAGCAGCGCGTCAAGGGCCAGGGTGGGGCCCTTCATCCTTTCTCTTCGTGTGTCTGAGCCTCCCAGTGTCCAGCAGGCAGAAGTGGTGAGCTCCTCGGGCCTGCAGCATCTTGTGAGGCTCATCCCTATCATAGCACAGCCCCCACAGAGCAGCCTCTCAGTCCCTCCATTCTCATCATGTTACTTCACTGGATAGGTCTTCTTTAAAAAGCATTCGTGGGCCGGGCACGGGGGCTCACGCTTGTAATCCCAGCACTTTGGGAGGCCGAGATGGGTGGATCACCTGAGGTCAGGAGTTCGAGACCAGCCTGGCCCATATGGTGAAACCCAGACTCTATTAAAAATACTAAAAAATTAGCTGGGCGTGATGGCAGGTGCCTGTAATCCCAGTTACCCGGTAGGCTGAGGCAGTAGAATCGCTGAAACCCAGGAGGTGGAGGTTGTAGTGAGCCGAGATCATGCCACTGCACTCCAGCCAGGGCGACAGAGTGAGACTCCGTCTCAAAAAAAAAAAAAAAAAGCATTCCTGAAACTAGACCATGTAAATGCACTTATTCATTCACATCATCATCTGTGTGGGTGCAGGTGCAGCATGGGTGTTTTCTAATGTAACGGAAAAATGAAATCAGTGATGTCTCCAGGCGCCTACATGTGTGCACGTGTGCACACGTGAGAGTACACTGCTGCATGTATCGTGTGGGTATGTGCATGAGTGTGAGCTTACATGCACAAGTGAGAGTGTATATGTAAACCTGCACTGTGTACGTTGCGTTGTGACATGTGCGCATGTCTCTGTGTGTTCACGTGTGCACGTGTCTCTGTGTTCACATGTGTGCACATGTGACTCTGTGTGTTCACCTGTGTATGTATTTAGGTCTGTTTCTGGACAGTAAAAACTGACTTTACAACTGATTTGGGATGTGGTTAACCTCATTCAAATGAACACAGGAAACCGAAGCCCTGTGCTTCCCGGCTCATTCCCTTCAGCTCCGGGTGACGTTCCTCAATCAAAAATATTAGACTTCTCTTTCTGAATAAGTGACAGAAATTTTCCCCAAGCAGCCAAACAGGGGCCTCTGGCATGGTGCTGTGGTGCCCTCTGGAGGGTTAGTGGAAAAGATGTCTTTCTCAGACAGAACGGGGAACGAACTGGAAAAGCTCTGCAGAGCCAAGGAGGTATGCGGCCCCAGATCCTGACGTTCCCCTTTCACAGCTCAGGAGACCAACCTGTGCAGGATCCACGACTCTGGCCCCACGTCGGGCCGGGCATCTCTTTCACGCAGCAGCTACATGTCACATTTCCTTTTCTCTATTCTGGTCCTGGAGTGAGCAGCACAGGACGCATTCTGTATGCTCCACATCATTCTGGGGATCAGATCAGCACCACCGCATCGCCAGCCCCACCAAAGCCGTTAACAGACGTGCAGTTTAGGGAATCTAACACATATCTTTTGATCCTTACAGTGATCTTATAAATAACTATGTCGAGTATGCCTATATACCTTTCCTGAAGGGAAACTGAAATTCGAGGCCATCATCACCATGTCCAGTGAGAACCAAGGCTCTTATAAAATTGATCATGTTCTGTGGTCATCACAGGAAGTGTTTTCACTCGGAATCTATCGTCAGACATGTCAGTACCTCTCAAGAGTTCTCATGAACACATTTTTACAATGACCACGTATTAATGTGCAGAATTCCACAACAGCTTGCAGCTGTTACCCTGGAAAATCCACTAATTGCATACGTATTTCAATGTGCTGTCGACATAAAGGTGACGCCCTGTAGGATGGGGGTCATAAACCTGCCAGGACAATGGTGAAGACTTGGGAGGGTAAGAAATGAGAAAGCGCTGTGTGCCCTTGAAGCAGCCGGGAAACCCGCATCCACCCAGGCTGCACCTCCACTCCCAGGCTCCGCGCTGCTTCCGGTCTGTTGTTCTGCTCAGGACTGTGATTGCAGCGGGGAAGCCTCTCACTCACCCAAGAGCCCCGTGTGCGGCCTAGGGTTGGTGGGAGACACAAACCCATCCCAGCCCAACCTGAGGTCATCGGTTACAAAGGACAGTGGCAGGGAAGTCAAGGCCCCACAAATGTCCACTCAGTACTTTTCAGAACTTACATGCTTCTAATATGTGCCAGGTATGCTTTGAGAGACTCTTGGATGGACTTTCTTGTATTGTCAATATATAAGCTGTCTGAAATTTATTATTTGATTTGTCACATCAGTAACTTACAGAGAAGAATTTAAAGAGCAAAAAAGCCAACATGAGTAACTTTATTTATAAAGGTGTCACAGTTCTTGGCAAGTAAATCCATTCCTAGGTAAACCATGGCTTCTGGCTTCAAATTCACAATTCCTAAGGTCCCCCTTTTTTTACCTGGATGCTTGAGCAAAAGGATATTCGGTTTGGAGGCTAGAGAAGGAAGCAATGATGCTGCCTGGGTATTTCACAGGCATTTGTATAATAAATGAAATGAACTTGGAAAGCATTTAAACACCAGCCACCCATCAGTGTGAACTAAGTAACAGGTGAAATCATAAGGATGGCACAATGTGTTTGTCGTTGTAACTTGTTTAAACTAACTTCACTGTTGTGAGGTTTTCACGGTTCTTCTCCGAGGGTCACTTGTCAGCTTGGGAGGAGGTGGAACCTCAGCTCTTCACAGTTCCTGATGATACATAAAGCAAAAAACTGTTTGACTTTCTAAAACCTTTTCAACACAAGCCAAAGCCAAACTACAGACTAGTAACACATATTTCTGCCCTATATGTGTTACCAATTTTAACACATAAAATTAGAAATAGGTTTTTTAAAGCCCATATTGCAAAACAAAGAAGAATACGAACAGATTATTCACTAAAAAAATGCAAAACACCAACAATCATTTGAAAAGCGTTAAACCTCACAGGTAACCACAGAAGTACAAGTTAAAACAGTGAGATAAAACTTTCACCTATTACTCAGAAAAGTTTCTTTTTTTACGTTGCTACTTAGTGCAGACAAGGATTTCAGGAAATATGTACAACCAATATTGGCATATGCTTTCTGAAAATTGATTTAGCAACATTTACCAACTGTCACATAAAAGTTATATATGTTGACTAAATTTCACTTGTAAGAATTTATTCCAAGTCAATAGTGGAAATGTAGGCATGTGAGGTTGGAGATTTCTGTGTTGCTGTTGTCAGTAAAACAATTAGAAAAACTCTGCATCTCTAATATCAGTAACTGGTTACGTAAATTCAGCCTATACCCCTACAATGTGTTTACTATGCAGGCATTGAAAATAATGTTATATAGTGAAATAGCATCATGATAATAGGGACTACATTACTTTATAGAAGATAGACTTACAGAAAAAAGGGGCAGCAAATTGACACTTAACAATTTTCTCCTGTTCCAAAGATATCCAATGTTATATAAGAAATAACCAAACATGGGTAAGGCAGAGGAAAGACCAGCACATGGAGGGCCAAGCTGTGAGTGAGTTGGGCTTAGGGATCCATAAACCCAGAGATGCAGACGCCCAGCTCAGATGGAGCATCACTCCCACATACAACAGAACCCAGAGATGCAGATGCCCCACTCACTCCGATAGAGAATCAACCCCATATACAACAGGATCCAGAGATGCAGACACCCCACTCACTCAGATAGAGAATCAACCCCACATAAAATAGAACCCAGAGATGCAGATGCACCACTCACTCAGATAGAGAATCAACCCCACATAAACTAGAACCCAGAGATGCAGATGCCCCATTCACTCAGATAATCAACCCCACATACAACAGGACCCAGAGATGCAGATGCTCCACTCACTCAGATAGAGAATCAACTCCACATACAACAGGACCCAGAGATGCAAACACCCCACTCACTCAGACAGAGAATCAACCCCACATAAACTAGAACCCAGAGATGCAGATGCCCCACTCACTCAGAGAATCAACCCCACATAAAATAGAACCCAGAGATGCAGATGCACCACTCACTCAGAGCAACAACCCCACATACAACAGAACCCAGAGATGCAGATGCCCCACTCACTCAGATAGAGAATCAACCCTACATACAACAGGACCCAGAGATGCAGATGCCCCACTCACTCAGATGGAGCATCAACCCCACACACAACAGGACCCAGAGATGCAGATGCCCCACTCACTCAGATGCAGCATCAACCCCACACACAACAGGACACAGAGATGCAGATGCCCCACTCACTCAGATGGAGCATCAACCCCACACACAACAGGACTCATGGAGGCAGTCACCCAGCTCACTCAGATGGAGTGTTAACCCCACGCACACAAAACCCAGAGATGCGGATGCCCAGCTCACTCGGATGGAGTATTAACCCCATGTACAACAGAACCCCGAGATGCAGATGCTCAGCTCACTGAGATGGAGCATCAACCCTACACACAACAGGACCCATGGAGGCAGATGCCCAGCTCACTCAGATGAAGCATCAACCCCATGCACAACAGGGCCCATGGAGGCTGACATCCAGCTCGCTCAGATGGAGCAGGAGCTGCTGAAGGGTGTTTTGGCCCAGGACTGGAGCAGAAGGCAGTAGCCCTGAGGCTTACAGAGCAGACCCTATGGCCACATGCTTGGACTTAGGCCTCTGCTTGGCTGCCTGAAGGCTGCAGGGAGCTCCTTCTCTGTCCTCAGGTTCCTTTCAGGGCCTGTGCCAGTCAGCGCCTCCCCTGGCATAGGTCTTGTGCAATTTCTAATGACAGCATGATTCGGAGACTATAATAGCTACACCTTCCCCCAAAGCGAGGAAAGATCTAACTGTACAGGCCGCTGTGAAACTGGAACATCGGAGGAAGAGGAGCTAGAAAGCTTACCAGGCCGATGAGGATGCTTGCTGTCAACTGTTCCAGCCCCACTCGGAACAAGCTGCCACCAACGCATGGCACCCACAGCCTGCGTGGGCCTCGCCGCCCCATCCTGCCTTCCCTGTGCAGCAACCAGGGCTTGGAGACATCTTCGCACCATCCTGGGACTGGGCAGCGCCACCCCCTGGGTGCTCTTCTCTGCCCTGGCTCGCTCCCTTCCTGCCTCCGAGAACTCTGCATGTGGAGCCCAGCCCCGTCCTCCCCAGGACCGACTTGCTGGTGTAGTCGACCAGCAAGAGGGGCTTCAGTAAAGAGGGGAAGGCTGCACTGAAAACATGTTCTGGTTAACTTGGTGAAAGAAGAAGGGTGCTCCACTGAAATCCAGACAAGGAAGCCTGAAGTTCTTTTCCAGGGAAAAGATGCTTGGGCCTGACCGGTATATCTCTGACGGCAATTCTCGTCTGTCTTTAAGCATCCCACTCAACTTCGCGCCACTGAAGCTCCTTACCCTGAATTCCACCCCCAGCCCTTTTTTTTTTTTTTTAACATTTATTATTTTGTAAAGGGCAAGAACATGTTAACATTTCCTTGCCACTTTACTTCTCACAGAAGCTAGCCATTCAGGTTGCATATTGCTTTCTGATTTGATATACATTATCTGTGCAAGTAGACTTTCTTCTACTGGCAAGGACACAATTGCATTTGTTTGTTAAAACTCAGCACCAGATGCTGCAGCAAAGGGACCTGCCAGCCAAAGGTGGAGCTAAGTTCCAGGTGCTCCTGTTTCCAGTTACAGTAAGGTGCAAAACAAATACCATTTTTTTGAAAAAAACAAAAAAAAATACTACATATTATTAAAGATGTATTTTATTGCATAGCAATCGATAAACGTAAGGTGTCACAGGTTTGGAATGTGAAAAATAATTTTGATCCCAAACCTCCTTTCCTGTACTTTATCAGTAGAGTAAAAACATTTGTTCTACTTAAACAGATGAAGCTCTCCAGTGAGTCATCCACATTTATGGAGCCTGAAACCAGTGTGCTCTGTGCAACCCCCAGTGCTTTAAAGTGGGATTGCACCTGTGCTTTCGTAAATTACTCAACTGCTGATCATTTTGGCTTCTATGACTTTCCCTAAAATGAGGACAACATATCAAGACAATTGTTAACAATGCACTTTAAGGCATTGAATATAAACTTACTACACAGTTAAAAATAAAGTGAAGGTTGTTTTTACAAAACCAAAATATAACTGTTCCAAAACACAGACACACACATGCAGAATGAAAATCAAAGACCACACGTCATGGTTTCACACTGACATGTCATCAGCATCAAATTCATGCAAAGCTAGCAATACTGTTACACTACTTTATCACAGGCAAACTGAGATTCAATCACACGGCCCCATATTAAGTCCAAATAACATATAGATGTTTAATTAGTCTGTTCTCACACTGCTATAAAGATACTACCTGAGACCTGGATTACTTTATAAACAAGAAGTTTAATTGACTCAGTTCCACATGGCCGGGGAGGCCTCGGGAAACTTACAATCATGGCAGAGGGAGAAACAAGCACCTTCTTCACAAGGCAGCAGGAGAGAGACAGTGACAGCAGGGGAAACTGCTGTCTTTAAAACCAGCAGATCTTGTGAGAACTCCCTCTCTATTATGATAACAACATAGGGGAAACCACCCCCATGATCCCATCACCTCCCATCAGGTCCCTCCCTTGACACATGGGGATTACAATTTGAGATGCAATTTGGGTGGGGACACAAAGCCAAACCATATCAGATGGTGAAAATGTTATACTAAAAATGCACAGTCTCTACAAACTCCCTGGTTTCTTTTCTGTCAGTGAAGTCAAATATCTACACAACGGCCCTGGACAATGCTACAGGGAGGACACATTACCTTAATCATCTTTCTGTCCCACTTCTCAGCCACAAAGGCCCGAGAGGGGCATGAACTTGGCTGGTGAGCTCTGCACCTCAACATTCTCTTCCCAGGCTTGTCTAATCAAAGATAACTGTTCCAATTACATTTTGAATTGGTAACTTTCAGAAATGCACAATTAGGCATGCTATCCAGATACAATGCACAATCAGTATTCCCTTATTGAACACCTATTTTTAAATATCTGGGTCTCTAACCACCTGTCATTCTTAAACTACAGGTCCACATTTGACAGGAACCAAGAGCCACTGGGCAGGAGCTATTTTATAAAGTGGATATTGCAAAGTAACAGTATGCCTGTCCTAACAGAACTGGGAGCATTGTGTTCCCAAGCACCTAAATCAACAGAACACCAGGACATTAGGAAAGACACGCTTCTCCATGGAGTGTTGACTTCAGGGCTTCCATTCTGTTTTCAGTAAAGCAGCCCATAACTTTGCTAGAGAGGGCCTAGCCTCTTGTGAATTGGTTCATCAAACTGAGATACAACGTATTTTCCAAGAGCTTCCTTCCAAGGTCTCTCTGCCCCAGCACAGCTGACATTTCATGTCAAGTCATTGTCTGTGATGCGGCTGACCCAGGCACACAGGATTTTATGCATCACCCCGGGCTCCACAGGAGAAGCCAGGAGCACCACCCCCTCCAGTGACAACCAGGTGTCTCCAAACTTTGCCCCATGTCTTGGAAGGTGAAAACACCCTCTACTGCGAACTGTGGCATGCACTAGAAAACACAGCACGAGGAGGAGGGCATGGTGCCCATGTACAGGTGGCACTGTTTATTATTGAGTTTCATATTTTATATTGTGTATTTTATATTTATAATTAGTACTAGTTACACATATGACATGGACTTCTTCAAATCAAATTCCCAGTTATGAAGCTCTGCAGAGACCGTTCCCACAGCCTGACTACAAAGATCAGGCACCTGAAGACGCATGTCCTGATGGATACATTCAGTGCTGGCTGAAAAGCCAACTTCAGTGTGTGCCCTACCACTGTGGATATTTAAATAAAACAACGGTTTTTCAAACCATGAGTCAGCTGGAAGGATGCCCACGCCACGCACACTGCAGCACTGGGAGCTGCACTGGGTGGACGGGAAGGACGCAAACTCCAAGCAGCTGCTGCCCCTCAGTCTTCTTTCCTTCTCCTTTTCTTTTCCTTTCTTCTCTCTTGTGCATTCTTCAGGTCAGTCATCACATTCAAAGTCTTCCATACCCACATAACCTAAACACAATTGTTTGAGACATGTTTAGATTTGAAAAACATACACATGAAGAAAGACAACTGAAAGTGTCATCTACGTACCACAATGATCATGGCATTCACCAGCAGTGGGGCTGAAAATACTATAGAAATGAACATCCCCCTGGAGTCGAAATACTGGTATTTCGAAAATAATCTGTTTAAAAAACAAAAACAAAAAATTACTAGGCAATACAACCAAAAAGTTCTAGTGACACCGTCTATTTAGATAAGACTTTGGAGAGAGCTGATGTGGACTGAGGTGGGAGCAACACCCTCACTGGGCCCACCCTTGGGAGCAGCGGTAATCTCCACTGTACTGTCCCAAATGCAATGAATGCTCATTATGAAGAAAACACACTGGGTCACAGGACAGGGAGACACCACCCAGCAGCACAGGAAAGACCCCGAGGCCTCCCCCAGCAGAGAGACGTCACCCTGCAAGCCCTCTGGGTCATCAGCAGCACATCTGACCTTAGCTGGAAGACACTGATGACTTGAAATCCTTAAAACCTACAGAGTAACAACGTCAATAATCCCCTCCCCGTAAATGACAAAGGGACAGCAGCTGCGTCTGCTCCACAGCTGCACTGGGAAGGAGTGGTGCCGGGCCCTTCCATCCCTTTGGTTCTCATAGCAGGTCCTCTTGCTGTCAGTGCCAGTGCCTCTTTAGCAGAAGAGACTGAGGAAGGCGGAAGATCTCCACCTGCACAAAGGTACAGCGCCAGGGAGGGCAGAGGATCTGCACGTGGGTGTTGATGATTCTCTCAGCAGCCAGCACAGGAAATGCCATCAACAAAGCTAGTAATGGTGGGCAGTGGGTCAGCGCCTTGTGAGCATGGGGCTCCTGCCTTGCTGGCGCTCACAGCTAGTAATGGTGGGCAGTGGGTCAACACCTCATGAGCATGGGGCTCCCGCCTTGCTGGCGCTTACACTCTATACCATGGGAGGCCCAGAAGTAAGAGGCAGCCAGTCCAAGCATGTGGCGAGTGCTGCTACAGAGAAATGTGAAGCCTGTCGGGGGTGAGGGGGCCTCGTGGAGTCGTAGGCACAGCCATGAACGGCTGGGACAGAGCTGGCAGGAGGCCGCAGGGCATCACTGCAGGACTCCGCGTTTACTCTGGGGGAGCTGGGGACACTCTGGAACGTTCTGAGGGGCAGTGCTTGGCTCTGAGGCCCACGCTTCCCCAGGATGCCCAAGAGGCTGGGCAGTCGGGGGACGGCTTAGGGACCGCTGCATGTCAGCAGCGGGTCGGCGAGGGTGGGGTGAAGGGCATGGAACACACTGGGCTCGTGGCTGATCTTAAAGGTGGAGGGACGGAGCTTCCTGAACAATGCCCTGTTACGTCTCTGGTCTAAGAAGCTGGAGGGAGAAGCCGCCCCTACGAAGAGGGGGGAGCAGAGCAGTCGGACTGAAGTGTGAATTTTGAGATGTTTGTTAGACGTCCTGGTGCCCAGTCCAACAGGTGGGACAGGCAAGAAACCCAGCGCTTTTGAAACCAGGAGATCTCGGAGAAGCATGAAGACAGGAGGCTGCGGCCAGAGGGAAGGGAGGGGCCAGAAAGGTGCTGCACCCTGGAGCTGGGTGTGGGAGGGCTTCGGGGAGGATGACCCTGTGCCAGCCTCTGGACAAGGTCAGGGTCACCAGGGACTGAACACCCCTCCTGGGACTGAACCATGTGAAGGCCCTGCATCCGGGAGGAGAGGCAGGGTCCTCCTGGGACTGAACCATGTGAAGGCCCTGCATCCGGGAGGAGAGGCAGGGTCCTCCTGGGACTGAACCATGTGAAGGCCCTGCATCCGGGAGGAGAGGCAGGGTCCTCCTGGGACTGAACCATGTGAAGGCCCTGCATCCGGGAGGAGAGGCAGGGTCCTCCTGGGACTGAACCATGTGAAGGCCCTGCATCCGGGAGGAGAGGCAGGGTCCTCCTGGGACTGAACCATGTGAAGGCCCTGCATCCGGGAGGAGAGGCAGGGTCCTCCTGGGACTGAACCATGTGAAGGCCCTGCATCCGGGAGGAGAGGCAGGGTCCTCCTGGGACTGAACCATGTGAAGGCCCTGCATCCGGGAGGAGAGGCAGGGTCCTCCTGGGACTGAACCATGTGAAGGCCCTGCATCCGGGAGGAGAGGCAGGGTCCTCCTGGGACTGAACCATGTGAAGGCCCTGCATCCGGGAGGAGAGGCAGGGTCCCCAGTGAGCCGCTTATGGCTAAAGAGAGGGCAGGGAGGAGGGAGGGCAGAGACAGTGCTGCAGGGACGCTGTCGTGGAGGGAAAGGCTGAGCAGGGAGGAGCAAGGCAGGAGGAGGCCGAGTCAGGGGAGGGTTCGGGAAACCAGGCGGGGTCTAAGCAAAGGATTTCAGGGAGTGCTCAACAACCCCTTTCGGTGAGGGCCCAAGATCAGTGTTCAGGGCTTATGGGCCACAAGGCCACAGTCTCAGCTCCTTCCTGCTCAGGGTCTGGCAGTTTTACTTTTTTTCTGTTTTATATTTTAAAACGTAAAAGCCATTTTTAGCTCACAGGCCACTCAAAAACAGTCCGTGGGTCTCACTTGACAGAGGCTGTGTGGTTCAACCTGGGCAGGTGCTGGGTTCCGAGTCCCCTGGGATGAAGCCAGGGGTAGAGGAGGGGGCAGAGGACGCAGGGCCAGGGCTGCCAGCGGTGCCCCCCGACATCAGGATGTGGGGCTGGGGATGAGGCAGGCAGGTGCCCCAGACCACCCAGAAGCCCCCTACTCAGGTCCAGACTCCCCATGGAGCAGCCACCCTGCAGTCCAAGGGGGAGGGCATGGCTGAGGCCAGCGCGGACCACGTTCTCTAAAATGCTGCTGTTTCTATTCTGCAGCTCAAATTCCCATGGCCACTTCTCTGGCTCTGCCATCAGAGGCCTCAGCCAGCACTGTCCCACAGTGCCACGCTCAGAAAGGGCCACTGTGGCGCTGGTAAAGCATTTACGGAGTCACCCTGGAGCCCACCAACCCTGGATGCACGGGCACGGGCTGTGCACAGCTGCCACGTTAGGATTCACTGTCTCCTCCGCGAGTCCCACCGGCTGTGGGGCCATTCCCAGGGACACCCCTGCAGGGACCTGGTCACAGGCCCGGGGGTGGGCTCACCTCCAGTTCATCGCAGCCGCCTCATTGATGTATTCAGCACAGTAGACTAAGATGACTGAAAAAAGGTACAAGTCATATTAGAATTTAGATGGCCCGTTATTACTCGTTATAAAGTTATACATTCTTTACAGCAGAATACTGAATAGAAATGTCACTTTAATTTTAAACATAACATCAGGTAAACATCCTAACATTGTCAAGTCGTAGGACTCACCCATTTAGCAGAAAGAAAATCAAGGCCAACAGTGCTTCAGTTCTCCAATGCTCTATGGTCTCACTCAGAGCCCGTGCTCAGGTCAGCACCTGCAGAGCTACTGCAGGAGCCGCCCGAGGCCCCAGGCTTCACCCAGGCATGGCTGGACCTCACACATTTCCCCAGGGACAGCAGCCACAGTTCAGCCCCACAGAACACGGCAGCAGGAGCTGAGAGCCACGAGACCCAGAGCTGACAACCAAGGGCTTTTCACGCTCACACTTCCCGGGCTGACCTTGGGACACTGCCACTGAGATGACCATAGGAGGGGAGCGAACAGCTTTGGGGTGCTGGAGGCAAAGGCACGGGAGGGAGGGCAGCAGCTGGTGGGGGCAGGGCAAGGCCTCCATGCTCCCAGGAGCACACAGACTTTAGGGACTGGCCCAGGGTCTTCAGCTAATTCGTGGGTAATGCTGGTACTCAAACCCATGAGACAGTGACCCATGGTACCATAAAATCAAATAAAATATGATTCGGCAAATTAAGAAAAATGTGATGCTTCAACTTCCAAGGTAAATCAAACTAAAAATCCTTTCATTCTTCTTGATACACATCAGAAAGCAGATTAAACTAGGGGCTACGGTGAGCAGTCCCTCCACTTCCTCCCTTCAGGAATGGACTCAATAAAGCAGAGGAAAAGAATGCACAGGGAAAGAACCAGAGGGGAGGGGAGGGAGGAGGAGGAGGAGGAGGGGGAGGATGGGGGGGAAGGAGAGGAAGGAGGGGAAGGAGGAGGGCCAGGAGAAGCAGGACAGCCAGGCAGGTGAGAAGGGTAGGCTAACACAGGAGGTGGTGGGCATGGGTGCGGGGAGGAAGGTGTGGAGGGCTGACGTTACAGGGGGAAGGTGGGGAGGGTGGTAGGCACGGGAGGAAGGCGGGCAGGGAGGGTGTCACCAGGTGCTCCTCCTCAGCTATTCCTGAAATGCACCCTGGAGCAGAGTCTGAATCTTGAATCTTGATGGTGCTGGTTATAAGCTGTATAGCTGAGGGAGTTAGAGAACCTCTGCATGTTTCATTTATAAAAATGGGCAAATAAAATCCAACTCTTGGCTGGTTTGAGAAATGAATCACAGGAAATGTAATGGCAGGCAGCACAGTGTCTAGTATTACCCCGGTGTGAAAGCAGTCATCCTTCCCCTTATCCTAGAAAACATCAAACCCTTTGTGCAGTTCTCCAGCTGACAAAGCTATTCAGATCCAGGAGCTCAGCTGGTGAAGCCATCACCTTTCTTTGAGATGCCTGCCTCAGGGCCTCTGCGTGGGGCACTTGCTCCTGCCCTCTGCCAGCATCTCACTGCCTGGCTCCTGCCTATGCACCTTTTGCCCCTGGGTTCCCAGGGGACTGTGTGATTTAAATCAGGCCGCTCCTCCTGTTTCACTGTGTTTTTGGCTTTTCCATTGCAACACTTGTCACTGTTGATAACACAGGTCTGTGATGAATCACTGGTGCTGGTGTCCCCCAGGAAGCTGTGGGAGGCAAAGGAGCCCTGTCTGCCTGGTCCACTCCAGCACTCCTCAGGGCACCCTCAATACAGAGCTTGCTCTGAGCGCCTCACTTGCATAGGCCCCCACTGTGATGCAAACCCTCATCACTTCTCCAGTCTTTCTAAGATCATCTCTTCTTCAGATTTCCCGCTTTGCACACAGCCAGCTAACTAAACTTATCTGAAATTAGTTATTTTTAACTACCAAGCAAAATCTTCAGTGTCTCCCCAATGTTGAGAGTCAAGAGTAGCCTGAGCCAGGCCTCCAGGCCCTCCTCGCCTCTTCTACCCACACGTGTTCGTAACGCTCAGCATCAGAAGTGCTTAGGTCCTGGAGGGCTTGCAGTTTCTCTGCCTCTGATCCACACCTTCCATCTATCTCAGTCTCTGCATGTCGGGCTGCTGCCCTCCCAGGGCCGTCACCTGCTCCCTCTCTTTTCTTATTAACATTTTACTCACTCTTCACACCCTGTGCCATGATTTCAGCTTTTCTGAATAATCTTTCTCAGTCATCCTGTGCAACTCCCTAACTTCTCTAAGTTCTGTAGCCCTTATCCTTGAAACCAAGTTGGGCAATGCCTTATTTTATGCACAGAACTTTTCTTTCCCAGTTTGCAATCTTCCTCCCATTCAAAGCAGTGCATGAGCACAGCTGCCACCAAGGACGCATCTTGTGTAAAAGACAGCACTTCCGGAAACCCAACTCTCCTGTGTGCAGCTGGTGCTCAGCACCTCCCTGGTAGGCAACAGGAACTCAACAGATTCCTCTCAACTCTAACATCCAAAAAGTAGTTTTCTTTATAGCTTCCAAGAGTGAAAAACGGGAGTGCCCTGGGAGCAGGCACATGACAGAGGGTTGGGAGGTCTTGTAAAAATATGTATATATTTCGAAGACACAGACAGAACATACACAGTTTCATTTCACACAGTGATCTGAGTTGTGGAGTTTGTGTTGTTTTACTCACCTAGACACAGAAAGTGCCCGATCTGTAGTCTGTAGCTTCGGGAGGACAAGCAGGTGAGGAGCACGCAGAGCGCGTGGAAGGTGGCCAGCCCCATGAGCCAGGGCTCAGTCCAGTCCGTCTGCTGTAGGAACACACCAGCAGACACTCACTGTCCTGCCACTCAAGGCCGGGTTCACGGCCCACCCACAGCCTTCTCCCAGCGCAGGAGGCAGGGGCCTCTCACTCCTGAGTCCTCCTGGGCTACTCACCAAGTATCCAGAGAGCATTGCCAGGCCTCAGAGAAACATGGGGACAGGAAAGGGAGAAGGAACCAGGAGGATGGAAACAGGATTCTCCCCTCAGTGCAACTATAATTCATGGAATTCAAAGTTCAAGCACACAGAACTGAAGGCATCTCTGATGTGCTCCTTTCGTTTGTGGAACAGAATCATGTTTTTAAGGTGGGTATAATTAAAGGAATTACCATCCTTTACGATGATAATTGGTTATGATAATTGGTGACGACAAGGAAATTAAGACGATTGCTCAAAGAGATGCACTTGGCTCAGCCCCAAAGGTAAAACATGAATCATCATTTCAGACTCCTTAGTCAGCACTGAAGACCTCAGGGAATCTTGAGCCATCGCCACGTGCAAGACTTGATTTTCTCCAACCTCTCTGCAATACACTGAACTCTCCAGACAGTGCCGCACTCCGCCGCCTCCTGGACTCCCCGGGACCCTGCTGTACCTGGGGACAGTGTCTGGCTCAGGGACCTGAAGTAGCCAGGCTCAGATCCACTGCTGCTCAGTCCCCACCTGATGCTCAGATGCCAATCCCAGCAGTCCTCAACCCTCCCCATCCCCTCCTTGAGCGCCCTCCTGCAGAAGACAAGCCCTGCCCTCCAAGCTGCAGCCCCGCCCTGCCCTCCAAGCTGCAGCCCCGCCCTGCCCTCCAAGCTGCAGCCCGGCACAGCCCTCCAGAACTCCTGTGTCACTACTCTCTGCTGGGGACCGCAGCGGCTTCTCCAGAGCCGCGCCATGACATAAGGACACAAGCGCATCTACTCCCATCAATGCACCCACCAGAAGACCAGAGGCACGGAGGTGAGGGGAGCACGGCTTTCTGCCCAGACCCCATCGAGTGCCCATGTCACCCCTTGGCGGCCACGTGGGGCGTGGGCTCCCCTGGGATCTGTCAGACGAACCCGGCACGGCGCACGCCCCGCCCACACTGGGCAGCGTTCCTCCGTGCCACCCCACACGATCAGGCTCCACCACGCACGCCCCGCCGCACTGCCAGAATCCGCCCACATGGCCCAAGCCCCGCCCGCAAGACGCTGGACTGGCCGGCGTGCACCTCCCACACGAACAAAGCCCTACCCCTCGCGCTCCGCCCACACAACTCAGCCACGCCCGCACGGTGCAGGACGCCAGCCCAGCCCAAGCCCGGGCCACAGAGCGCCGGAGCCAGCTCACTGCGCACGCTCCTCCACAAGGCCCCGCCCGGCCCCGCCCCTCCCCGCCCAACGGCCCAGGACCCCGCCTAGCGCTCGCGCCCCGACGCCCGGCCCCGGCCCCCTCCCACAGGGCCCAGGACCCCGCCCACAGCGCGCGCCCCCGACGCCGGCCCCGAGCCACTCCCACAGGTCTCAGGACCCTGCCCAGCGCGCGCGCTCCGCCACAAGGCCCCGCCCACGGCCGGGGCCTTCTTGGCCACAGGCCGGGTGCTCTGTGGGGCCTACCCTACGCCTCTCCGCCGTCCTCCCCCGAACTGGTGGTTACGCGGGCCGCGAGTTACCGTGAGCACGGCTGGGATGCTGACGGGGAAAGAGCTGACAGAGAAGGCGGACGGCATGGTGTTGGGAAGCCCGCTCTCACAGCAACCGCCGAACCCGGCCTGGCCAGAATCCACAGAGGAGGGCGCCAAATCCTCTCTCGTGAGATCTGCCCTTCTCACGAAACTTGCGCTTGCTTCCTCTCGCGGTAATTTCATGGCATTGCTAGGTCCAGATATCGCGATATTTCCTGGTGGTCGCTGTAATACGGAAAACTTACTACGCTGCTGTGGGACTTGTGCTCGCTCCGCCAGGAGGCCGAGGGCGTCTTTAGTTCGTTAACAGAGGAGCAGGCGGAGGCGGGTGGAATTTAGGAGGTTTGTTTCAAAGGCTCAGGGCGCTGTACCGCCACGCCAGCCCTGTCCCACCTGGGACTCCCTAGAAGGGTCAGAGCATCAATGAGGACGGTGTCCGCCCCGAGACCCTGCAGGAGCCGGGGACATTGCCCACTCCTCGGACCCTGCAGGACTTGGGAAGGTGTCTGCTCTCGCGACCCTAAGGGCAGTGCACTCTTAGTCTGGGTCAGCTTAGGGTTATCTGTCTTCACTTTGGAGATTTACCAGATGTTCTTACGCTTCACTTCGTTGTTCAACGACAGATACAAAAATATAAAGTTAATTTTCTTCCAGCGAATTTTTTCCCTTTATTTTAACATCTATACCCCAACTTTGACATTTTCAAATTAAACATTCTGTTATTTTAACATCATGAATTATTAAGTGTATATACTTTAATTGCATATGTTAGCTCTTGAACTAGTTTAATGTTTCTAAAAATAGTTCTAGTGGTGGACTTTTTTTTTTTTTTAATAGCTTTAACCCCTCCCAGATCTTTCTTAAAATCTTTCCACAGTGTGGTCATTTCTGCTTATGCTACTTAACATGCATTCTCTCATTTCAGTGTAGAAGGTCATGGTTTCTTCTTATGGGAAAACATTTCTTTCATTGATATTTTTCTCTATTCTTCCTGTATTCAACTCCAGGAACATCCCGTTAGGTAGATAGTGCATCTTCCTCTCTTTTGTGTTTCTCAACCTTCCTCTCAAAACATCACGACTGTTGTTGCTGAGTTTGGGAAATCTCGGGCTTGGCTTTCCTGGTTTTTTTTTTTTTTTTTTAAGACGATGTCTCGCTCTGTCGCCCAGGCTGGAGCACAATGGTGGGACCTCGGCTCACTGCAACCTCCGCCTCCTGGGTTCAAGCTATTCTCCTGCCTCAGCCTCCCGAGTAGCTGGGATTACAGGTGTTCGCCACCTCACCTGGCTAATTTTTTTTGTATTTTTAGTAGAGACGGGGTTTCACCATGTTGGCCAGGCTAGTTTTGAACTCCTGACCTCAAGTGATTTACCCGCCTGGGCCTCCCAAAGTGCTGGGATTACAGGCATGAGCCACCGCACCCAGCTGGTGTGATGGTTTTCATCTGTGTCCATTCTCACTCCCCTGTGTTTGTTCAGCTATTTTCAACAGGACCTTTCAGTTACAGGGAATAGATCTGTCCTCTTCAGTTCAGCCTGTTACTGTGTATCTCCCTGATGATATTTCGTTACTATGTGAAACATCACTCTTATTAATTTCCATGGGTTAGTTTCATCGTCAGTCCTGTCTGGTGCCTGCCTTTCTTTTGTGGTGTCTGTTTTCTTGTAACTTCTGTAATTTGGGGTCAAACTCTTTTTGCTATTAATATTAACCACAGCCTATCTACGGTCACTGGGATTTTTTCTCTTCATCTTCCCCTCAGCCGCCCTCCCAGATCTTTCATATATTGTGCGCCCTGGCACCCAAGTTTCCAAAATTGTTAAAACTCTGGCCCTCAGCAGCTTCACTTTCAGTCCCAGGACATTCATCTTCCACATTCCTCCCGCCCTGCCGTTCTGAACAACGCTAGGCTGCCGGACATTTAGACGTGAAGCTTGTGCAATGTCGCCAGTCTGAGATGTGCTTTAATTTCAAACATACACCATCTTTCAAAGACTTTGTACCAAAATGTAAAATACATTATCAACAATTGTATTATTTTGCTTACATGTTGAAATTATATTTTGGACATACTGGACCAAATAAAATATATCAATAAAATTAATCTCTTTCTCTTTGCTATTTTAATGTGGCCAGTAGAACATGGCCTGCTCTCTCTGTTGGTATGTGAATGCTGACATGGACTCTATTCCATTTACCTGGAATTTTGTGCTTCCAGAAAAGACTGGATGAAGCCCCTCCCCTCCCTTCCCCTTCCCTCGCCACCCTTCTCTTCTCTTCCCTTTCCTTTTTTTTTTTTTTTTTTTTTTTTTTTTGCGTTTTGCTCTTGTTGCCTAGGCTGGAGTGCAGTGGCAGGGTCTCGGCTCACTGCAACCTCTGCCTCCTGGGTTCAAGCGATTCTCCCTGCCTCAGCCTTCCGAGTAGCTGGGATCACCGGCGTGTGCCACCATGCCAGGCTAATTTTGTATTTTTAGTAGACACGGGGTTTCACCATGTTGGCCAGGCTGGTCTCGAACTCCTGACATCAGATGATCCGCCTGCCTTGGCCTCCCAAAGTGCTGGGATTACAGGCGTGAGCCACCACGCCTGGCCCAATTTTGTTTATTTCTAAAATAGCTATTTAATCCACATACAATTGGTTTTCAAGAGCTTTATTAATGGGTAAAATAAGTTTGTGAGCTGTAATGTTTTCTACAAATTAAAGCCAGTACTTGATAGCTTTCTTGTTCTTTGCATTGCTCAGGTCCCAGCAGGCAGCTGATTGTTTAGATGGAGAGACCACAGGGGAGAGTTACCTGTTGCTGTGGGAGCAATGAGGAGTTATGGAGGAAAGGAGAGGTACCAAGACCAGGTCTGTGCCCTGTGACCCAGAGGCAGCCTTGGGAGGGGCGTCTGTCTAGGAAGAGCCACAGCCAGGCTGACATGGGCAGGACCCCCTGGACCTGGCCTCCATAGCCCCATGCCAGCCGGGGTGCCAGGTGCAGACCCCTGGCCTGGTGACAGCTCAGACAGTGCCAGAAAGCCCAGGAGGGTCGGACCCTAGGGGACGGCAGGGTGCATCTCAGGAAAGGTTTAAACACTGTAGCACACCCAAAGAATGGTGTGAGCCCAGAGGTTTCATTCCTGAAGACATCATGGCCAATAACTGAGATCCCTGAGAGCTGGACTCTGGGCGCCCTCAGTTTCGATGTCTTGGATGCGAATCAGGCCACAGAAGTGCCCTTATCTCCACCACTGTGTTCTCCATTTATCCCCATTGAACTTGCCAAGCTCAGCAACATCCTGCAGGACACCAACCTCACGGGCTGGGTCTACGACCCCGGGCAGCTTCTGTGCGGGTTCCTGGTTCCTCCCTTTGTGTCTCTGGGCTGCACCAGTTTGACCCTGATGTGAAATCTGATGCCTCTGTCAGTTTGTACAATGCGGTTTACAATAAAGCATTTGACAGCAATGCTTAATTTACCATTTCCAAAGCTCTCATTCCTTTCTGAGCATTTTCAGGTGGTATCATTTCCTCTCAGACTAAAGAATTGCCATAAGCATCCCATGCAGTTCAGATCTGTCGGGGATGAATCGACTTCATCTGAAAAATGCTCTTGTTTTGTCTTCATTTTAAAGGATATTTTTTCTGTGAATTGTTGAATACTGCTTTTCTTTCTTTTCTTTGACCACATGAGAGATATTCCACAGCCTTCTGTCTGCCATAGTTTCTTGTAGAAAAGCAGTGATGTTTCTAATCCTCATTTTCCCATAGATAACATGTCATTTTTCTGTTTTCAGAATATTCTGTTTATCTTGGTTTCAGCAGTTTGACCACGATGTGCCTAGAATTAGTTTTCTTTGTATTCATGTTGCTTGTGTTTGATAAATTTCTTGATTCTGTGAATTTATATTGTTAATTTTTAGCATTATTTCTTCATTTTTTCTCTCTCATTCTTTTTCTTCTCTTTATTAGATGAGGACTGAACATTAGACTTCCCATGATTGCAGAACTGTCCTTCGCTGCAGCTGTAAAATCGCGGCAAGGCAGGATTCATCCTGGTGGTGGGTGCAGGCCCTGATTCCCGTCACTGAGCAGGGATACAGCAGGAAGCTCCACCTCTGAGCACAGCAAGGGGATTGTTCTGATTCTGAGTGTGTCTGTTTGCTAGAGCGGTGGCCACACTTCCCCGGTTCTGCAATTGTGGATAATTTAGCATGACTTGTTGGGCATTGCAAATATCATGTCGTGGAGAGTCTGGGCTCTGTTATTTTTTCCAGCTGTGTGTGTGTGTGTGTGTGTGTGTGTGTGTGCATGCACGCGCACGCGTGTGTGTGATGAGACCATTAAGTTGGTTTGACAGACTGCAAACTGCCTGTTGAACAGCAGCTGAATTCTTAATTTGGTTCTTTTATCCTTCTTGTGTTTCGTGGAGTTTGCCTCACACATTCAGCGTTCGGATGTCAACTGGAGTTCTGGATGGAAGTTATACACAGAATTTGGGGTTCTCCATCTCTGATTCTCTCCTTCCTTCTCAATTTTTAGCAGGCATATTCCCAATTTCTTCAGGAGGGAAAGACCAAGGGTTTCCTGTTGGTGTTTTGGCAACTCCGCATGGCATGGCGTCAGACTCACCCTAAGCTAAAAACCATAAAAGCCCTCTTTCCCTTTGTTTCTTCCACACATCACACTCCCCTCCCATAATCCATGCTTTTCATCTCCACTCACTTTTTATATTTGCTCATTGTCTAGATATTCCCTGCAGGAGAGTGACATTAGACGGGCTCACTTGGCCACCATGGGAAGCAGAAATCCAGAGATGGACACATTCCCTAAATGCTTCTATGCTGCCCTGTAGGAGAGGTGTTACTCTACTCACATTGCCGTGAGGAAACTGAGGCTCAGAAGTAGCATCCTTTGTCTGAAAGGACATAGCTCGTGAGCGCTGGAAGCATAGTTTGGTGTCTGACTTGGCCAATTCCAAAGCTTGTGTGATTTGCACCAGCACTCAGATGCATTCTTCCCTCTCCCTCCCTACCCAAGAAAAATGCTATCCCTCCCTTTTCCTCTAATTAGAAAATTCTTTTGTATAGTAGGAGATTATTAGGAAATAATCATTTCTCTCCAAAAGTAACACACTGAGGAGGCAGTATCTGAGGGTTTTGCCCAAATATGGCCTTTCAACCTCTGAATTCATGCCTACAGAAATTCCAAGATGTTTGTCATAGCATTTTTATTCTAACCCTCCTTAATGAGTGATACAGTTTGCCTGTGTCCCCACCCAAATCTCATCTTGAATTGTAGCTCCCATAATCCCCATGTGTCATGGGAGGGACCCCATGGGTGGTAGTTTATTCATGGGGGCAGTTACCCTCATGCTGTTTTGCTAATAGTGAGTGAGTTCTCATGAGATCTGATGGTTTTATAAGGGGCTTTTCCCCCTTTTGCTGGGCACTTCTCCTTGCTGCCGCCACGTGAAGAAGGATGTGTTTGCTTCCCCTTCTGCCATGATTGTAAGTTTCCTGTGGCCTCCCCATCCCTGAGGAACTGTGAGTCAATTAAAGCTCTTTTCTTTATAAATTACCCAGTCTTGAGCAGTTCTCTATAGCAGCATGAGAATGGACTAATACAATGGGTTGGAAACATCAAGGACTCCAAAGCAACTTTTCTGATCACTGAAAATGGCTCACACTAGGGACACGAAGGCAAGGTTTGCAGCTTCCTGCCCATGTCTGTTCTATGCCTGACTGGCTGTGCCCAACTTATACAGGCTGGACTCATCTTTCCTTCTGTCTCTATGGCAACCCTCTCAGAGAGCCAGCAGGGGCAAATCTCTGCTCTCCTATAACCTTGGGGCCTCTGGCTACCTTCAAGGCAGCCACTTTTATTTTCTCTAACAATTCAGGGCAGGTAGGGAAGACTTGTGGGTGTCCCAGACACTGGACAGTGATTACTGGGGTTTACCATCCTACTTGTTTGTAATGCACTCTAGCTCACTCAAGTGTAATTTTAAATGCAGTTGTTAAATGGCAATGAAATTTCCAGTTCCACTTAAAGCAATCATAGCTCATTCTTACTGAATTAAAAGACCCAGGCTACCCTGCTGGGTATGGTTTACCTTGTGTTCACTTAGGTGTACCTGCTATTCTCCTGGCATCACAGAGAGACAAAAGTCCCCAGGATGGATGGTACAAGTATGAAACGCCTGCTTGAGATGAGAAGCCAAAATCAGGGGATTATTCCTGAGGCTTTAATATGCAGATTGGTCTTTGGAGTTCATTGATTGTTAGGGCAGTTTCTCTGACATAAAAATTAATCTTCAGAAATTTACACACTCATAGAGAATGAAGCTGGCAGGATTTAGCCTGCCCAGTGTACATTTCTCATTGGTGCAAATTCACATCTTGACATATGTTGATAAGTTTAGGCTGATGTGTCTTGTAATGATGTTGGTATTCAGGGAAGTTTATGCCAATCTTCACGTGAAGTGGTCCTTCCTTAGGAATTGCTGTGGTTCTCTGACTTTCTGCACTACTGTATGACTTCCTGGGCCACCATAATGAGACACTACAGCCTGGGCAGCTTGAACAGCAGAAACTTATTTCTTTACAGTTCTGGAGGCCAAAAGTCTAACATTATTAAGACATTGACAGGTTGGTTCTTTCTGAGGCCTTTCCCTTTGGCTTGCAGACACATCTCCCCATGTGCACACAGGGTCATCCTCCTGTGTGTGTCTTTGTCCTGATCTTCTCTTCTTATAAGGACTCCAGTCAGGTAGGATCGAGGCCCACCCTTATATGCTCATTTAACTCACTTTCCTTTCAAAGGCCTCGTCTCCAATCACTGCAGCCTTCTGAGATGCGGGGTTTGGACCTGACATATAAATTTGGGGACACAAGTTGGCCCACAACACCACCAAGGGTACCACTGAGCACAGACAGAACTTGGTTCTCTTTCCATTTTCTTCTCTCAAATTTTATAAGCTTGTGGAATATCAAAAAGAAAATGGACCTTAGATCAGGGAAGATTTTATGTGAATATGAGTTCTCACTTGGAATGACCTTAGAATACTGTTTTTTGATTATCAAAGCCTCAGCTTGCCTTTGTGAGAATAAGGACAATAATACTTTTCTAATGTGTGGTTTTAAGGATTTGGGATGAAATGCCTTAAATGCCCAGCTCTGTGCCAGGCACATGGCACATGCCTAATAAAGACCAACCATTAGGACTCGAATGTTGTTGCCTCCTCTAAAGATGAAGGTGTTTATCTTGCTGTCCTCAGGGGGTCCTCTTTTTATCTCTTTTCTTTTTAGTTCATGAGACCAACACTGTTTATTTACAAATATTTTCTGCACATGTTGATGTAATGTAAATGGAAAACACAGTGCTGCTTCCTTTATTTTTTGGATGGTGATATGGTTTGGCTTTGTGTTCTCACCCAAATCTCATGTCAAATTGTAATCCCCACATGTCAGGGGAGGAGCCTGGTGGGAAGCGATGTGATCATGGGGGAGGATTTCCTCCATGGTGGTCTCGTGAGCTCTCATGAATTCTGATGGCTTAAAAGTGTGGCACTTCCCACCTCACTCTCTCTCTTTCTCCTGCTGCCATGTAAGTAAGACATACCTTGCTTCCTCTTCACCTTCCACCATGATTGTAAGTTTCCTGAG
Source organism: Homo sapiens (assembly GCF_000001405.40). Classification (NCBI taxonomy): domain Eukaryota; kingdom Metazoa; phylum Chordata; class Mammalia; order Primates; family Hominidae; genus Homo; species Homo sapiens. Next base: position 684,951 of record NC_000002.12, read on the forward strand.
GTCTCCCTAGCCATGCAGAACTATGAGTCAATTAAACCTCTTTTCTTTATAAATTACCCAGTCTCAGGTAGTTTTTTATATAAAAGAGTGAAAAAAAAAACTAATACAGAAAATTCGTACCAGAAGTGGGGTACTGTTATAGATACCTGAAAACATTGAAGCAGCGTTGGAACTGGGTTACAGGCAGAGGTTTGGAGGGCTCAGAAAAAGACAGATAGATGTGGGAAAGTTTGGAACTTCCCAGAAACTTGTTGAAGATGGTTTTGACCAAAATGCTGATAGTGATATGGACAATGAAGTCCAGGCTGAGGTGATCTCAGATGGAGAAAAGGAACTTACATGGAACTGGAGTAAAGGTCACTCTTGCTATGCTTTAGCAAAGAGACTGGTGACATTTTGCCCCTGCCCTAGAGATCTGTGGAACTTTGAACTTGAGGGAGATGATTTAGGGTATCTGGCAGAAGAGATTTCTAAACAGCAAAGTGTTCAAGATGTGACCTGGATGTTTCTAATGCATATAGTCATATACATTAGAGACAAGAGAACATCTAAAATTGGAACTTATGTTTAAAAGGGAAGCAGAGCATTTGAAAAATTTGCAGCCTGACACTATGTGGTAGAAAAGAAAAACCCATTTTCTGGGGAGAATTTCAAGCTGCCACGTTCAGAAATTTGCATATGTAATGAGGAACCAAAAGTTAACAGTCAAAACAGTGGGGAAAATGTCTCCAGGACCTGTTGGAGACCTTTACAGCAGGCCCTCCCATCACAGGCCCAGAGACCTGGGAGGAAAAAGTGTTTTTGTGGGCCAAGTGCAGGGCACAGATGCTCTGTGCAGCCTCAGGACATGGTGCCCAGTATCCCAGCCACTCCAGCTCCAGCCATGACTAAAAGGGGCCAAGGTACAACTTGGGACATGGCTTCAGAGGGTGCAAGCCCAAGCCTTGGCATCTTCCACATGCTGTAGGGCCTGCCGGTGTGCAGAAGGCAAGAATTGAGGTTTAGGAACCTACTGCTAGATTTCAGAGGATGAATGGAAACACCTGGATGTCCAGGCAGAAGGTTTTCTGCAGGGGTGGGGCCCTCATGGAGAAGCTTTGCTAGGTCAGTGCAGAAGGGAAATGTGCGTTTGGAGCCCCCACACAGAGTCCCTGCCCAGTGGCACTGTGAGAAGAGGGCCACCATAGGTATGGTGGCCACCATCCTCCAGATCCCAGAATGGCAGATCCACTGACAGCTTGCACTGTCAATTAAAGCTGTTTTGTTTTGTTTTTTTTATAAATTACCCAGTCTTGAGCAGTTCTTTATAGCAGCATGAGAGTGCACTGACAGTGCACCTGTAAACACTGCAGGCACTCAGTGCCAGTCCTTGAGAGCAGCTGTGGGGGCTGAACCCTGCAAAACATGAGGTGGAGCTACTCAAGGCCTTGGAAGCCCACCTCTTGTGTCAGCATGCCCTCAATGTGAGACATGGAACCAAACGAGACTATTTTGCAGCTTTAAGATTTAATGACAGCCCTGCTGGATTTTGGACTTGCATGGGGGCCTGTAGCCCCTTCATTTTGGCCAATTTATCCCATTTGGAATGGAAGCCTTTACTTTGCCTGTACCCCCATTGTATCTTGAAAGTAACTAACTTGTTTTTGATTTTATAGGTTCATAGTCAGAAAGGAATTGCCTGGCTTCAGATGAGACTTTGGACTTGGAATTCTGAGTTCATGATGGAATTAGTTAAGATTTTGGGGGACTGTTGGGAAAGCATGGTTGATTTTGCAATGTGAGGACATGTGATTTGAGAGGGGGCAGGGTTGGAATGATATGATTTGGCTCTGTGTCCCCATCCAAATTTCATGTGGAATTGTAATCCTCATGTGTCAGGAGATAGACCTGGTGGGAGGTGATTGGATCATGGGGGTGGATTTCCCCCATGCTGTTCTCATAATAGTGAGAGAATTCTCATGAGATCCAATGGTTTAAGAGTGCGGCACTTCCTCTGCTGCTCCTGCCACCATGTAAGACATGCCTTGCTTCCCTTCACCTTTTGCCATGATTGTGTTTTCTGAGATCTCCCCAGCCATGTGGAACTGTGGGTCAATTAAACCTCTTTATAAATTACCCAGCCTCTGGTAGTTCTCTATGGCAGTGTGAAAACAGACTAATAAAGATGGCATTATTTCCAAATAGTCACTTGGCAAAATCATGGCAGTTGATGAAATGCCCATGTTAGAGGCCAGAAGAAGTCATAATCCAGTGTCATCTTTGTTTGTTATACAGATGAAGGGATTAAACAAATCCTTCCTATTAATACTCCCTTCTCTCCAAAGTACCAAAAAATGTTTAGAAACAGAGTTCAATAAGTCACTTACAGAAAAGAATAATAATGATATATCAATATCATGAACATTAGAAATGTATACCATACAAATAATTATTAATTGGCCAATATTTAAATAAAGGTGCTATTCCCGTTCTTTGATATCAGTTGATGACTAGAGGTAGGAATAGTCTTTGCTACTTAAACTTCACCTAAAATGTTTCTCAGAGATTTCCAATTCAAAGTGAACATAACTTTAATGACACTTGAAAAATTATCTTAGTATAGGCTATTTCTAAGTTATTTATTTATTTATTTATTTTTGCTTTTCCTTTCATCAAAATGGACTCCAATATTTACAAATCTTTCCAAAGTATTCAATTTAGTCCTAACTCAGGAATTATGAATATTAGTATTTAATTTAGTTAAATGATATAATGACAAGCAAAACTATATTGGCTTGGGAAGAAATACAGCTTACTTTCCATAAATAGGTGAATCCCTGGCTAGGAACACACACATGCTGGCCTTGGGACTTTCTAACTCTGTAGGACACAGCAAATCAAAATAGAGGTCCTGGGAGGGATCCACTAATTTAGTGAGTTAGACAAAGAATGATTTATGGCAGTAACCACATTCAGGAGAAATATTCCTATAAAAACTCAGCAAATATGGAAAACTGAGCACATGAAGCAAAAATATTTAAAGATTTTCAGAAATTTGGAAAACCTAAATTACATTTTAAGACATAGGATGTCATGATCTATTTTGTGCTGATATAGTAGAATACCTGAGACTGGGTAGCTTATAATAAACAGAAATGTATTGGCTCACAGTTCTGGAAGCTGGAAGCTCAATATCAAGGTGTTGGCATCTTGCAAGGGCCTCCTTGCTGTGCCATCATATGGCAGAACGCACAGAGAAGGAGAGAACCACTCCATTAATCCCACCATGAGGGCAGGGCTCCTGTGGCCTAACGACCTCTTAAAAGTCTCCCTCTAAATACTGATGGAATGCCAATTAAGACTCAATGTGAGTTTTGGAGGGGACAAACATTCAGACCTTAGCACAGGAATCATGAATGTAGGCAGTAGAAATATATAAACAAGGTTATAATCATCATTGAGCACTATTTGATATTTATCTTCAATATTTGTGGTTTGAATTTTCTGACCATGGGGAGACCTCAGAGAAACCTCAGAGAGACTTTGGAAAGACCACAGAGACCTCAGAGAGATCATAGAGATGCCTTGGAGAGACCACAGAGACACCTCAGAGCAATCAGAGAGAGACCACAGGGAGTCCACAGGGTGACCACGGAGAGACCTCAGAGAGACCATGAGGAGATAATAGAGAGACTTTGGAGAGACTGCAGAGACCTCAGAGAGACCACAGAGAAACCTTGGAGAGACCACAGGGAGTCCACAAGGAAACCACAGACAGACTATGAGGAGACCATAGAGAGATGCTGAAGAGACTACAGAGAGACCTCAGAGAGACCACCGGCCGACCTCAGAGACACCTCAGAGAGACCACAGAGAGAACACAAATGGACCACGGGGAGACCACAGAGAGACCAAGCCTGTGGCCTGTGGATTTCAGCCAGTGCAGCCCTTCAGCCTTCTGACAGGCAGCACTGTGGGGCCGTCTGGGTTGTTTTCAGCCACTAAGTTTTTGGTAATTTGGCAGCAGCCACAGGAAATGAACGCATCCCCACACCTTTCTCCTTTAGCTTTTTTGCAATTTCCACGTATATCTTGCCCCTTTATTTTATGCTGAAGTTTTGAGTATCAATATGTATATAGCACTTGTTCTATTAAAAATACACAGAGTTGGCCATGCACGGTGACTCACACCTGTAATCCTGCACTTTGGGAGGCCAAGGTGGGCAGATGCCGAGGTGGGCAGATCACAAGGTTAGGAGTTCAAGAGCAGCCTGGCAAACATGGTGAAACCCCGTCTCTACTAAAAATACAAAAATTAGCTGGGTGTGGTGGTGCGTGCCTATAATCCTAGCTACTCAGGAGGCTGGGGCAGTAGAATCGCTTGAACCCAGGAGGTAGATGTTGCAGTGAGCTGAGGTTGTGCCATTGCACTCCAGCCTGGGCGACAGAGCAAGACTCTGTTAAAAAAAAAAAAAAATTACTCAGAGTATTTTTGGAATTGACCCGATAGTATTTTTCTTTTCTTAGTGGGAGTAAAACATTCCAAGATGTAATATGTAATGTTTGTTCTCTAGCTCTCTTTTTAATTAACAAGCGTGAAGACAAAAGTTTCCACTTTTAGCTTTTACATTAGAAGTATTTTCTTTGCTCATTTTTTCCCTTTTAACTAGCATTTTATATTTATTCTACTGTATACTATTTACATCTAAAATAAGAGCCACTGTCTCTTATTTTAGTAAATATTTATTTACTAAACAGTAAAATATTTATTAGCATTCTTAAATGAATGACAAAATACTTATTTTTAAATTTTTTCATTAACCCCATCACCCCCAATTTCCATGAAAGCAAAATAAAGTGTTTTAAATCTATTACTATAATGAGTTTTCTATTATGTCCTTTATTTTATAAACTTATTTTTGACAGTTGCATTTTTCAAATGCCTTTTAATATCATTACTTTGAACACAAATTCAATTTTTCCACTTTGTTGATCACTGGCATTTTTGTTAATACTTTCTCTTTCTGGTTCTTCAGTCTTTATTTTTACCACCTGTGCCGGTGGGCTTCTCTGCCGGAAGCTGCAGTGCCTGGCTGAGGCTGTCCCCGTGGTGCTCTCAGGCTCAGCCAGCACGTGGCCCTGGGCTGGCTGCATTTCTCCTCTGCCCCGGGGCTGCCGGAGCCCCATGTCCCTGCCCATCGGTGGAGGCTGGGCTGAACCCCACATGCTGCCCTGTGAGGTCCGTGCTATGGTTGGGATCCATTTCCACCTAGATTTACCCGTTGAAGCCTTGACCTACCTTGCAGGGCACCTTTACTCCTTCCAGTTTAGGCGTTTGTGTTGCTTTCTTCCCAGGATTCAGTGGCATGGCGGCCTTCACTGGGCAGAGATTTGTGGTCAAGCTGAGTCCGGCTGCCACGTCCCAGCCTCGCCCTTCTCTGCCAGACAAGACTCACCCTCACTGGGTGTCTGTGGCCGCGCTGTCCCCCACGTTCAGCACTTGTTCTGAACTTGTTGGTAGCCTGGAGATTTTATTCAATGTAAATTTAAAGAAGAAAAAGCCGATGACACTCGCTTATCAAAATGACTAGCACGCAGACGGTTTTGTCTGAGGAAGCGATCTCTGAATAAAAATATTAAAACCTTTTTCACATTTCATGTTTACTCATGACAGTAGACAAAAAATGTTAAGCAAGATGAGGAAGGCCTGAGTCCAAGAGTGAGAAATTTCACAACAAATGATTTAGCTATGAAAAGAAAAATAGTTTGGGCAATAGAACTTGAACTATCATAGGAGAAAAGCATAAGGTTAGATTATTTAGAAAAATATATCAAGACTCGAATACGAAGGTAAACAGCAATGTGCCTTGTTTCAGAGAACAAATAACTCATAGCATAAAAAAGAATGAAAAGGAGATAAAGGCATTTGGAAAAGAAATTTAACGGTAACGTAGAAGTCAGTTGAAGTCCTGTTTTTCTGTTTGTAGGATCTATTTTTAACATATTTACAAACAAACTAACAAAAAACTACCTCAGCTGACAGATTTACAAACGAGCCAGAGGACCCTGGGACTGTGGCACACGCCGCTTGCATCAAGGTTTTGCGCCAGGAGAGGGAAGCTGGGCGGGTGCTCCGAGGGAGGAGTCCAGAGCTGTTTTCTGCAGTTCTCAGAAGAGCCCCGTTGAGCTGGGATTCTTCACTGAAATATATCATTCCTCCTTTAACTTGAAATAAAAAAAATCATAAACTCTCCTGTGCCGAAGCAGATACCCAGGAAAGCGTTGCCTCATGTTTCACAGTTTTCTCAGAACTTTGAAAATGTGACTAAAAATTATCTAAAAATGGATACAGTATACTTCATATTCACCAAAATCAAATAAAACATTTAGGTTCTAATTTACCATCTTACTTATTGATTCAATTAAATATGTTTTACTTACCAAATGTGAGTACTTTCTATCCTCTTTTTAGATTTAGTGACTAATAAACTCTAAATAAAGCATTTCAAACTTACTTCATTATGCATTCTGGCATTTATTTGGAAGTTTTCATATCTTGATTTTAAAGATTTGAAATTGGCTTTAATTTTTATATAGTGTATTTTTCTCAAATAATTTATAACTCAAGTTGACGTAAATGTCTATGAAACTGTGTTTATATTGACTGTAAATGTCCACCCAAGACTACTTTGGGCAAAGGTCATTGTGAAATGAGATGCTCATGCACTTAAAAAAAAAAAAAAACTAAATTATCAAAAATATAGATGTTAAAGTCATATAGGTTACAAATTTACAGTTATAAATATACAACTTATGAAAAGGCATCCATTTACCTGTAATGTTAGAAGTCATGTTTCTAACGCTTACAGTAAAGCACACTGGCTCAGAGGCTGACCCAGAAGCAGGCTCGCTGCTCTAAGCACAAAGGCGTGCGGTGGATTTCCAAAGTCAGAATTTCAGGAGCAACGCCAGACACCAGTGTCAGCGGTCTCAGCCGCACTCAGAAGCCAGTCGGGAGAGGACGGCTGCCCTGGCCTTTTCCACGCCCCGCATCTCTCTCCAGCTCAGTTCCAAGATCAGGACGCAGATCAGGCGGCGCAGGGCCATGCCTGCACCCGCGCCGGGGCCCCAGCTGGAATTCACACGCTGCTCCACGCTTCCCCTGGGCTCCCCATCAGCCCCGCAGCTCTCGGACTCTCCATCCTCAGCGGCTGCTCCCTTGGGGGTCCCTCCTGCCTGGGGCTTGTGTGGGCCTCTATTGGCTTTTATCCTGGACAGGCATGCTAGGACCACTCCCACGGGGCCTCTGGGCATGGGAGACAGTCCTCTCTTCCCTCGGGCAGCAGCAACTCCATTCTCTCATGGTCACCTGGGCCCCCTATTAGCCCCTTTGTTCTGTGGGCCCTGAAGTGCTTAGAACTGCACAGTGGCTGGGGACCATCTCAATCTCTAGCCCCCGGAACCATTTCTGTGCCTGGTGGGAGCATTTCTCCCTGGTGTCGTCTTGCTGAGGGTAATTTATATTGGCTGTGGAAACAGAGAAAGACCGGGGTCTCAGTGGCGTCATGCCTTTTCTGGCTCATGACACATCCAGTCTGGGTCTGCCTGGCCTCCCGAGGTTCTCACGGCTGTCTCTATAGGAGGAAGAGGGCTGGGAGATGGTACAGAAAGTGGAAAGGGCCTGGCCTAACACTGTCTACACCACTTCTGCCCACGTTCCATGGTTCAGAACCTCCCCACACAGCCCCTGTGCCATGACCCTCCTGACACCACGGCCTCTGGGGCCTGCGGCACCGGCTGGCGGGAAAATACCACCCGGAGTCACAGGTGTGCAATATTGCCCTCTCAACTACCGAGGCTGGTAGTGTGAGCCAAGTGCAGCCTGCCAGGCCGGGTGGGCGAAAAGAGCTCAGCAGGCCAGAGCAAAACTCAGGCAAAGGCCCCACCAGCCACAGAGGTTTCCAGCCAGAAAAACGACACCCCCGCAATCCCATAACAGTATCTGAGAAGATTCAGCTGGACACCTACACACTGTGCCCTGTAGGCAGTGGCTCCTCCCACCTCCCACACTTACCCCAGGCAGCGGCTCCTCCAGCCTCCCACACTTACCAGGAGCCCAGCAAGCTCTTCCTTAGGCTGAAGCCATCCTGACTCAAATCTGCAAGAGACTCGGGTATCTTGAGGGTGCTAAATCAAGTTTAGCCTAAAGCTGCCTCCTTACATATTTTAAGTTCGGCCTAAAGGTTTTTCTGCACATCATGAACCATAACAAGGAGAGGTGTAAGTAGACCGTAGCCTACACTTGTGCCAGTCACTGAGTTTCGGCCAATCAAACATAGCCAACTGTTCAAACTGTGTTCAAATAAGGCAAATGCTGAGCCATAACCAATCCAATGTCCCTTCAATGTCCATAAATCTTCTTCCAACCAAATGGTTGTGCTGGAGCCTCTGAACCTACTCTGACTCAGAAGGCAGACTGATTCGCAATTCATTCATTGCTCAAAGACTTTTAAATTTAATTTGGCTGAAGTTTTTATTTTATCAAGGGTTACCCCACAGCAAGAGCCCCTACAGAAGCCCGCACGTCATGCTTGCCATCCGCCTTCCTTCTCTCTCAACAAAGAAGGAGACCAGGATTTGGAATAGTGGAACCCAATTTTTTAAAAGTCGACAACTCCTGGAAGCCACTGTAGCGACTCGGAATCAACATTCTCAGGTAAGAAGCTCCGAGATTTAAGAGCGTGCTCTGCCCCCGTGATTTCTTGTGGAGGACTCCATCCCAGCACATCTGTATATATCCCATAATAATAGCTGACTTGTCCTGCATCTCACTTTCATTATGAGAAAAATCATAGTTACAGAGTCACATATTTTTAACCACATCAGGAGATGACCTCATCAGTAAATAGAAAGGGGTTATACGTAAGAAATGGGAATTTGTATGTGAGATTGGGTGCATGAAGATCACTGACTTTATGACAAAGGAAAGTCTGGAATTAGGTATTTACAGGGTTCTTTCTTTTATTATGAAATTACACTTCTTTGTCGAAGTTTGCTTTCAAGGGCTTGGTCCTGGCTGTAGAAAACACATTAAAAAGACACAAAACTTGCTCCCTTTATTTTCCGTCCAAATGCCTTCTTGGTCTTTGAATTAGACCTAACAAAATTGTAATGATTTCATTAATGAAAGGATAGAAATAAACCAGAAAGCCTGGGTTTATTTCTATCCTGCTCCTAGAGAAGATGATTATTCCATGTGTGTTTTGTTCTGGGCTTTTAAATGTACCATCTTATCAGGAGATTGCTAACATGACAAGTATTTTAAAAATAAACAAAACCATTTCATAAAATGTAACAGACCATAAACATACTCCACATTGTGTCTAATAGTTTGCTGTTTTAAAGCATGTGTGTTAAGGAATTACTGGTTTACTCCACTCTCTTCCATTGGCTGACAGAGAATATGCTGACTTTGTTTTTCTGTGCAAGATGTTTAACGTAGTGTGTAATAATACCGACCTCCACAAGAGAACCTAAACAAATAAACCTAAGGAAGTTAAAACTTCTCTCTCTTGATTTTGAAGTTCTCTTTCCCATATAACTTATAGAAGCATATTTTTATTTCCTTTACCTCTACAAATTTACAGTAAGCTCAATTTCATTATTTTAAGAGTTCAGGCCCTCTAATAATATCTCCTCCACACAACCACGCAGAGCATTTATTCAAAAGGCTGCATAAAGCTGTTTTGTGAAAGCTTTAGCTGACAAATATCCTGAAATCACCATCTTCCATTTCCTGCTGGAGGGCTATGCTTTTCTCCTGCAGTTCGGTGAGACATCCTTCTCTCTGCAGCCTCCTCCGTTTACTTTACAGGAGGGTCCAGGCTTCCTTTTCTTCAATAATCTATTATGCCTTACTTCATAGTGGTATTCAAATTGTTCATTCAATAGTAGTATTTTAAATTTTATTTTGCTTGTATATTTGCCTTTCACTAAAGAATATAAATGAAACAGACTTTTATATATCTATTTTAAATTTACTCTGGCATAGAAAAGAAAGTTAATTTAGAATTTCGGCAGGTCCTTAATGCCAGCTTTTCCCTCTTGCCAGGCTCACATTTCTAACGTAGTTCCCTTTTTTACCCGTTGGAAATCTATCACAAAAACACCCATGCTGTTTTTATAAAGACTTATTTTTCCTGGCTTTATTTCCTACCACAATCAGAAGAAACACGGAGACTCTAGCTGTCTAAAAACCTGGGTCCTCGTTAGAACTTTCTGTTGCCAAGGGCAGGCTTCTCTTAGTTGCTTGCTGAGCAGAAATGCCACCTTCCCACTGGGCTCCATGCCAGCTCTGGTGGCCTAGGAAGAAGGGGAGAGAAAGCTGCCAGGAACAGGCTACAAGATTCCTCCAAAGACCTTGATGTCCAGGTTAGGAAACCATGTGTTCCTATGACTTCCCATATAAACAGGATAAATGTTTGTTATCCATGTGGCTGGGGCTTGTGTTCCAGGAGTGAGATTCAAGTTGCTTAGCGCTTCCTAGAAAAGTGTTGGTCTGTTAGAAACAGGCATGAGAAGCCTGGTAATTACCAGCACTGCTGATCACACTGGAGGAAAGAAAAAACTATCTTCATCTTAAGTGGGATTTCCAAAGCAAGCATGAGGAGTTCCTTATTAGAGCCATAATAGCTTCAGAGATGATACATTTATTCCCAGGAAATGTATCAGACATGCATCTTCCACCTTCTGTACATTATAAACTTTGCAGAAAATAGCTAGTTGACTCAAATTGATGAAATGATCATTTTTTAATTTATTACACTGTGACAGCTGTACATATTTCTCATTTGCTTAAAGTTAATTTGATCCAGAAATTATTGATCAACATAAAGCTTATTTAGAAGATAATTTTATATGTTGATATTCCTTAATAAATATTTTCAAAACTCAACAAAGGTATTGGCACCTTACATTCTGCATACAAAATTACAGTATGCTTTACAAGTGAAAATAAAAATAGAATATTATGCCAGAAATAAAAAGACTTTTAAATTATTAATTTAACTATTGATACACCCCTACAAACTGAACTTTTAAACTTTAATGTACTGTCTAGATTTAAGTTGGTATCGTCTTACATGTTAAAAAATAATTGTGCTTATCAAACATTGATTATGAAACTACTTTCTCCTCAAACTTTTTTAAAATTTGGGAACATAATTTAATCTTGGTTTATCACATCCGTTGTTTCAAAAATCACATTAGTTTTAGAAAAAAGGGTACTATGAACCAGAGGGAATAAAACTGTAAAGAAAAAATTAAGAGAGAGGGTAGAGAGCCATAAACTGTTGTTCAAATCACTGGTGTGTGCCACAGAATTTACCAACTTCTCACACTGCATCCAAGGCATCGCCCCCATGACTGTCCTGCCAGCTCACAGGGAAGATCTCTCTCCTTCTCCACACAACATTTGCCATTTTTGGGAAGTCAGTGTCATCAGGAATCTAAGGCTATTTTTCTTTCTCAGAGCCTTAATATTTTCCCCAAGGCCAAAAACATTTTCTACTTTAAATGTCTTAAAATACTCTTCCTGTCTTTCCCCATAAAGACCAAATCCCTGATGGCTGGTGTGGCCAGGCATGTAGTGGAGGCTGGCCCTGGAGAGAAGAGGAACAGAAACTGATTTTAATCTCAAGGGGCTGAAGCTGGAGCTCCACATGTGACCCCCAGAAGCACGGGTTAGTGAGAAGAAGGGTGCCCTCAAAGAGAGGCTGAGACACAGCTGGGTGACCTCAGTCCCTAGGTGAGCAGGCGTCATCTGCCTCTAGCTGGGCCACCAGCCAGCGTCAAATGGCTCCGCTTTGGGGAAAGACTGTATCATCCGGAGCCCCCCATTATCTCTGCTATCATTTACACAATCATGTGACATTCACTCAGATGTCACCAAGCACACACAGAGACTTCACTGACTCCCCACAATCAGGACATTTAATCTCAATCAAAATCAAACATCAGGAGATCAGAAATCAAACAAGGCTATCAGACAGACTTAACAATTGATAAATATGCTCAATAAATTATTTGACAAGATGGGAAATTTGTTCCCTATCTTGACATAATGATCATATGTTTGCGTAATAGTAATCATTGACTAATGTCCATAGCCTATTTGGGATTCCTTAGTTGCTAACCTGATGTTATCTTTCTGTTCCAGGACCCCATCCGGGACGCCGCTGTGCATGCAGCTGTCACATCTCCCTGGACCCCCCTCTGCTGGCAGTTTCTCAGATTTTCCTTGTTTTCGATGACTGGGATAGTTTTGAAGAGTAATGGTCAGGCATGCTGTAGAATTTCTCTCAGTTGGGGTTTTTCTGATGATCTGATTGGGATTATGGAATTTGGGGAAGAAGACCATAGAAGTAAAGTGCTATTTTTATTACACCCTGCCAAGGAGCCTTCTGTCAATGACTCATCACTAAATCACCCGCCTCACCTGGCGGTCGTGGCCTCTGCCAGGTTTCTCCACAGGAAAGTTACTCCCTTGTCCCGCTTTCCAGACTCACTGGAGCAAAGTCACTATGCATGGGCTTCACTTAAGCAGCGGGAGTTACGCTCTCTTCCCCTAAGAACATGGAGTCTGCAACTTTATTTGGAATCCTCTGCAAGAGAGATATGTCTGTTAAATATTTACCCATTAGTTCATATCACGATAAACTCATAGGTATTTATTTTATAATTGGATTATGAGCCAATGCTGCTTTTTGTTATCATTATTGTTTAATCTTTCCAGTTTCAGTTGCAGGCCAGATCTTTCCATTGGCTCCTGTGGCCCTGACGTGCCCTGGCAATGTGGCTGTTCATTTTTATTTTTTCAGCAGTTATTAATTTCCTAGCACTACAAGGTGCCCCCAGCTTACCTTGTCTATTTCCTGTTCTACTCCTAGAATCCACAGTTTCTCTGGGGAGCCCTGGTTCCTTTTACTGGAGATTAGCAATTGAAGCAAAGATCTGGGTATTTCATGTTATCTTTGATATTGGGTTGTCATTGCTTTTAGCCCTAGTGAGTGACAGAGCAGGAATCTACACATGTACATACATATTTCTATAAATATTTCTTTATGGAACTTATGTTGAGGACCACATGAATGCACACTGGTTTCTCCACTCCTAATCCATGTCCAGATGATCATTCTGGCCTTAAATTGCTCTTCTTTTCTTCTTCCTAAGGCGGAAGCTTAGATTATTAATTTTATATCTTTACTTTTTTATGATGTGCATTTAATGCCATAAATTTCCATTAAGTACTGCTTTCACTACATCCCTCAAATTTTGATAAGTTGTATTTTCATTTTTATCTAGCTCAAAATATTTTAAAATTTCTCTTGAAAGTTCTTTGACTCGTGTATTTAAGTGTGTACTGTTTAACCTTTAAATATTCGGGTTTTTTCTTTCCATCTATTGTTCTGCTATTGATTTGCAGTCAATTACAGTGTGATCTGGGAACATATGCTGTGTTCTCTGACATTTTTAAGGTGTGTTTTACAGTCGAGCATGTGGTCCATCTTGGTTAATGTTCCATGAGTTGGAGAATGTGTATTCTACTATTGCTGCATGGAGTATTTTATAAACAGCAATTAGAGCAAGTTGATGGTTCTGTTCAGGTTCTGTTCAACTATGTCCTTACTGATTTTCTGCCTGTCGTATCTCTTCGTTAGTGAAGGGGAGGTGTTGAATTCTCCAGCTGTAGTAGTAGATTCGTCTCTCTATCTTTTCAGTCCTATTGAGTATTGATTCACATAACTTGATGCTCTGTTGTTAGGTATGTCCATGTTTACTATTGTTATGCTTTATTGAATAATTGAACCATCTATCATGTAATGCCCCGTCCTGCCCCGATCTATCTCTGAATATTTTTTCTTGTTCTGAAGTCACCTTTGTCCTAAGCTAATTTCTCTAGACCAGTATTATTCTGATTAGTATTAGTATGAATCCATCCCCTGTGCATCTTTTTCCATCCCCTGTGCATATGTTACGTATAACTTTTGAAATTTTTCTACAGTTCTCGAATTCCTATTGTTTTAAAATTTTCAGTCATTTTTATTGTGAAGTTCCTATTGACATATTTTTAAGTCACTGACTCTTGGCAGAATCCATTCCACTGATGAGCCCATCAACAACATTCATTATTTCCTATTAGAGTGTTTCGATTTGTAGCCTTTCCTTTTTATTCTTTCTTAGTATTTTTATCTCTTTGATTACATTGTCCATCCAATTTTGAGTATTGCCTTCTTTTTCTATGAGAGCCTTTAAATACTTTAAATACTTTAAATACTCTTTAAAATACTTTAAATACTTTAAATACTCTATCTAATACTTCTAAAATCCATGCAATATCTGAGTTCATTTTCATGTTTGTCTCTTTAGACTATTTTTTCTTACTTTCTAGCTTATCACATAGTATTTTATCTTGTCAAAAGCCAGATATAATTATCAGATAATAGAAACTGAGGCAAAAATGTCTTTACTGTGTGATTCTTTGTTAATCTGGCTAGGATTTGAGTTGTGTTTATTTTTTTTCTAACTATATACACCAGATGCTTCATATTTCTCTTGTGCTTTTGTTTTTGTCCCATATTGTCTTGGGGCTTCCCTAGAGACTTCTTCTTAAATAAAGTATAAAATATGCACTTCTTTCCATTGTATTCCTCAATTGCCAATATGAGGAATATAAAGTGGTTACCAGCAAGCAAAATAGAAACTACCATAAGAGGAAACAATGAATAAATTTATGTCAATATATTTAAATTTGAATAAAACAATTTCCTAGATAGGCACCACACATCAAAATTATACAAGAATAAATAGAAAATTTGAATAGATATCTAGCTCTTAAAGACACAGAAGCTGTTATTAAAACCTTAGTGCAATATAGACTCATGTGTCAGATGGCTTCATTGATAAATTCTTCCAAACTTTTACTAAATAAATAACCAAGACTATCACTGACAGGCACTTGGGTTGGTTCCAAATCTCTGCTATTGTGAAAAGTGCTGCAATAAGCATACATGTGAATGTGTCTTTACAGTAGAATGATTTATAAACCTTTGGGTATATACTCAGTAAGGGGATTGCTGGGTCAAATGGTATTTCTGGATAAAGAAAAAATGACACATATATACCATGGAATACTATGCAGCCATAAAAAAGAATGAGTTCATGTCCTTTGTAGGGACATGGATGAAGCTGGAAACCATCATTCTCAGCAAACTAACACAGAAACAGAAATCCAGACACCACATGGTTTCACTCGTAAGTGGGAGTTGAACAATGAGAACATGAGAACACATGGGCACAGGGAGGGGAACATCACATACCAGGGCCTATCAGGGAGTAAGGGGCTAGGGGAGGGATAGCATTAGGAGAAATACCTAATGTAGATGACAGGTTGATGGGTGCAGCAAACCACTATGACGTGTATACCTATGTAACAAACCTGCACGTTCTGCACATGTATCCCAGAACTTAAAGTATAATAATAATAATAATAATAACCCAAGACTATGTCAATTCTTCATGGTAAAATGAAAAATATAGAATTCATTGTAATGGGTTTTATGATACCAGTATTACCTTTATTCACAAATCTGACAATATGGATTACTGGACAATTTATGTCTTAAATGTGGATTCAAATATGACAAACAAATATAAGTAAAATGGGGTCCTTGATATATAAAATAGATAAATATAAAAACTGAGTTTATATTAATGTATTTTTATATATTAAGAAAATAAAGTAAAAATTATCTAGGTAAATGACAAAAACATTTGATAAAATTCAATATTTATTAATTATTTTTAAATACCTTACAAAAATTTGCTATAAAAATTACCTTCTTTCTCTGATAAATGGTATCACCAGAGCCAAAAACAAATCTTAGATCCAATATTATTAATATATTAAAAGCTTCTATCTTCAGATCAGGAATAAGAAAAAGATATTTATTATTAACAATTTTAGTCAACATTTTATAGGAGTTTCTTGACAGTGAAATAAGTCATGTAAATACATGGTAAAATGTTTTAAGTAAAGAAATACATGTGTCTTCATTTACAGATAACACATGGTTATAAAAGTAATTTTTTATAAATTATCAAATTTAACAGGTTAAGTTAGGCTTGCTGAATACAATGTCACTATACAAAAACCATTTTATTTTCTAGCACTTAATATAAAAAAATTTAATCATGCTATTTACCATAGTATCCAAAGTTATCAAATATCTAGAAAACAATCTATCTAAATATGTGTAAGACCTCTATACCAAAATTATAAAAAGGTTATTGAGAAAAGTGGGTGACAACCTAAACAAATGAAAAAAATATACTATTTTCTCAGATTGGAGGAAGCATTATTGTGAGAGTAAAAATTCTCCCTATATTCCAGTTGGCTATTTTTATGTGTGTGTTGATGACAGACATGCTAATATAAGATTTATGTAGAAACAGAAAGAAACAAGAATAGCAAAAAATTTTGAGGAAGAGCAAAGATAAGAACATACATTGCCCAATATCAAGTTTTATTGGAAAACTAAGTTCTTAAGACAGTGTGGCACTAGTGAAAGGGATTAAAAACAGATCGATGAAGAGTCAGGAGAAAAGAAAGCACACTGGGAAACTTCATCTAAAACAAAGCTGGCCATTTTCACAATATTTATTCTATCCATCCATGAGAATGGGATGTGTTTCAATTTGTTTGTGTCATCTATGATTTCTTTCAGCAGTGTTTTGTAGTTTTCCTGGTAGAGGTCTTTGACCACACTGCCAAAAGCAATCTACAAATTCAATGCAATCCCCACCAAAATACCAACATCATTCTTCACAGAATTAGAAAAAACAATTTTAAAATTCATTTGGTACCAAAAAGAGCCCACATAGCCAAAGCAATACTAAGCAAAAAGAACAAATCTGGAGGCGTCACACTACCTGATTTCAAACTATACTATAAGGCCATAGTCTCCGAAACAGCATGGTACTGGTATAAAAATAGGCACATAGACCAATGGAACAGAATAGAGAACCTAGAAATAAACCCAGATACTTACAGTCAACTGATCTTTGACAAAGAAAACAAAAACATAAAGTGGGGAAATATAAAGACCTGAAACTAAATATAAGACTGAAACTATAAAAATTCTAGAATATTGGAAAAATCCTTCTAGACATTGGCTTAGGCAAGGATTTCATGATCAAGAACCCAAAAGTAAATGCAATAAAAATAAAGATAAATACTTGGGATTTCACTACTAAAGAGCTTTTGCACAGCAAAAGGAAGAGTCAGCAGAGTCAATAGACAGCCCACAGAGTGGAAGAAAATCTTCACAATCTATACATCTGACAAAGGACTAATATCCATAATCTACAACGAACTCAAATCAGTAAGAAAAAAACAAACAATTCCATCTAAAAGTGGGCTATTGGCTGGGCGCAGTGGCTCATGCCTGTAATCCTAGCACTTTGGGAGGCAGAGGCAGGTGGATCATTTGAGGTCAGAAGTTTGAGACCAGCCTGGCCAACATAGTGAAACCCCGTCTCTACTAAAAATACAAAAAAAATTGAAGGGGTGGCCTGCCCCTCCACACCTGTGGGTATTTCTAGTCTGGTGGGACGAGAGACTGAGAAAAGAAATAAGACACAGAGACAAAGTATAAAGAAACAATAGTGGGCCCAGGAGACCGGCACTAGGTACACCAAGGACCTGCACCGGCACCGGCCTCTGAGTTCCCTTAGTTTTTATTGATTATTATTTTCATTATTTCAGCAAAAAGGAATGTAGTAGGAGAGCAGGGTGATAATAAGGAGAAGGTCAACAAATTACATGTGAGCAAAAGAATCTATATCATGATTAAGTTCAAGGGAAAGTACTATGCCTGGACGTGCACTTAGGCCAGATTTATGTTTCTCTCCACCCAAACATCTCAGGGGAGTAAAGAATAACAAGGCAGTATTACTGTAAACATGTCTCGCCTCCCGCCACAGGGCAGCTTTTCTCCTATCTCAGAGTTGAACAAATGTACAATCGAGTTTTACACCGAGACATTCGGTTCCCAGGCGCAGGCAGGAGACAGTGGCCTTCCTCCATCACAACTGCAAGAGGCTTTCCTCTTTTATTAATCCACCTCAGCACAGACCCTTTACGGGTGTCAGGCTGGGGGACAGTCAGGTCTTTCTCATCCCACGAAGCCATATTTCAGACTATCACATGGGGAGAAACCTTGGACAATACCCCGCTTTCAAGGACAGAGGTCCCTGCGGCTTTCCACAGTGCATTGTGCCCCTGGCTTATTGAGACTAGAGAATGGCAATGACCTTTAGCAAGTATACTGCTTGTAAGTATTTTGTTAACAAGGCACGTCCTACACAGCCCTAGGTCCCTTAAACCTTGATTTTATACAACACATGTTTTTGTGAGCTCCAGGTTGGGTCAAAGTTGCTGGGTCAAAGTGGCTGGGTCAAAGTGGCTGGGGAAAGCTACAAATTAACATCTCAGCAAAGCAACTGTTTAAAGTACAGGTCTTTTTCAAAATGGAGTCTCTTATGTCTTTCCTTTCTACATAGACACAGTGACAGTCTGATCTCTCTTTCTTTTCCCTACAAAAATTAGCCAGGCGCAGTGGTGTGCACCTGTAGTCCCAGCTACTCGGGAGGCTGAGACAGGGGAATCGCTTGAACCCAGGAGGTGGAGGTTGCAGTGAGCTGAGATGGCACCACTGCACTCCAGAAGCCTGGGTGACAGAGCAAGACTCTGTCTCAAAAAAAAAAAAAAAAAAAAAAGGCGGGGGGGCTATTAGAGAAATCCAAATCAAAACCACAATGAGATATCATCTCACACCAGTTAGAATGGCGATCATTATGATCATTAAAAAGATAGGAATCAACAGATGCTGTCAAGACTGTGGAGAAATAGGAATGCTTTTACACTGTTGGTGGGAGTGTAAATTAGTTCAACCACTGTGGAAGACAGTGTGGCGATTCCTCAAGGATCTAGAACCAGAAATACCATTTGACCCAGCAATCCCATTACTGGGTATATACCCAAAGGATTATAAATCATTCTAATATAAAGACACATGCACACGTATGTTTATTGCAGCACTATTCACAATAGCAAAGACTTGGAACTAACCCAAATGTCTATCATTGATAGACTGGATAAAGAAAATGTGACACATATACACCAGGGAATACTATGCAGCCATTAAAAAGGATGAATTCATGTCTTTTGCAGGGACATGAGTGAAGCTAGAAGCCATTATCCTCAGCAAACTAACACAGGAACAGAAAACCAAACACTGCATGTTCTCACTCATAAGTGTGAGTTGAACAGTGAGAACACATGGACACAGGGAGGAGAACATCACACACCAGGGTCTGTTGGAGGGTGGGAGGCAAGAGGAGGGAGAGCATTAGGACAAATACCTAATGCATGCAGGGCTTAAAGCCTAGATGACAGGTTGATAGGTGCAGCAAACCACCATGGCACATGTATACCTATCTAACAAATGTGCACGTTCTGCACATGTATCCCAGAACTTAAAGTCAAATAAAAATAAATACATAAATAAGTCGTTTCTGAAATTTTGAAAAATAAAAAAGTGGGCTAAGGACATGAATAGACAGTTCTCAAAAGAAGATGTACAAATGGCCAACAAACCCATGAAAAAATGCTCAACATCACTAACGATCAGGGAAATGCAAATCAAAACCACAATGCGATACCACCTTACTCCTGCAAGAATGGACATAATCAAAAAATTAAAACACACAGATGTTGGCATGGATGTGGTGATTAGGAAACACCTCCACACTGCTGGTGGGAATGTAAAACAGTACAGCCGCTGTGGAAAACAGTGTGGAGATTCCTTAAAGAACTAAAAGTAGAACTACCATTTGATCCAGCAATCCCATTACTGGGTATCTACCCAGAGGAAAAGAAGTCATTATACCAAAAAGATACTTGCAAACACATTTTATAGCAGCACAATTTGCAATTGCAAAATCATGGGACCAACCCAAATGCCCATCCATCAATGAGTGGATAAAGAAATTGTGGTATATATATATATAATGGAATACTATTTAGCCATAAAAAGGAAAGAATTAATGGGATCTGCAGCAATCTGGATGAGATCAAAGACTATTATTGTAAGTGAAGTAACTCAAGGATGGAAAACTAAACATCATATGTTCTCACTGATATGTGGGAACTAAGCTATGAGGACTCAAACGTATAAGAATGATACAATGAACTTTGGAGACTTTGGGGGAAGAATGGGAAGGGGATGAGGGATAAAAGACTACAAATAGAGTGCAGTGTATACTGCTCGGGTGATGGGTGCACCAAAATCTCACAAACCATCACTAAAGAACTTACTTACATAACCAAATACCACATGTACCCCAAGAACCTATGGAAAAATACATACATAAATAAATAATACAGAGCTGGCACTGTGCAATGAAAAAGGAAAGGCTTTTGGGTGAGTGCTGCTGGATCAAATGGAAGTACACAGTGAAATAAAATCTAGATGGACTGTAGATCTAAATGTGAGATGTAAAACTATCACGCTACCAGAAGATAATGAAAGATACTCTCTTATGTTATTAGAGTAGGAGGGAAAAATCTTAAATTGGATTAAACAGCTTTGGCTATAAAGAAAAAGGAACTTGTATTGATCAAAGACACCACTAAGGTTGTTTGTTTAAAAAGTCACCGACGAAAAGAAAACATCTGCAATATCCATGACTATCAAGGGAATCATTGTAGTGATAATAACAGTAATATTTATAAATTAATAAAGAAAGATTGTCAATAAAAGGGCAAAAAGCATGAACAGACAACTCACCAAAGGATGTCTCCAAATAACCAATGAATAAATGAAAAGTTGTTCAATCTCATTGACCATTAGGAGAATGACAATTGAACCAAAATGAAACAAAATTACATTCCACCAGAAATGCTCTGTTAATATTGACCACAGGAAGTGCAGGTGAGGGTGTGAGCAACTTGCACTATCAAAGCCTGCTGCTTTGACGCTGAGAGCGTCAGCTGAGTCATTTCTCCGTGAAACTCTGCCATTCTCTCTTGAATCCCAACATACACATATCACCTAGAGTTTCTACTGCTAGATGGATACCCAACCAATAGTCATACACATAGAGAAAGCTTTTGGTATGAGGTGGCATTAAAGTGAAATTGCAGTAATTATTCCCTGTGGTTTGAGGTTGAGAGAATAAACACAGAAAAGAGCTGTATTTCCCTGAAACCAAGCAAGGATTCCACCTGGCTTGATACAGAGTGAGAACCAACCCAAGAGAGCGCAGTGACCGCAGTGAGCATGTGGGAGGCCCACCTGAAGGTCTGTGGGTGACAACGGGAGGGGGTGAGGAGTGAAATATAAATCTGTTTGGGGAATTTCCTGGCTTCCTTGCTTCTGCCTCTATCACTTCACTCCCGAATCTCCAAGGTTTTGAGGCCTCCATGGTCATCATGCAGTTGTGACACTCAGCTGAATCCACCGTGCAGGGGCACTCGGCCTTTCGAGGAAGCCTCCTCCTTCCCACTCTTGGTTTTGTGGTATTTACTTCCCAGGCCTTCTCTTGCCTTCCAGGCCCTCTGTTTGCTTACCCAGCGCACAGGGCTCACCTGGTCAGAACTGGAACTTCTCAGCACTCCCTCTAGTACCTTTTCCCTTCTGAACTTTCTTCTCTGGTAACCTCATCCAGGCCCTTCTCTTCAATTACCACCTTTGTGCACAGATTTCTATCTTCAACCAGACCTCTGCTCTGCAGCCCAGAGCTGGCGTATGCACCTGGTGGTCCCACGGCCACTCAGCTCTTGGTCCCCACCCTCGACCCACAGACTTGGGTGAGTCTCCGTGAGCCCCTCTCGTGCCAGGGCCACTGTCCACCACAGTGTGCAAACCTCAGCACTTCCCAGCATGCAGTTACTGTATTTATACACTTGTTCATTTTTTTGTTTCTCTCTTTACTGGACTGTAAATGCTGTTATTGTTGGACTTAATGACTTGGCCAATATTGTATCCCTGGGACATAGCAAGTATTCAGCACAGTTGCTGAATAACTAAGTAAATAAATAAGTAGATAATAAATCATGAGTTAATGGATTTTTCCCATCATGACAACGGCAGAATGTACTTCCCTCATTTAGAAAGTTGGGTTCTGCAGGCTTCACCCCACGGATGTAATCTTCTCCCCTCCCTCTCCTGGGGTCACTGCAGTGACTTCTGCTTGCTCCGCTCCGCCGAAATGCACCCCTGAAAGTCACTCCCATTGCTGTGGAAGCCTCCTGTCCAGACCTGGTCTCCTGATCACTTGGCCGTGTTCTAGAATGCACAGCTCCTATCTACTAATTTCTAATTCACTACCGGGATAATTTTCATCTTGTTCTTCCATCTTCACTGTCAATTAAAATCAGTTATTTTTCCATGCAGAAAATATAAATTTTCTTACATTTTATTTATCTTTATTTTTACATTAGCTCTTTCATGCTACATTTTTACTTTTTCAAAACATATTTAGAAGAAAATTTGAGGAGACAGATACTTTCTGAACTCAATCGTACCCAAAGGTTTTCTTTTCTCAACAGAGTGAAGGATCATTTAATTTCTCTGATTCATTCAATGGCCTAGCTGAGAAATTTATAAACTGATAGTGGAATTTCTTAAAGACATTTTAGATAACAAGGGAAACATCATGTTTAATGTGGCAGAAATTCAGCCCCTGAAACATTGTTTAACAAATCACCAGCTGAATCTTATCATAGAAAAACAGATTTATTTTTCAGACAGTTTTGAGAGGTATCTAAAATTCAGTACGTGTGCTGAACCTTCGAATGCTTTTGAAGGAGTTTGTCTGCTGAAAAGCTAAATAGCATCAAACTTAAAAGCGTATTTCTCCTGACATCAGGATGTCGGCTGATACTAGCCAGAATGAAATGTGTTCTTTTCCAACATTTTCAGTCTATGGGCAAGACTTGAGAAAACAGCAGTGACCTTTCTGCCTTCAGCTACCTCAGCAACCCTTTGTCCTATCTCTTTGCAATCACATATTTTTTCCAATATGTGATTCTAATAATTACATCTTCAGTGTTGCTGAAGCAATTTGACAAATAGTAATTAGATTTCAAAAGGATAGTTCATTTCATAAGGATAGTTTGGCATCATGATTTCTAATGATAAATACAACATAAAGTTTCTAAAATGCTGATGAAAACACAAAATCTAAGGCTATTTCATGCCTGATAACTAGAGCATTAATCATCCCGTTAAAGATATGTGTATGCATAGATACATACGCTTAAGGTGCGGGTCCCTTCAACAGGCCCAAATATTTACGTGCCTGTATTACAAGCTGTTCATTCATGGATCACAGAATGCTCAGTTCTTGAAAACTAGTGGTGGAAAGGACATCATTTAAACTCATTCTGACCTGGCCTTGAATCTCACTTTTGCAGCTTAGGGGCTTCTGTTATCTTGTAGGAACAATGGGAGTCCTCCGGGGAAGAGCTTCCTCGTCTGGGTCCCCCACGCAGAGCCTGCATTAGCCCTGAGTGGGTGGGTGCACACTGTGAGCCCTGAGTGGGTGCACACACGCGTCTCACACGCAAACCAGGCCGCAAAGGAAAAACCCGGACTGAGCTCCGAGTCCTGCCTGAGAGCTGCTCCTGGTTTCCCGGGCAGGCAGGAATCTCCAAGCCTCCTCCAGGGTGATGGGGAGAGGCCAGTCAGCGTTTGCTAACTGCAAATCACGGGTGGGAACGACCACAGCATAAGCAGCGCCTGGCACGGTGCCGAAAGCCAAGTTGAGGTGATGAGCCACGGGCTGGGGGATTTGAGGGGAGACGGTGCAGGGAACCCACAGAGCAAGACAGGGCCATGTCCCCTGAGCAAAGCCTGGAATGGAGACAGCACCTCTGGCCTCGCCCCGCCCGTGGCTGAGCCCCGCTGGAGAGATACGGGGCTGTGTGTCGTGGCTCTGGATGGAAATCCCTCTTTCCTCCCTTCCTGACTCGGTCTTTCTAACAGACGGCGCTGGCCCTCCTGCTGTGTTATCTCAGTGGCACTGTTTGTTCTGAGGCGTCTTCATGTTCCTCCTTCCCGTGCAGCCCTGGGCATTCCTTTACCATCAGCAGATTCCACGCTGTATTTTTATACACACTGTCGTGTAAAATACACACAACACTTGCCATTTTAACAATTTTGAAGTGCACCGTTCAGTGACAATAACCACATTCACGCTGTGGTACCGCGGACACCTCTTCCATCTCCAGAACCTTCCACCTTCTTCTTCCCCGGAAACTCCGCACCCATTAAACGAGTTAAACGACAGCGCCCCCTGCCCACCCCCCAGCCCGGAAGCCCTCGCTTTACCCTCAGTCTCTAGAAACTTCACTGCTGTAGATTCCTCGCAGAAGTGAAATCCTGCAGCGTTTGTCTTTTTGTGACTTGGCATAATGTTTTCGATGTTTTTGGGTTGAATCCATGTGGAAGCATGTGCCAGCATTTCCGTGCTTTTTAAGGCTGGATAACATTTCACCATCTGTGCGCCCCACACCGTGTTTACCCGTTCATCCAGCGATGGCTCCTGGGTTGATGCCACATTTCCACTACTCTGCGTGGTGCTGCCAGAAGCAGTGGTGCACGGATCCCTCCTATCTGAATCCCAGCCTTTGGTTTCCATTGCTATTTGTTGGAATATACCCAAAAGTGGAATTGCTGATCATATGGTAATTCTGTTTAGTTTTTTGAGTCTTCACACAGTTCTCTACAGTGACCAACTATATTATATTCCTCTCCATACAGTTTCCTACCGTGACCAACTATATTATATTCCTCTCCATACAGTTTCCTACAGTGACCACATTATATTATATTCCTCTCCATACAGTTCTCCACAGTGACCAACTATATTATATTCCTCCCTATACAGTTCCTTACAGTGACCAACTATATTATATTTCTCTCCATACAGTTCTCCACAGTGACTAACTATATTATATTCCTCTCCATACAATTCCCTACAGTGACCAACTATATTATACTCCTCTCCATACAGTTCTCTACAGTGACCAACTATATTATATTCCTCTCCATACAGTTTCCTATAGTGACCACACTATATTATATTCCTCTCCACAGAGTTCCCTACAGTGAACACACTATATTATATTCCCCTCCATACAGTTCCCAGCAGTGACCAACTATGTTATATTCCTCTCCATACAACTCTCTACAGTGACTGGACTATATTATATTCCTCTTTACACAGTTCTCTTGGTGACTGCACAGTATTATATTTCTACCATGAATGCTTAATTGTTCTGATTCCTCCACAACCCAACAAACGCTTGTCATTATATGTTTTGTCTGTACATTTTTAAATATTAGCTGTCTTACTGGGTATGAAAGTTTGTGTGTGTGTATGAAGTATATTTTATATCATATTTTCATTGCTTTTTTTCTACCCTAATAGATTGAAGCTCAGATTCAAGAATCATCTCCATGTGTACCTGCCATAGACTGAACGTGTCCCCCAAATCCACAGTTGGAAACCTAATGGCCAAAGTGATGGTATTAGGAGGTGGGAGCTTTAGGAGGTGATGAGGTTTTGCTGGTGGAGCCTCATGAATCATCATGATAAGATTAGTGCCCTTATGAAAGGGACCCAGAGAGCTCCCCTGTCCCTTCTGCTGTGTGAGGACACAGGAAAAAGGCACCGTCCGGGAACTGGAAAGCAGCCCTCACCTGACAGCAGATCCACCACCATCTCGATCTCGAACCTCCAGCCTCCAGAACTGGGAGAATAGGTTTCTGTTATTAGAGGCCACCACGTTTATGGAATTTTCTTAGAGAAGCTCAAATTCACTAAGACAGTGTTCTCACACATTGCTTATGCATTAGCCCAAAGACTGGCACTTAATGTACATTTTGCTAAATGACATGACATAGAATGGAAGGCAAATTTGTCCTGTGATGATTTAGGTATACTGAGAATATAAAGACCTGTTATTCTGATGAAAGTAGTCAAAGTAATGTACCTTTTACAAGTGATGATGTAAGCATTTATGACAGAAAATTTCAAGAACATGGGAGTAGACAGAAGCATAGTGAACTCCTGTGTGTTTAACTCCAGCTTCAGCAACTATCAGCTTGTGTCCCAGGTGGTTGTATCTATACTTTCACAGCCCCAAAAGGACATTTTTGGGCCAAGGAAGAGAGACCTCCTTCCCCGTGGTTAGCTGAGTGTTTTTATAATATTGAATTTTGTCAAATGTTTTTTCTGCATCAAGATAATTTTTTCCTTCTTTTCTTAATGTAATGTGTTACATTCATCGATTTTCTGAGGCTGAACCACACTTGCATTTCTGGCATCTGTCGCACTTGTGCAGGGTGTAAAATCCCTTTAACATGTTGTTGAACTTGGGTTGCTGCCTTTGTTGTAGAGTTTCCGAGTGTTTACATTCATAAGAGACACTGGTTGGCAGTTTTCTTTTCCTGTTGTGTCTTGTCTGGCTTTGGTGTTGGGGTAATGATGGCTTCACAAGATGGGTTAGGAAGTGTTCTCTCCTTGCGTGTATTTTGGAAGGAGATTACTTTGTTTGAGGATTGGTATTAATTATTTCAATGTTTTCTAGAACTAGCCAATAAAACCATCTGGTCCTGGCCTTTTGTTTATTGAGGAATTTTTGAAGACTGAATCGATTTCTTTACTCCTTATAGGTCTGTTCAGATTTGTATTTCTTCTTGAGTTGGGCTTGGTAATTTCTGTCCCCAGAACTCTTTCCATTTCCCCAGGACACCTAATTTGTTGGCATACAACTGTTTCCAGCATTCTCTTATGATCCTTTCAACATCTGAAAGGGTGGTAGTAATGTACCCACTTTTATTTCTGTATTTGGCTATTTACAGCATCTCTCCTTTTTTAGTCAATGAGCTAAGGGTTTGATAATTTTGTTTATTCAAAAAAATGTAATCTTTGGTTTTGTTGATTCTATTTTTTTTCCTCTCATCTACTATGATGATCAGCATTTTAACCTTCAGCATCTCCGCACCTCTGCTAGCTTTGGGTTTAGTTTGCTCTTCTTTTTCTAGTAAGGTTAGGCTATCAATTGAGATCTTTTATTTTTATTTTTTTTTTTTACTTCAGGCCTTTTTACCTATAAATCTCCCTTTGAAGGTTGCTTTCTTTTCAGATCATAAGTTTTGGTAAACCTTGGTTTTGTTTGTATTTATCCCAAAGTATTTTCTAATTTCCTTTGCAATTTTTTTTCCTTTACAAATTAGTTGCTGAGGAGTGTGTTGCTTAATTTTTTGATTTCTTCATTCTATTGGTGATCAGAGACAAGGCTTTGTATGAATTCAGTCTTTTTACATTTGTCGAGGCTTGTTTCACAGATTAACATCTCTTCTATGCTGGAGAATGTTCCGTGTGCGCTTGAGATGAATGTCGGTTCAGCTGTTGGTGGGTGGGGTTTTCTGCGGGCGTCATCTAGGTCATTATCACTCCTCTGAATATTGTTCTTGTCACTACTGAAGTGAATATTGACATTTTTATGAACTCTCCTTTCCATTCTGTCAATGTTTTCTTCATATAGTGTGGGGTTTTTCTGTTTGATGTATATTTGCTTGTAATTTTTCTATCTTCTAGATCAATAAACTCTTTTATCAATTATTCTTCATCTCTTATGACCCTTTTTGACTTAAAGTCTGTTTTTCTGGTCCTGGTGCGGCACCCCAGCTCCTTCTCCATATCTTCCTGCAGGACGACTTCTCTGCCATCCCCCTCACCCTACCTATTCCTTTGGCTCTAAAGCAAATCTTGTGATTACTAGGTCATTTTAAAAATTTTGCCAAGTTTATACCTTAGCCAGTGAGTTTGATGCTTCTATGTTTAAAGTAATTAACTACAAGAAGGATCTTCTGCCATTTTTCTATTTGTTTTCAAGTCTTTGTTGTTCACGATTCCCCTTATACAGCCTTATTTTGTATTTGATTGACGTACTCTACTCCTTTGATCCTTGACTAATTTCTCGTCTGTATACACTTTTTAGTTATTTTCTTTATGCTTACCTTTGACATTACAAGTAACATTCTAATCTTACAGCGATCTATTTTGAATTGATCCAGCATAGCTTCTGGAACATACAGACTCTGCTCCTACACAGCTCTAGAGCCTGATGTTGCTGTCACAAAGGATGCCCTTGTGTGGCGTGCACCAAGTTAACAGCAATTACAGTTATTGTTTTATCCCCTCCCTGGTTTTAGTAATAGCTGGACAGACAAGATCATGGTGGAAAGAGGTACATGTGTAAATGGTGCCGGCTCTGGACAATTCTTGCTTTATATTTTGAAACTTAATTCCAGAGAAACATTTTTACAAAGCATCACGTGGCTTTGGGTTGCGATGGAGCCACGTCTAGTTCATCTCCACACTCTGGTCACCTGTATCACTGAGGGTCCAGAATGTACAGCTGCTTCTCCAGTCTCTAAAACTCTCACCTATGCCTTTCAAGTTATGTAGGAAAGGAAAAAGGGAGTTACAAACAAAAATACAATGATGCCGGCTTTTTTTTTTTTTTTTTTTGAGACGGAGTCTCACTCTGTCGCCCAGGCTGGAGTGCAGTGGTGCGATCTCAGCTCACTGCAACCTCCGCCCTCTGAGTTCAAGCGATTCTCCTGCCTCAGCCTCCTGAGTAGCTGGGATTACAGGCTCCTGCCACCGCGCCTGGCTAATTTTTTGTATTTTTAGTAGAGACCAGGTTTCACCATCTTGGCCAGGCTGAACTCTTGACCTTGTGATCCACCTACCTCAGACTCCCAAAGTGCTGGGATTACAGGCATGAGCCACCATACCCAGTGGATGCTGGCTTTTATATTTACCTATGTGATTACTTTGCCAATGTTCTTTATCTTTTTTTTTGTATGGCTTTGAGCTACTCTTTTATTTTTTAGCAATTTGGGAGAAACTTGCAACACACAGGATAGAATAGATTGTCCTACTGACACAAAAACTCCAAAATATTAGTTTCTTTAACAATAAGTGTGCTCTGTTTCTTACCACATGTGCGCTGCGGGTCAGGAGGAGGCTCTGTGCATTTCCCTCGTCAGGGCCGCGGGCTGTGGAATGCCCACCTTCAAGGGCAATACCATTGGATGAAACGCTCTGTGGATTTGCACTGTGCAACATGGCAGCCTCGAGCCACATATGGCTCTGAGCGTTTGACCTGTGACAAATGCAACCGGGAAACTGAATGTTTAATTCTATTTCATTTTAATGAATTTAAATTTAAATAGCCACATGTGGCTGGTGTCTCCTATACTGGACTGCAAAGGTCTAGAACGTGTCTGGTGTCTCTGATGAGACAAAGAACTCGGCTCTTGCTGGTTTCTTCCCAGCGATGGCAGAGTTCACTTTTCACTGGCTAAGGCAAGTCAAATGCCCCGGCACAACCTCAAGGGGGCAGAAGAGTGCAGTTTTAACAGGTGCCCAGAAGAAGGAGAACCGGAAGCATCGCTGGACATCAAGGATTCTGCAAAGCAGAGAATAAACCCCAGATTGCTTAGGGGAAACCAGCTGGGTAGCGGTTTAATGGTTGGAGGAGCATGGTCAGGGCAGTAAGTGAACACAGTACCAGGGGAATTTGTAGAGAAGAAATGAGGACCCAGGGTGAGAAATTGTTCAAGGCCAAAGACAGAAGTCGCTGGTCTCTGTCAACACTTCATCCTCAGGGCCTGCCTGCATGCTCAAGGGACCCTGGTTGCATGGCTGTGCAGGTGGCCCGAGCTGCCCAAACCTTGCTCTGGCACAGAGGCAGGCCCGTCAGGCGTGTTCCATCTCCCTGTTGTGTGACTATAAGAGAATTACCTGAGACTGGGTAATTTATAAGAAAAAATGTTTATTTAGCTCACTGTTCTGCAGGTTGAGAAGTTCAAGGGCCTGGCCTTGGCTCCCTGTGAGGGTTTCTGAGCTGGGTCATAACATGATGGAGAAGGTCAGAGGAGAAGTGAACAGATGTGGAGAGGACCAAGCAGAAGGAGAATCTGCACCTTGTAACAACAGTTCCAGTGGGAGCCAGTCCAGTCTCTGAGAGTGAAGCCACACTCAATACCTCACAAAGAAGGATTCAGTCCCAGGACATAAACACCTCCTGCCAGGATGTAAACACCTCCCACCAGGCCCCACCTCCAAACACTAACACATTGAGGATCACGTTTCACATGGAACTTGGTGGAGATGGCAAACCACGTCCAAACCACAGTCAGCTTCCTCACCTCCTGCAGTGCATCCTTGGCTGAGTTTACTCAGTATACCCAGGATGCTCATGTCCACTCACCAGATCTTCCATCTCATGCACCCTCACCTTCCAGATGCAGCTGCAGTAGTCCTCACCTCCACCCACCAGATCTGCTTCCATCCCATGCACCCTCGCCTTCCAGATGCAGCTGCTGTGATCACGTCCACCCGCTAGATCCTCTTCCATCCCATGCACCCTCACCTTTCAGATGCAGCTGGAAGCATGTGAAGCATAATAAATAAACTCAACTTAACCTCGTCTCTTATTACATCAAACCCCCGAGTTGGTGGTGTAAGTTGCCTAATTCTGGCTTTGGATCCCAGCTCCATTGCTTTTTTACTTGACCCTGCGTGAGTTCCTTAAGCTCCTGTGTGGCTTCAGGCAAAGTGTCTGGCCTTCCTCGGTCTTGCTTGGCACATTTGTGAGCCGAGTAAAATATATTATAAACTATTAATCCATAGGGAACAATGATCATGGTGTATTTTATTTTAGCTTTTATTTCAAAACACGATTAAGGAATGCATAATTTTCCTTTAATCATTTGTTTATATCTTTTCAACTTACTTAGATTTATTCTCTATTAACTAATTTTTGTTACTATTGTAATAATCAATAATTAGAAAAATAACCTAGCCATCACTGATTATTCGTGGGATTCAGGAACCCAATGATTTCCCTGAGAATCACCTTGCTGTAGGGACTGAGGGGAATTTTCCTGTTACTGAGCCTGGCCACTAGATGGATGCATGACCACCTCACTTTAGCTTTCTCGACTTTCAGTCCTAAAAAGACTTACAAGGATTCTGCACCTTTTCTCCCACCTCCCCCGTTCCTTGAATGGTGAATTTCTATAACATTTGATAACTGTTCTTTTAATAATTCTTGACCCTTTCTGTGCTTTCATTTAACCTCAAGTCTAGATTATTATTCAAATTGACTCATTTGGTAAAAATATATTGGGTATCTATCATGCAGCAACAGCTTAATGGGATCCCTCGTGAAGCCGTCAAGTGCTGAAGCTGTGAAAGCTGGGGCCGGCGGATCGGGTCGGGACTGCCGCTGTGATCACTTTTAGGCCAGCGTCAGCAGAAGCCTGTGTGATTGCAGGCAGATCTACGCTGTCTTTCAAACGTGGTGACACCGAGGTACAGCGTGGGGGACACGCAGCAGGGTTAAGGGTGTGGGGGGAGCTTGTTCGTCCTCCTTGGAAACCATGACACGGGGAAGGGGATTTAGGCCTCCTCAGTTCCACACTCCTCCTTTCTAGAGGCCAAGGCAGCCCTTTGATCAAGGTCACATTGCTCCTTAGAGGCAGCTCAAAAGCAGTTTCAGGAGGGAGCTCTCCACGTCTTTTTAGAGACAAATCTCCTCCGTGTGAGGGTCTCTGAAGCGGCAGGGTCCGTGGGGCCAGTGAGGCTGACTTCGTGGCTGGGCCCCCACAGTACAGCCACGATGACAGGGATGGGACAGCTGCACAGAGGTCAGTGAGCCCTGGGGATGAGGGGAGGAGGAGGGGAGGCCTTGGGGTGGGAAGGGGTTCCTGAAGAAGGTTATTCTAGGTGGGGCCTGAAATAACTCCTTCTACAAATGAAGAGGCGACAGGTGTGGGATAGAGGGTGGAAGGGGCAGACCATCCCAAGAAGACACCAGGACACTGAAGTGGCTGCTGGGGTGGGTGTGTTGGGTGGTGGAGGGGCAGCAGGCCCTGGTCATGGAGATGAGGCTGGGGATTAAACAGTGGCTCTGTCACAAAGGCCTTCTATGCCATCCTTGCACGTGTGAATTATTTTTTTCAAAATGCAATGGAAAAACTTATTTTCAATCCTAAATCTTGGTCTATTCTATGGTTTAGAAGTTTGGAGACTTACCAGAATACTGATTTATTACCAGCAGTAGGCTCAGGGATATATTGTGGGAATGCTTATGACCTTTATTTCTTCAGGAAAATGAAGTGAATATGAACATTATTAAATTTTTGCCAAAGGTTTTTTTGCCAAAAAAACTTTTCTCATTGAAGAGAGTTATAAATGTTTGCTTGAAAAGTATGTGTGCATTGATTGGTCATCTATAAATTAGATTGGATTTTTCAGCCCGATTTATTATATTGGTTACTTCACAAGGTCACACTGCCTTGAATATTATTTTGCCATAGCAACACGAAGGGGCAAGACAAGGAAGAGGATGAGGAGGAGGAAGAGAAATAAGAGGCGTCAACATCAACCCCCTCCGGTGTCAGCTGGTGAACGTCATCCACGTGGTTGGACATTAAATATGAGCCCTTTAGGAAAAGTTGGGGCCATAAATACATTATTAATACCTATGTGGGTGGGCCAAGTAAGTGACCCACATGTGATACTGGAAACTGAAAAGTGGAAGATGAAAAGAGCTTGTGTGGTGGGGAGAGGAACAGAGTCTCCATAATCAGAATGCTTCAGGGGCTGTCATGCTGGAACATAAATTAGTACACAATTTTGATAGAAGACATTTTGAATGCATTAGAACAACTTTAGCATGGTTCCTACCATGTGCTCAGCAATTTAACAACCAGGCATTTTACCAAAAGAATAAGCATGCCAACCTAAGCAACATAATGAGACTCTGTTTCTACAAAAATAAGAAAAAAATAGCCAGGCATGGCGGCGTGCTCCTGACATCCCAGCTTCTCAGGAGGCTGAGGCGGGAGGATCGCTTGAACCCAGGAGGTCGAGGCTACAGTGAGTTGTGATCACACCACTGCACTCCAGCCTAGCTGACAGAGTGAGACCTTGCCTCAAAAAAAAAAAAAAAAAAAACCATGTACGGTGAGATTTTGTAACAGAGGCGACAATTGATCAAGTGTTTATTTAGAGAAACTATTGGAAATGAAATATTAGAAATAAACTAAATATTCAAGAACAGGCAATTATCAAAAATGTTATGGCATATGCATAAAATGAAATGCCATGAAATCATTATGTATTATGATGAGAGAAATATGAAAAATTAATGAAACATAGTTATCATGCCCTAGTTGTTCTATGTGTCACCATTCTATGGCATTACATTAAGGATGCCTTATCTTTAATTTTAGTTTTCTATATATTGAAGTATCATTTACATAAAGCAATGACCACAAATTTCAAACATGAAGCTCAGTGGATTTTCCCCATATACACAACTGTGTGCACACTACCTGGGTATAGATACTAAACACATCTACCACAAAGGCTGATCCCTGCTCCCTCCCAGCCAGCAGCCCTGGGAGCAAACATCACCACAACCTGTTCTGAAGATTCATTTCACTTCTATTTTGAATTTCATATGAATACATATCTTATGTTATCATATGTATTATCTTGCTTCTGGCTTCTGTCAAGCAACATTATAGCAGTGAGATTCATAGTTTTGCAGTGTAATCAGTTTGTTATATTTTCTGTTGCAACATAATATTCCATTATGCAACATATTTATCCATTTAACTACAGCTGAACAGTTAGATTCTTTCTAGTTTTTTAGCTCTTATCAATAAAATTGCTATAAACATTTTTGTGTCTGTATTTTGGTGGGCATAGCAGTCATTTATATTGGGAGTAGTGGAACTACTAACTCACAAGTGCATGTGTGTGTATGTGTGTATGTGTGTGTGTTTCTCCATTGTAGATATCACCAAACACTTTTCCAAAGTGGTTGCACCAATTTCTATGTCCATGGGTGGTGCAAAGCTGCTTATATATTTATGAGCTACGTGGACAACTCTTTTGTAACACACATGCACACAGACATCGCCTTGCTTTCTCACTCTCATATGTCTTTTCATAAATAAAAGTAAACTTTTACTCAAGTTCGATTTATTCATTCCTTCATTTATTGTTGCCATTTTTGGAGGATGAAATTATTTGTATTTTTGAAATTTTGATATATCAAACTTATGGAAATGTTATAAGAATAATTTTTACAACTGTAGACAATGTGTTACCCAGACACATCAACTGGTACATTTTGCCCCATCACATTATCTATCTATCTAATCTATCTAATCATCTATCTATCTATCTATCTATCTATCTATCTATCTATCTATCTTTTTCTGATCCATTTGATAGTAAGTTGTGGACATAGTGGTTCTCTAATTTTTAGATACTTCATTGTGTATTTCCTGACAGCCTGAGCACAGTTATCAGTATTGGGAAATTTAATTGTAATGCAATACTATGATCAAATCCATTATCTATATACTGAATTAAGTACTGTATTATCTAGTGTCCAATTTATTAAAACACAACAATACCCTTGACAGCTTCTCTTTTCAGAGTCCTGGAAGAAGACCCGGGGCAGGGTCACCTGCTGCACGTGTGGTTGTACCTGCCGTCTGCTATGTGGTCGCACCTGCCGCCCTCTCTCACCTGGAGCAGCTCCTCGGGAGGTCTTTATCTCTCCTACCTTGACACACTCCGAGTTCAGCCCAGTGATTTCTTCCAGCCCCCTCAATCTGGGTTTGCTGATGCCTCCTCCACGTCCCATGCAGGTGTTGTCTGTGCAGCAGCAGCACGCTGAAGCCCCAGTGGCCTCTCCAGGCTTCCTGTTAATACCCCGGTGCAGGCGAGGCGGTCCTGCCTCCATGCTGATGCTGACTTTGATCACGTGGTTAAGGGGCTGTTGGCCAGTTTTCTCCACCAAAGTTATAACATTTCCATTTGTAACTAATAAGTGAGTAACTCGTGGGAAGATACTTTTTGTCCTGTTTCTTTTCACTCATGATTTTCTAAACTCACCACCCGTTCCTTCTATATTTATTTGCTGTCATTCTGCTGTGAGTGAAAACTTTTCCTTTTCATTTATTTATTTAATCAGTCACTTACTAACACCACTTATTTATTTGTTTCAATTATATCAGTATAGACTTATAGAGTCTTTTTTGTTTTTCCTTTTTGTAGCGACAGGTCTGGCTGGATGCCCAGGCTGGCCTCAAACTCCTGGGCTCAAGGGATCTTCTGGCCTCCACGGTGCCACCACACCAGGCTAAACTCATGGATTTTTATCGTGTTAATTATCACAATACTTTACTACGGTCACTCAGTTTGGCTGTAAAATGGTCCCAGCTCTGGCTGATGGGAGCCTCTTTGAGCTGTTTAAGTGTCTCTGAACGCGCACCAGCGTTCTCTGAAGACTTTCTCACTCTCTAAGGCATCAAGGCTCCCCCGCCTCGGTCTTGGACTCGGCTCTTTCTCCGGGACCCTGGTTCTCGTCAGTGGAGAATGAGATTTGGAAACCAAGCTCCGGACCCTTGGCGAGCTCGATGCTCTTGGGCCCTCTCAGTGGGCAGAGCCAGATGATAGGCGTTTAGGAGGCTGAAACTTCTCCGATGTAACGTAGTCCACGCATGTCCACGTCCTCCCCAGCAGTCAGAGACAGACCACTCCCCTCAAGATACTTCCCCTGTGTTAAACAAGATGGCTTCAGAATTGCTAACTCACTCCCCTGCACAAAACAGGTGACTAGTGTTCAGCCCTTGCTCAGTTGTGGAGACAGAATTTACACGCAGTGAGATGCTCAGTGCTTCTGTGCGTGACTCAGTGACTTTGGCAACGCGGCCGCCGACAAACTCACATTCCCATCAAGACACGGAGCATTTCTCTCAGCTGAGAAAGTCCCGCTTGGGACACTTTTATTCCTAATGAATAAGCGTTCGTAGTTCTAGTGCCCACTGATCTGAGAGTCAGAGCTTACGACGCCGAGCTCCCTACCTCATGCTGGGTGCATCCCCGCGGGCGGGTGTCAGGTGAGGCCACCGCTCACCTGCCCCAGAGGTCACTGAGTGTGTCCGCCTTTCGTTTTTTCCTCCTTAGTTCCCATTTGCCCGGTCTCTTTCAGGAGCTCCACTTTGTGAAAATTCACAGATGCTGCTGCTCTACAAGAGAACGTGGAG
Source organism: Homo sapiens (assembly GCF_000001405.40). NCBI lineage: Eukaryota > Metazoa > Chordata > Mammalia > Primates > Hominidae > Homo > Homo sapiens. Next base: position 721,214 of record NC_000002.12, read on the forward strand.
GCTGAGAAGCCAGCCACGGAGCTTCTGGTGTCCACACATCAGAGCCTTGCACAGTCCACCACGCCGGAAGAAGGGTCTTCTCCCCCAAACCTGTGTCCTGTGTCTCCATCCACGTCTGTCTCTGTTAATGGTTAATCTTTAAATGTTTACTTTTAAATCATGTACACATTTACATAATTGAAAGCACTGATTCATTCTACCATTCTTATTTTTAAAAACACCAGAGCCTTTATAACATTCATCAACTTCTTTTTCTCACAGAAAATTCTTTTCACCATTTGCCACTTCTTTTGTTTTTTTTAATTGAAATTGAGTTCATAAAAGACACAATTATCCACTTTACAGTGTCCAGTGTCCTACAGCCACCATCTCCCTCGAGTTTCACGAGTTTTCATCAGCCCAGCACACCCTGGACCCGTGACTCCATTTGCCTCCTCCAGGCTCGGCACCTACTATCTTCTTTCTGTCTCTGCAGATATGCAAAGCATCAAATGAGATGTGTCTGATCTCTTTCACTTGCCATGTTTCTGATGTTCATTTACTCTGTGGCAGGTATACTATTTAAATCTTTTTTATAACTGAACAGTATTCCTCTGTACATATGTATCTTAATTATTCATTCATGCATCCACTAATGAATGTGTGGGTTCTTTTACCATTTGGATATTATAAATAACGTGGCTATAATTTGGGTACATTTTTCTGTGCAGATATGTTTTCATTTCTCTTAGATATATACCTAGAAGTGGGATTACTGTGTCACATGGGAATTCTGTGTTTAACTTTTTGAGGAACCACGTCACTGTTTACCAGTCTCTGAGTCACTTTGCATTCCAGCCAGTGAGGTACGAGGGCTCCTGTTTCTCATCAACAGTTTTATTATTATTATTATTATTATTATTATTATTATTTTATTTATTATTATTATGATTTTTGAGATGGAGTCTCACTCTGTCACCCAGGCTAGAGTGCAGTGGCGCGATCTTGGCTCACTGCAAGCTCCGCCTCCCAGGTTCATGCCATTCTCCTGCCTCAGCCTCCCAAGTAGCTGGGACTACAGGTGCCCACCACCACGCCTGGCTAATTTTTTTGTATTTTTGGTAGAGATGGGGTTTCAGCATGTTAGCCAGGATGGCCTCGATCTCCTGACCTCATGATCCACCCCACTCAGCCTCCCAAAGTGCTGGGATTACAGGTGTGAGCCACTGCGTCCAGCTTTATTTATTAGTTTTTTTAAGGTGGAGTCTCACTCTGTCGTCCAGGCTGGAGTGCAGTGGTGCGATCTCAGCTCACTTCAACCTCTGCCTCCTGGATTCAAGCAATTCTCCTGCCTCAGCATCTTGAGTAGCTGGGATTACAGGTGCCTGCCACCATGCCCAGCTAATTTTTATTATTTATTTATTTATTTATTTATTTATTTTGTATGTTTAGTAGAGACAGAGTTTTGCCATGTTGGCCAGGCTGCTGTTGTATCTGACCTCAAGTGATCCGCCTGCCTTGGCCTCCCAAAGTGCTGGGATCACAGGTGTGAGCCACTGCGGCTGGGCCGGGAGCCATTGCAGCTGGCCTCACTTTTATTATTATAATTATAATTACTATTATTGCCACCCTGGTGGTTGTAAAATGGTGTCTCACTGTGGTTTTGATTGGTATTTCCTTAACATTGAACATATTTTCATGTTCTTGTTGACTGTTTGTATATCTTCTTCAGAGAAATGTCTATTCAAGTCCTTGGCCCATTGGTTAATTGGGTTGTCTTTTTATTTTTGAGTTGCAGGAGTCTTTTTATATATTTTGAACACTAGACCCTCTTCAAATACACAATCTGCAAACATTTTCTCCCATTCTGTGGGTTGTCTTTTCACTTTACTAATGGTGTCCTTTGATGCAAAAACCAAAAAGGTTTTAGTTTTGATAAATTTGTATTTGATTGTTTGTTTTTGTTGCCAGCACGGCCCTGACAGTGAACAGTCTCTTCAACAGATACTGCTGGAACACCCAGTTATCCAGACGCAGAAGAATGACAGTAGACCTGTATCTCACACCTTCTACCAAAACAACTCAAAATGGATCAAAGACATGAAATAAGAGGTAAAACCATAAAAGGCTTAGAAAAAAAAAACAGAGATATTGGATAATATCTTACTGTCTTAGACATGATGCCCAAAGCACAAGCAACAAAAACAATAAGAAATCATCAACAATATGTAGCAGTATATTCGTACTTAAATAACCTAGGTACTGCTGAAGAACAGTTATCAGTGAAGGGATATATTCTATAGGCAGGTGGAAATGGGGACTGATTTTGTATTTATGTGTCACCATCTACCAAAGAACATATAATTAGGATCCTATTATTTCTCACACTGTTCTTTTGGGCATATTCATAGTAGTACACAAGATTGCTTTGTGTGCACTGACAGCTTCCTAAATCAAGGAAGAGATCTTCCTAAATTGAGCAGTCAGCAGCACAAGGAAGGGAATCTGCATTATCAGAATGAAGGATGTCAGTGAGGAACCAGTGAGTGCTGTTTCTTCGAACCCAATGGGGAAACATCACACCTTACCCTAAGCCTTGTGCCAGAATTACGCATGTCTGAGCGCTTTGTTTGATATTGTTTATAACTTACTTTCCTTAGCAGTGAACCACTTGCTTTCTATTTGCCTTCCTCATTTCTGAGGACCTTCTGGTGTGGAGGCTGAGTGCTGGACTGGGAAGAGATGGTGCGTTAGTGCTGCACTGACCAGCTGCTCACTCCAGAGCAGATGGTCACTATGTCGCATTAGGCAAGGTGCTTTATTTTACCCCAATGGCCTCATTTTTATCATGAACTTGACTGTAAGTACCTTTCCAGGGTGCTGTGAGAATTAAACCAGAAGCACTCGGCACATCCAGGTCCTCAGGGCTTTCACCCTTGTTCCTTGTTATTTGTAAATGAGTCTTTCACGTAGCAAGCATTTACATAGACACCACTTCAAGGCATTGGTCTCTGTATTGATGATACAAAGATAAAGACATTGTACATTTTCTGCCCCTTAGGACATTTTCCCAGAGATTCTACAGGCTTTTTTGGAAATTTGAGTCTTCATTTCTTCAGAACAAATGCTCCCAAATGCACTAGCTGGGCTGTATCATTATTTCATGCTTTCCAGCGTGGTTCTGCAACTTCACCTCCCCCGACCTGCTGAGTGCTCCAGTGTCTCTGCATCCTCACCAGCGTTCTATGTTGTCACTATTTTATGTTTTTAATTTTAGCCACTCTGATAGATGTGTGGCCACAGCTTATTGCCCGTTTGATCTGTATTCTCCTACAGGCTGAGGATTGGGGCATCTTTCCACACCCTCCTTGGCATCTGTGTATCCTCCTCAGTGAAATGTCTGTTAATGCTTTTTTTCCCAGTTTCTGATTGCATTTTTCTAAACTGCTGAGTTGTGAGAATTCTTTCTATGTTAAAGTTCTGCTCCTTTTTTGTTCTTTGCAAATATATTTTCCCCCAGTCTGTATCCTGTCTTTTAATCCTCTTTATATGGGCTTTTGCAGAGCAAAATGTTTAATTTTGAGGAGATCCAGTTCATTAATTTCTTATCTTAGGAATCCTGCTTCTGGTGTCAGGTCTAAGAACTCTGCCAGGACCCAGATCCCAGAGATTCTCTCCTGTGTTGTTTTTAAAAGGCTGTATGGTTTTCAGATTTAAATTTAAGTCTTGATCCATTTACAGTTGATATATTAGGTGTGGGGTTTAGGTTGATCTTCTTTCTCTCCTTTTTCTTTTCTTTCCTTTTCTTTTTTTTCTTTCTTTTTTTTTTCACCTATAGATGTCCAATTGACCTATGTGTCCATCCTGCCACAAGTACTGCAGAATTTTGATTTCTGCTGCAGCAATATAATGTTTTGAAATTGGGTAGAGTGATTCCTTCCACTTTATTCTGGTTTGTTTTATACATTTCCTTTTAGCTTAGTGAGTGAGGCCTGGCTCTTGCTTTCTTTTGATGAATATCTGTTAACCTGTTCTGGGCCAGGAACTCTGTTTACAAAAGTAAACACTGTACTCTCATTGAATATGCAGCCTGTCAGAAGAGATAGAACAAAACAGAAAGTAACAATGAAGATAAAGTTTTTTAAAATTGGAGTAAATCTTATGCAGAAGAAAAGAACTGGAGTGGGTGAGAACATGGGTCCTTTTGGATAGGGCAGTCAGGTCTCTGCAAAGCCACATGTTTAACTCAGAAAAGCTGAGAAGCCACAGATACTCCAAAACACAGGGGTACAATGAGCTGGAAGCATGGACAAGCTCAGATCATGTGGGCGCTGGAGGAGGCAGTGAGGCCAGGGTGGGGCTGAGATGGGAGAAGTGGAGGTAGGAGCCAGGCTTGAGCTCAGATCATGTGGGCACTGGAGGAGGCAGTGAGGCCAGGGTGGGGCTGAGATGGGAGAAGTGGAGGCAGGAGCCAGGCTTGAGCTCAGATCATGTGGGCGCTGGTGGAGGCAGTGAGGCCAGGGCGGGGCTGAGATAGGGAAGTGGAGGCAGGAGCCAGGCTTGACCTCAACCCAGCCACAGATAACAGAGGAAATTGGAGCTTTCTCTGGAGATTGCGTGGATGAATCATGAATTGATCTGTGCTTGAAAATCATTGCTGTTGCTTTGGGTTGCAGGGGCTAATCGTGGAAATAGGGAGGACAGAGAGAAAGAGAGTGTCGCAGTCCAGGGAGGAGATGGGTCTCCTGAGCTTGGATTGGGGCAGTGGCACAGTAAGGATGTATTTGTGATGCATCTGGGAAGAAGAGTTAGGAGGGTCTGCTGCTGGAATGGACAAAAATGCTTTAAAACAAAGTTAAAGGGAGCTATGGAGACTTTTAGATTATAGCTGATGGACATGCCAGTCACTGGTGCTTTAAAACAAAGTTAAAGGGAGCTATGGAGACTTTTAGATTATAGCTGATGGACATGCCAGTCACTGGTGCTTTAAAACAAAGTTAAAGGGAGCTATGGAGACTTTTAGATTATAGCTGATGGACATGCCAGTCACTGGTGCTTTAAAACAAAGTTAAAGGGAGCTATGGGGACTTTCTGATTACAGCAGAGGGACCTGCGGGTCACTGGGATGTGAGCTCTGGCCTGGGGCACAGGCGTGGGTGGAGGGTGTGGCTAGGTCTGAATTTACTCAGGTTGAAATGTCTGTGAGCCCTGAAACTCCAGAGGCTTAGTTCACAGTCACTGGCGTCATGGGTATTAAAGTTGCTTCATCAGCACCGGTTCTACTTAAGTCCATGTTTTGTTTTGTTTTTAAATTCTGTAAAATCCTGAAAAAAGTATAATAAACAGCAGTGAATGCTTAAATAAGAGCCCATAGGGAGGAGATACGTGGCTCAATTTGGAGTTCATAAATGGTTCATGGAGGAAGGGAGGACGTTTGCACCTTGAGTGGGATTTGCTGGCTTGGAAGGTGCAACACATCACGGGTCGGGTGTTCAGGCCTCACCTGGGTGTGGTTCTGCCTCTGATGAGAACCGGCTTGGGGCGTGGGTGTCAGGGAGGCCCAGGACTTTGAATGGATCCCTCAAGAAGAACTATTTGATGCTGATGAACCACACAGTGACAGTTCTCAGGTCATGTGAGTTTGTCAGTATGATTGTGGCTGATGCAGGATGGTTGGGAGTGGATGGAGAAGGAGACGCTTCCTTGTGGGTGGCAGCTCCCAGGGTTACTCTCCTGCCTTTCATCATGTTGGGTTCAGGTTGGCAATATTTTTGTGTTTTACTTACTTATTTGTCCAGTGAGTCTTTTCTGATGGGCTCTCAGATTTCATGGGTTCAGTTCACCTTTGGACTGTTCCCTGTTACATTGACCAAGAGCTGCCCATGATCCCATAAATCAACTGTGAATACTGGCTTTTGAATAAATGAGTAGGAGCAGAAAAGGTGTCTTAACCTCCCCCTGTTCACCAAGTACCGAGATAGAAATTGCTGAAGGCACTGAGAAGTTTCGGTTGCAGTTTCAAATAGGTGGGGAAATCTGTCTCTGTAAATAATGAAGAAATAATTTCCAGATCTAGTTTAGAATGGCATCATAATGGGGATATAACGTTAGAATGACAAGGCTAATCTCATGGTCTCAAGGAACGAAAACAGTTCTTTCGTGTGCATCTGTAACCATAAAGTGAAAGTCGTAACAAAAATGTAACCACTGATGTGTTCCAAGAGCCTCAACAGGACAGGTGCCAGCCTTGGTGTCAAGGGGATTCTCTGGAGAATTTTAACATCGTAATTTCTATATTGATGTGATCTGCTTCCAGTAATTACTTATATGTTTTCCAAAGACACTCAGCTGCCATCTAAGTTTAAAATTGTATGTGCTTTATTATAAGCTCTCATTTTTTAGGTTATGCTAAGAATAAGAACATGGGCATTGGCATTGCACATCCACATGGATTTAAGGATTGATTTGCCGCTTTATTAATCATAGATCTTTGAACAGTGACGTTTCTTTCGCATGCCTCAGTTTTCTATCCAATAAGCGGGGAGACATGGTACCTATCTCCTGAGGATGCTGGTGTGAAAAGCAAGACCCCGCAAACAGCACACAGTGATCAACGGTGACGGCTAGCTCTTGTTCTTAGGAACCAAAATGCTCTATGGGAATTAAAGAACATTCACCATTTTATTTGTACCTCACAATGATCTCATGGTAGAAACACTTCTGTCTTTAGGGCCAGAGAAGGCAGGGTCCAGGCTGCTCTCAGTCCTGTGGGGTCAACTCAGAGTGTGAGCTCAGACGGCCTGGGCCCAACTCCAGGGCTTGCTCCAGGAGCCCACACACCCCTGCTGGACAGAGTCTGTCCCCCAGCCCCTTCCCAGGTGTATATATCTCTGTGTGCATGTGTGCAGGGGTGTAGTGTATGTGTGTATGTGTGTGCATGTGTGTACATGTGTGTGGGAGTGCTTGTGCATGTCTGTACATATGATGCCTGTGTGCATGTCTGTACATGTGTATGCCTGTGTATATATACCTGTGTGTGCAGGGGTGTAGGGATGCAGTGAATGTGTGTATGTGTGTGCATGTGTATTTACCTGTGTGTGCTTGTGTGCATGTCTGTATATGTGTGTGCATGTGTGCAGGGGTGTAGTGCACATGTTTATGTGTGTGCATATGTGTACATGTGTATGGAAGTGTTTATGCATGTCTGTGCCTTTGTGTGCATGTGTGTATGTGTGTGCATTGTATATATGCCCGTGTGTGCATGTGTGCAGTGGTGTAGTGCATTTGAGTGTATGTGTGTACATGTGTGTGTTTGTGCATGTCTGTACCTGTGTGTGCATGTGTGTATATACCTGTGTGGGCATGTGTGTATATACCTGTGTGTACGTGTATATATATCTGTGTGTATGTGTGTGTATATACCTGTGTGTGCATGTGTGTATATACCTGTGTGTGCATGTGTGTATATACCTGTGTGGGCATGTGTGTATATACCTGTGTGTTTGTATATACCTGTGTGTGTGTGTATACCTATGTGTGCGTGTGTGTATATACCTGTGTGTGTATATATACCTGTGTGTGCATGTGTATATACACCTGTGTGTACGTGTGTGTATATACCTGTGTGTGCATGTGTGTATATACCTGTGTGTATATACCTGTGTGTGCGTGTGTGCAAGGGAATTGTGCGTGTGTGTATGTCTGTATATGTGTGTGCATGTGCGTGTGTTTTTTGTGGCCGTCTGTAAGGTTTGTGGGCCAAGCCTGGGTGAAAGCCCGAGAGGGAGTGTGGTTTCCTCTTTGGGACTACGTCTTCAGGATGGCAGAGTCTGGCAAAGTTTGCCGTGGGTTCGTCTATATTTATTACGCGTAGGAAAGTACTCGTGCAAAGCGTCAAAGGGAGATGTCAGATAACTCAGAACCTTCACTCCTCACAAAGAACCCAAACTCTCCTTCAACTGTATCCATTGCCTTTTTATTTTACGTTCGTAAGGATTCATCAACTTAACAACACAAAAACACAATAAAAGATGATTCAACATTTGAAGGCATTTTGAATTTGTGTGCTATGGCATAGCTAAAAGGTAGTTTTAAGAGAGCATCCAAAGAGGCAGAAAGTGCTCCAGATTTATTTGGATGGAAAATAGAACACACTTGATTTGATTTCAAAATGTAGTTTTCTGTCCATAAAGATAGCTGGCACCAGAATGAGTTCTAGAAAGTGACTGTGAGGGGATCTGGTCAGAGGGTGAAGCGATTCGTAAAGGGGAGTGATGGCAAATGTGAGCTTTCTGTATCTGCAAGAGAAAGATGCTATTGGATTGTTAAATTTGCATGTGAATAGGGATGTAAATAGGTTCTTATAATGACAATCGACGGGGGCAGAGTTGTTAAATTGAAGTTCATTTCTTTGGACAATCAGGGACCTTCTGAGGAGACTTCTTCAGATCCCTTCCAAGCCTATAATTACATAATGTGAAAATAATGGCCGTTGATGGGAAAACCGTGGATTTAATGACAGGCAATTTTCTGTCTCTGTTGTCTTTTGCAAAGGCGATGATTTTCTCTTTCCTGGAGGAAGGAAGCGAGGGCCGGTCTTTGCATTGACTCAGGCCCTTTGAGGTGTGCAGGGGGCTCCTCACCATCCACAGCAGGAGAAACTACCACGGATGTAAAAGCCTGCTCCTCACAAAAATTACACCCTATTTTACAAGTGTATACTTAAAATGTCAGTTAACTGAACTCTGTGGGGAGCGTGGACAGATAAACAGAAGAATTTGACCCACACTTTCAGGCAGGGAAACAAGAGGCTTAATTTTCTTTTTTCTATGTCTGTTCAGTTTTAAAGAGAAATTATTTTTTCCTCAAACTGCTATGAAACCTAATTTGAAGGCATTTAAAAAAATTGTTATCTGTTATTGGATTTGGTATACAATTCTGCTTACTCTATAAGAACATAAAGAAATCTAAAGAAACTAAAGAACTCTAGGCCGGGCGCAGTGGCTCACGCCTGTAATCCCAGCACTTTGGGAAGCCGAGGCAGGCGGATCACGAGGTCAGGAGATCGAGACCATCCTGGCTAACACGGTGAAACCCCGTCTCTACTAAAAAAAACACACACAAAAAAAATTAGCGAGGCGTTGTGGCCGGCACCTGTATTCCCAGCTACTCGGGAGGCTGAGGCAGGAGAATGGCGTGAACCCGGGAGGCGGAGCTTGCTGAGATCACGCCACTGCGCTCCAGCCTGGGCGACAGAGCGAGACTGTGTCTCAAAAAAAAAAAAAAAAAAAAAAAAGAACCTAAAGAACTCTAAAGAGAAAAGGACCACCTTTGCAAAAGGCAGCACAGACATAAAATTGCCTGTCATTAAAGGCACGGATTTTCCATCAACGGCCATTATTTTCACATTATAGAGTCATAGCCGTGGAAGGTGTCTGAAGCAGTTTCCTCAGAAAGTTCCTGACTTCCCCTAGAAATGAACTTCTTCAACTTTGCAATTTATATTTGCATAAAAATTTCTACAGCCATTCAATTTGCAAAATATATGGATCTATCAACTGTAAAATAGTTCTTAAGTGTATTCTTTTTGGGTATTTGAATCTGGTGGATATATGGTTTTATGTCTCAGTACAAATCCATCATTCCAATATTAGTCTTCAGCTTTAATTATTCAACTGTGGAATTCTGATCACTGATTTCTCCGAGGAAGTTTTAAAAGTGAATAGTCCATCTTTAATTATATAATATTTCTTCCAAATAATAGAATTTATGTGACTAGAATCTCCCCATCAAGTTTTAGACACGTACGATGACGCATTTTTACTCACAAATTAATAGCACCGCCATTGGCAGGAAACATGGAGCCGCCGTCAGGCCTTGGCGTAGCTGGATGGCGGTGTCCCGGAGAAGTTGCAGGGATGTGGCTGAGCCCAGCTCCCAGCCACAGAGGTGGGTGTTGCTGAGCCCGGGGAGCCCCCAGACAGTGCAAGATGTTAGGGTGGTCGGGGTGCTAAAGCCACTCCCGTTGCCAACTGCGGCTCCAGGTCATGCCCCACCCCTCACTGTGATGGGATAGGCTGGGGCCCTTCATGATGGACGGAACATACGTTTCCGGACCCCAAAATCACTCAGCAAAGGTAAGTCAAGCTGGAAACTGCGTCAGGCAAACCTGCTTCCCATTTTATTTCTAAATAAAATAGCTGCAAAGATTTAAAAAAACCCTACATACCTCTCACAATTTGCCCACTAGGAAATCCCTTGCGGAATGTCCCCCTCCCCTTGTGGAGTTGTCCGGACCGAACCAATGTTCCTCTTACACATATGGGTCGATGCCTCACGTCTCCCTAACGTGTAAAACTGAGCTGTGCCCGGCCACCTTGGGCACACGTCCTCAGGACCTCCCGAGGCTGTCACGGGCCTGTCCTTAACTTGGCAAAGTAACCTTTCCAAATTCGTTGAGACCTGTCTTCGATATTTTGGGTTCACAATAAGAATTTGGGGGACGGCTCCCAGGTCCTTGAGAAAAGCAGTCCTGGGCCCAGTGCGGAGGCCGGGAGGATTCACTTCCCTAAGGGGCAGAAAGCATTTACAGCCGGGGGTGCTCTGGGGTTGATGTCCTGAGAATAGGAGGTCTGGGGGGCCCAGGTCGGGTGACCCTGCTGGGGTTTGGTGGAGTTCCGGAGCCCTGGCCACCCAGGCTGGGGCCCAGGGAGCTTGTCCTGTGATGGTGAGAGTATGTCAGCTATGGTGTCCTTCACACAGGGGCCCCCACAGGCTGTGGTTAGGTGTTTTCTGAGCGCTCTGGGTTTTGGCTGTGGACTGGAATCATGGCACAGGGGGAGTCACGGCACGGGGGGAGTCACGGCACGGGGGGGAGTCACGGCACGGGGGGGGGGTCACGGCACAGGGGGAATCACGGCACAGGGGGAGTCACGGCACGGGGGGAGTCACGGTACGGGGGGAGTCACGGCACGGGGGGAGTCACGGCACGGGGGGAGTCACGGCACGGGGGGAGTCACGGCACGGGGGGGTCACGGCACGGGGGAGTCACGGCACGGGGGGAGTCACGGCACGGGGGGAATCACGGCACGGGGGGAGTCACGGCACAGGGGGAGTCACGGCCCGGGGGGGTCACGGCCCGGGGGGAGTCACGGCACAGGGGGAGTCACGGCACAGGGGGGGTCACGGCACGGGGGGAGTCACGGCACGGGGGGAGTCACGGCACGGGGGGGTCACGGCACGGGGGAGTCACGGCACGGGGGGAGTCACGGTACGGGGGGAGTCACGGCACGGGGGGAATCACGGCACGGGGGGAGTCACGGCACAGGGGGAGTCACGGCCCGGGGGGGTCACGGCACGGGGGGAGTCACGGCACGGGGGGGTCACGGCACGGGGGAGTCACGGCACGGGGGGAGTCACGGCACGGGGGGAATCACGGCACGGGGGGAGTCACGGCACAGGGGGAGTCACGGCCCGGGGGGGTCACGGCCCGGGGGGAGTCACGGCACGGGGGGAGTCACGGCACGGGGGGAGTCACGGCACGGGGGGAGTCACGGCACGGGGGGGTCACGGCACGGGGGAGTCACGGCACGGGGGGAGTCACGGCACGGGGGGGGTCACGGCACGGGGGGAGTCACGGCACAGGGGGAGTCACGGCCCGGGGGGGTCACGGCCCGGGGGGGTCACGGCCCGGGGGGAGTCACGGCACAGGGGGAGTCACGGCACAGGGGGGGTCACGGCACGGGGGGGTCACGGCACGGGGGGAGTCACGGCACGGGGGGGGTCACGGCACGGGGGGAGTCACGGCACGGGGGGGGTCACGGCACGGGGGGGGTCACGGCACGGGGGGAGTCACGGCACGGGGGGAGTCACGGCACGGGGGAGTCACGGCGCGGGGAAGTCACGGCACAGGGGGCACCAGGAGCTGCTCTCCAGGGACTCTCTGCTGCCCTTGCTCAGGGAAGGGGCTTGCGGGGACATGGAGGGAGGGCGCCAGGCGGGGCCACAGCCAACTGGGCATCCGGGACCTTCTGGTCTGCCTCATGCCTTGAGGCCAGTGGTGGGTTCCTCAGAGGCTCCCAGAGCTCCCACATGGGTGATCCTTGGGAGCAAATCTCGGAGCCTCAGCCACCCCCTCACCCGCTTCTCCCACGCCCCCTGAACCCATATTCCTTCTACGAAAACCCCATGACTGTTGTGATGTTCACAGTGGCTTTGTTTAGCCAGAAAACCCAGAGTGATGCAGACAGTACACAGAGGTAGCGAAATCAGTACATAGATTCATATTATTTGTGATTTATTGTTCCAACCCCTAAAATAACCTCAAAGACAATGGGGCAGGCAGATCATTGCCACCCCACACATGCCCTTCTCTGGATGGTTGGCAGCTGTGTTTGTGTGGGTTTGTGCAGAGGAGCTGAGGCTGCGGATGGAGGGAGTGGAGGTTGCTCCTCAACATGCTTGATGTAGGGGAGACCACACTGGGTTGTCCACATGGACCCAGCGCAGCCACAGGACCCTGCAGCCACACGGGGAGCGTAGGGGCGCTCAGGGGCTGCTGGAGCTGGAGGAGAGGCGGGAGCCCAGGATGGTGAACGCCTTGGGAAGCTGGAAACCCTGAGAAGCAGCTTCTGCCCAGAGCCCAGAAGGGAACGCAGCTTCACAGTGCTGGACTTTAGCCCCCAGGAGCTGCATCAGGCTTCCAACCTACTGAGCAGAAAGATGATAGATTTGTGTTGCTGCAAATCACAGTGTGTGGTGATTTGTCACAGCAACCATAGAAAACGAATGCAGATGGATGGTCTGCTGGTTTTAAATTTTCACTGTAGCGTGGCCATGGTTTGAATGTCTGTCCACTCCAAAGATCTCGTGGAAACTTAATCCCCAGCATGGCAGCATTGAGGGAGGACTTTAAGAGGTGACTGCATCCTGGAAGCTCATGAATGGATTCCTCCATCCATGTAAGGGAGGAGACCACCCCCCATATTGTCTTATGCCTAGTTTCTGCCTCCAAAGAAAGAAGTAAAAACTAAAAGGCAGAAATGAAATCCACACACAGACAGCCCGGCGCTGCGCCCTGGGCCTGGTTAAAGATCGACCCCTGACCTAATCGGTTATGTTATCTATAGATTCCAGACATTGTATGGAAAAGCATTGTGAAAATCCCTGTCCTGTTCTGTTCTGTTCTGTTCTGTTCTGATTACCAGTGCATGCAGCCCCCAGTCCTGTACCCTCTCCTTGCTCAACTGATCATGACCCTCTCATGCGGCCTCCCTTAGTGTTGTAAGCCCCTAAAAGGGACAGGAATTGCTCACTCAGGGAGCTCGGTTGTTGGAGACGTGAGTCTTGCCAAAGCTCCCAGCCAAATAAAACCCTTCCTTCTTTAACTCGGTGTCTGAGGGGTTTTGTCTGTGGCTTGTCCTGCCACACATGGACTCATGGACTAATGGGTTGCCATGGAAGAGGGACTGGTGGCTTTCCAGGAGGAGGAAGAGAGACCTGAGTGAGCACTTAGCATTCAGCCCGTGACCATGCAATTCCCGCGCCGCCTCTGACTTGGCAAAGCCTCCATCAGCACACAGTTCCTCAATACATGCAGACCCCAACCTTGGACTCCTCAGCCTCCGTAGGTGTAAGAAACAAATTCCTTTTTAAATAAATTACCCAGCTTCAAATATTCTGTTATAAGCAACAGAAAATGAACCAAGAGTATAGTTAGAATCGGTTTGTATATGCCGTGATGTTTTAGTTGTAAAAGGAAAATTGATTACATTATTGACAGCAGTAACACAGCATGTATGTAAGGTCTTATATCAACACCCTTATTCTGCATTATATTTTCTGTGATTGTTGCAATTTTTTTGTCTTTTGATTCTTGGAATGAGCTTTCTTTTGTGTGTGAGGACTGTTTTCTTATTCCCATCCACAACCTGGAGCTCCAAGTGCTGGACTCTCTGCCCAGCTGGGCCCAGGATGCTCTGACTTTTGTAGCAGCTGCCTGGGGATGTGCTTTGATTTCACTGTGTTCCCTGAATTTTGTGTTAGAAATTTAACCCCTAAGTCACATGTTAATGATATTTGGAGGTGGGGCCTTTGAGAGGGAACTGGGACTCCATGAGGTCATCAAGGTGGGGCCCCCCCGAAGGGGCTGGTGGCTCTGGAAGTGAGGAAGGGCACATCTCATGGCTCCTGCCAGGCCATGGCACAGCAGGAAGGCCCTCCCAAGATGCTGGCATCTCCCTCTCAGATGTCTCGGCCTCCAGAGTGTGAAGGTACCTCAATTCTGTATAAATTACCCAAACTGCAGCATTCAGTCATAGCAACAGAATGTGGACTAAGACAAGACAGGGGGTTGGCAAACACGACCTTTTGTAAAATGTGCACAACACATTGTAAATATTTATGGCAAGCAGAATCGTTTTATGATAACAGAACCGTTGGTCATTTGTGCTGGAGACTGTGTGAATTGGACACATTCCTCTCACTGGGAGAGTTAGGAAGCTTCTGCTTAAAATCCCACCTGAGCCTGTGAGTCTTTGCCCTGCAGTCATTGCTAGCAGCTGAGGGAAACCATGGCTTTAATGACCCACAACCTGGCATGTCTTTGTCTTTTCCAAAAGAGGCCCTGGGCTGGATTCCCCCTTGGTTCCTGAGGGGTTGACCTCATGGCTTGGAACTGCAGGAGAGGCAGGAGTGGGCCCCTGGGAGGTGAATCAGGGAGCTTGTTTCACGCCTCCCCACCAGTGACTCCCCTGGATTCCCCCATGAGACCACGTGTTCATCCCGTCTCATCAGCTGCAGAGCTGGGGCTCAGCGACCTGTTCTGGTTTGCACTTTCCACCTCCAGGGGCCTCACTTCCCCTGAACTGTTCTGGTTTGCACTTTCAAACTCCAGGGGCCTCACTTCCACTTCCCTCATCTTACTTTTTTGGGATTGCACCCCCAATACAAAGTCAGCAAATCCGCTGAGCTCCAGAGAACTCAGGATAATTTACTGTCTTTCTGTCTACCTATCTATCTTAATATCTATCCATCATCTTTCTATGGATTTATTTATCATCTAGCTTTCTATTTATTATTTACCTATCATCTATCAATCTTTCTTTCACCTATTTATCCATCTATCATTTATCTATATGGTATATATCTATTAATCATCTATTTATTCATTTATTATCTATCTAGCCATCATCTATCATTTATCGATTATCTATCTATCTATCTATCTATCTATCAATCATCTACCTACCTATTCATCCTTAAACAATGTATTGCTCATTTTGCTGTTTATGTTGAGGCACAAAAGTATAGTTCTCTATTTTTATGTGTTTATAACATTATTTAGCATAAAATACCCAAGATGTTATCCATTCTACAAGTGATTGAAGGCCTCCCCAACACTGGATTATTAAAAGCAGCGCAGCTGTAAACATTCCTGAGCCATGTCTGGGGCACACATGCAAGGGTGTGTCTAGGGTTTGTATCTGCAAGTGAGTTTCTTGAGTCTTAGGAGATGCACCTGTCCACTTTAGTAAATAACCGAATCACACCTTCCCAGAGTCCCTGCCCCAGGAGAGCTTGAGGCTCCCTTTCCTCCACTTCCTCGCCAATGCACACTGTGGGCAGGAGGTTTAATGTCTGATGCGGGGGAAATAGCTTTTTTGGTTTTAGTTGGCATTTTTCTGGTTGCAATGTCATTGAACATCTTTTCAAACACTTATTGGCCTCTGTTTCCTTGTATCTGGAATGTATGCACATGCATGTCTGTATATTTGTGTGTATATGGGTGTACACACACAGTGCTGTGTTTCTATTCCAGATTAACTCCCAGTAATTATTTTTATATTCTCAACAGTAATGCTTTGTCAGTTATATGTCATGCACTTATCTTCTTCAATCTGCAGCTCAAATATTTCTTCTAATGGTGTTTTCTGATTAATAGAATTTTCTATTTTTAATGTGCTAAGTCAGCAAGCTCTTAATGCATGACTCATGCTTTTTTATTTGAAGAAATATGTTTCTATCCTCAGCTCATAAAGATATTTTCATACTTTCTTGCAGATATTTTAGGTTTCCTTTCAAATTAAAATGCCTATTATATGTGGAATAAATAAATGCAAGATAAGATGTAGGAATCCAAGTTAATTTTTTCAATATTGATAACCAGGCGTTCCAGCACTGTTCACTGCAGGAACCTCTTTCACTCACTGATATACAATAATATGTCTGCGCTACATTGTTTGAATGTATGAGATGCTCAATTCCTAGTGTTCTATTCTGTGTTCTCTAATCTGTTTGTTTCCCCTCGTGCTGTGACTAGGCAATAGTGATTTCTATTACTTGATACCTGGCAAAGTAGTTTCCTAACCTTGTTCTTCTGAGATACGCCGGGGCAGGTTTTGATCCTTTACTCTCACATACAAATCGTAGAATCAATTTATCTAGTTCCATTATCAATCCTTTTGGAGTTCTTGAATTGTTGTTTTTATATATCATTATGGAGAAATGAAATTTCATGCTGTTAAATATTCATATCTATCAACTTATAGCCCAGGCAGGTGTGCAATGGTGCAATCTTGGCTCAAACGCAACCTCTGCCGCCCGAGTTCAAGCGATTCTCCTGCCTCAGACTTCCACGTAGCTGGAATTACAGGCATGTGCCACCATGCCTGGCTAATTTTTTATTTTTAGAAGAGACAGGGTTTCTCCATGTTGGTCAGGCTGGTCTCAAACTCCCAACCTCAAGTAATCCACTCGCCTCAGCCTCCCAAGTAGCTGGGATTACAGACGTGAGCCACTGTGCTGGGCCTTATCTTTCCACATTCTTAAAAAATGTCTTAAGTAAAAGTCTTATTCTATTTAAAACCATTCCTGTTATTTCTGTTTAGATTTGTTTTAGGAGCTTTAGAAATTTTATTTGAGGTTAACTGAAGATATAATTCGTGATATACTCCCTTTAGACCAGAGAAAGAAAAAATGGTTAAGACATTTTAAAAATACTATATGTAAATACTATGTGAAAATTAGCTAATGTATGAACTTAGTTATAGAAATGCAAGTATACTCTGTAGATGAGATGTCCAATTTTCTAATATTTGAATTATCTAGATAATTTCATGTATTCTACCCCGATATGAATTACTTGTTTTGTATTTTGTTACTTTAAAATCTATTCATGTGTTATAGCACTAGTTGGTGATTTTCTAAAGTAGTCATTAATTTGTAACCAATTTATCTGTATCAATTTAGGAATGTGTTGAAATATCAGAAAAGGAAATCTGCTGTGTTTAAATGCTGTATGTCTTGGATCAAAGATTTACAATTTAACTGTACTATATATTCACACATATAATTAGAAATAATGGAAATAGTATAGAATTAATTTATTTCTATCTTATCATCAACTGAACCATTGTTTTTAAATGTCAGGTTTTACTAATAATTTCTATTTTCTTTTGTGCAGTCTGTAAACATCCTGCATATTTCAAGAGTAATAGAAACATCAAGTTTGCTGCCTGGCCTCAGGGCTGGGGCAGGGCAGGTGTTTTTACAGACGCCTCCTACGTCTGTGGTGAATCTCTCAGGCATTTGCTTGGTTACTATAAACCTTCGGTGTTTCTAGAGTTCTGACAAAGTTGATTCTGACCGTTTTGCTCAGTTTTTTCAGTGATTCTGTGAAGGGACAGACCTTGGATTTTCCTCTCTGCTATTTTTGCAGACATCAGTGATTCTGTTGATCTTTGGTCATTACACAGTCCTTATTTTCCGGAATACACAGCCTGATCACAGTGTGTTATTCTGATTTAAAATTTCACTGTATGGTGATTTGTTAAACTGTTTAGCTATTTTTACATTTCTTGGGAAATTTTGGAAAATTTCCCCCAAAAAACAACTTTTTGGGGAAAAATTAAATGATAATTCTTTCTTGTAGTGAACTCCAGGTTTCAGCATCCATGCTATTCTCTCCCCAAAACATTAGGCGAGAATCGTTTCCTCTTTTCCTATCCTGGGAAGATGAGATGTGAGCTGAGCCCTATTTCTTTTACACACTTAGAACAATTTTTCATGAAAGCCATTTAGACCTGGATTTTCTTTACCGCTAGGCTTCTAATTATGTTTTGCTTATAATTTACATTATTTTAAATTAACAAATCATAATTGTATGATATTTATGGAGCACAATGCGATGCTATGACGTATGTTTTCAGTGTAGAAGGATTAACTCAAGCCAATCACACACTGCGCCTCACATACTTGCTGTTTTGGGGCCATAGATTTGAAATGTGTCCTCTTAGTGCCTGTGACATACACGTGCGTCATTGCTGTGCAGGAGGCAGGGGAATGGGGGGCCAGGGAGTGGGGAGCTGGAGTCACAGGACCCAAAGTGACAGGTGCATGGAGGAATGAGCTTTTTATTTATTCATTACTTTCATGTCCCCATGCAGCAGTCACAGAAAAAAAAAACATGTAAGTAAGAAAAATTTTGAATGTAAACTAGAGAGTAGTTAGTGGCCCTATTGTAGACTAAATAATGGCCTCCTACAGATACCCATGTTGCAGTCGGCGGAGCCTGTGAATGTCCCTTCCACGGACCCTGCAGGTGGGCTCAGCGAAGGGCCTGAAGATGGGAGCTGACTGTCCTGGGGGGTCCACTGGAATCGCAGAGGGCCTCGTCAGAGGGAGGCAGAGATCGGAGTGAACCAGCCGCAAGCCAAGCACTGCGGGCACCAGGAAAGCTGGAGAGGCAGCGAGGATCTTGGGTTAGAGCCTAGTGAGGGGGCGCGGCCCAGCCAGGAAGGCAGCCAGGATCTTCCCTCAGAGCCTAGCGAGGGGGCGCGGCCCAGCCAGGAGAGCTGGAGAGGCAGCGAGGATGTTCCCTCAGAGCCTGGCGAGGGGGCGTGGCCCAGCCAGGAGGGCGGGAGAGGCAGTGAAGATCTTCCCTCAGAGCCTGGCGAGGGGGCGCGGCCCAGCCAGGAGAGCTGGAGAGGCCCGGAGGATCTTCCCTCAGAGCCTAGCGAGGGAGCGCGGCCCAGCCAGGAGAGCTGGAGAGGCAGCCAGGATCTTCCCTCAGAGCCTGGCGAGTGAGGGCGGCCCAGCCAGGAGAGCTGGAGAGGCAGCGAGGATGTTCCCTCAGAGCCTGGCGAGGGGGCGTGGCCCAGCCAGGAGGGCGGGAGAGGCAGTGAAGATCTTCCCTCAGAGCCTGGGGAGGGGGCGGGGCCCAGCCAGGAGAGCTGGAGAGGCAGCCAGGATCTTCCCTCAGAGCCTGGCGAGGGGGCGCGGCCCAGCCAGGAGAGCTGGAGAGGCAGCGAGGATCTTCCCTCAGAGCCTATCTAGGGGGCGCGGCCCAGCCAGGAGAGCTGGAGAGGCAGCGAAGATCTTCCGTTAGAGCCCAGCGAGGGGGTGTGGCCCAGCCAGGAGGGCTGGAGAGGCAGCGAGGATCTTCCCTAAGAGCGTGGCGAGGGGGCGTGGCCCAGCCAGGAGAGCTGGAGAGGCAGCGAGGATCTTCCCTCAGAGCCTGGCGAGGGGGCGCGGCCCAGCCAGGAGAGCTGGAGAGGCAGCGAAGATCTTCCGTTAGAGCCCAGCGAGGGGGCGTGGCCCAGCCAGGAGGGCTGGAGTGGCAGCCAGGATCTTCCCTCAGAGCCTGGCGAGGGGGCGGGGCCCAGCCAGGAGAGCTGGAGAGGCAGCCAGGATCTTCCCTTAGAGCCCGGCGAGCGGGCGCGGCCCTGCCTACACCCCGACTTCATCCCAGTGAGGAGGACGTCGGACTTCTGGCCTCCAGAGCTGTGAGAAAATACATTTGAGATGTTCAAGCTGCCCAATGTCTGGTCATTTGTTACAAAAGATATGGAAAATCAACGCACCAGTAACTGGAGAAAATTGATCACGACTGAAAGGCAGTGGGCAAAACGTACTGTTGTAGGTCAGCCCAGACCAGAAACTGTAAGTCTATCAAACAGGCGGAGAAAAGCGGCCACCGTTTTATTCCTCAAGAATTGCACAGTGTTTATTTAAGTCAGCAACCCTGTGGAGCAGATTTAAATTTTATACAATTTCTAGACATACGGCATGCACCCACACGTGTATAATCATCATGCATGCATTATGTATGCATATGTGTGGAGGGACATATGCCAGTGTACGTGTGGGTGGGTACAATGAGAAAAGATACAGGGTCTTTAATTATGGAATTATCCAAGTTTCTATTCTTCTCAGAAATCACCATAATGTTTTGGGAATTCTCCCAGACTGCTTCTTGCACTGAAAGTTGTTCAAAATTCTGTTAGAAATTCTCTATATTTTGTCTAAAAATATGCTTCCCATATTGATGTGATACAAGTGAGGAAGAAATTACAAAATATTCACTGAGTAAAATAGCAATTTAAATGCATTGAATTAAATTGAGGACCTGAAAACCTAAACACAATTTTTCCATTGCTTGGTTTATGTGAAACTGGACCTGGAGGTTTTTGTTTTGTTTTTTCCTTCCCCGCCAAAGGAGGAGAGGGTTCAGCTTGGTGCATTGGAAAAGTTTTGTAAAATTATGTCTTAATGGTTTCTGTCAGATTTGGAAAGAATCATTGGCAGTCTAGGGAAAAGTGGATTTACACAAGGTACCGAAATTACCAGGTGATAGAGAAGACGTTTAAATTTGTGGGCCCTCACTCTGAGTTGAGGAAGGGGCCCCTGGTGTTTTTACGACGCACACTTTCTTACTGCTGTACCTGCTGTGGAATCTAGTGAGATTCTAAGTAGTCCTATTTAATTGTGAGTCAATAGTGACTTGCTGGGTGCGGTGGCGACTCCCACGGCGGATGGCTGGGTCGAGAGCACATCTTTATTTTCTCTCTAGATCATTCTTCTTCCTATTTTGATTTGAGAAAGGGAACGTGAGAATTAGGTCAACCAGAGTGTTTTCCCAGTAAGTGTTGAGGCAGGCGTTTGCAAGGAGCAGTATTGGAAGCGTTTCCGGAGTTTTCCAGTGTGTTCGGGTTTCACCTGCATGTCAGGGTTCGTCACCGTCACAGGAACCCTGGGTCATTTTGCCAACTCAGTAGAACGGGGCTAAAATGTAAGAGAAGTAACTTTTATTTTGAGAACATGCTCAAAAGTCTAACAAAATGCACACAGGGGATACAGAAAATAGAATGTGGCAAGGTGGGAGTCTGTGGAGGGAGTGGTGAGTAAATTGTAATCCGTCTTGGAGACCGTTTCCAAGTTTACACTACGTGAAGCGGACGGGGTTTGTGATGCACACAGGGCACAGCCCCCAAGCCCGGGTTCTCCATCGCTTAGTGGGAATGCAGCCTCTGTGTGGTTTCAAGAATGGACATCTGAGTTCTGGCCTGTGTCCATTTCAACATATTCACTGTTTGAAAGTGAATATTCAGTTTGACTCGTTTAATTTCAGAAGCACTGAGAACTGAACTTAGAACAGAAGAGCACTCTAAATAGAGAGAAGAGAGGAGATTGTTGAGGCAGATGGAAAGCATCACAGGAGAAGTGTGTGGCCCTCGCCTGTGGAGGTGAAGCTCCAGCAAGGCTCCATCTTGAGTTTTTTTAAATTTTGAGTAGTAAAGTGATTCACTAGATGGATTGCTAAAAGCAGTTCCCATTTTATGTTTTCTTTCTTTGGTATTCCCAAAATGCAAAAAAAGTATGTCTTAGGGCCGATATCCCCTTTTGAAATTACATCGTTAGGATTTCTGCCATCTTTGGAACCAGGTAAATATTTAATCCAGAGGTGTATCATGAAACACAGGACAGTGACTGAAGGAGAAAAGAGGTGTTTTCTGGGAAACAATTTTATGTAGCTAACTTTAAAGAAAGTCAGTACTTAGAAGTAAAGGAATAGTCCTTAGACTACACATCACAACTATAATCTATAAAACAATAAGCCTATAAATTAGACTCCACCAAAATTAGAAATATTTGTTCTGTAAAATGCCTTATTAAAAGAACAAAAATAAGATCTACAGATGGGGGAAAATACTTGCATATACCACATCTGAAGGAGGGCTTATCTGTGAAATATATAAAGAAC
Source organism: Homo sapiens (assembly GCF_000001405.40). Lineage (NCBI taxonomy): Eukaryota > Metazoa > Chordata > Mammalia > Primates > Hominidae > Homo > Homo sapiens. The sequence goes on from NC_000002.12 coordinate 743,232, forward strand.
TCTCAAGATGCAACAGTAAAATATAACAATCTAACTAGAAAATGGGCAAAAGATTTGGAGAGATATTCCAACACAATTAATACGGGAATGGCGAACACATGAAATGACTGCATTGTTACCCACTAAGAAAATGCAAATTAAAGTCATAGTGGGGTGTCACTGTATGCTTGTTAAAACAGCTCAAATAAAAAGAAAGACACATAAGTCCTGGTGAGAATGTGGATAAACCAGATCTCTCTTACACTGCTGGCAAGAATGCAAAATGATGCAGCCACTATAATGAACAATTTGGCACATAACATAATTATTTGAAAAGAAAAGACAGAAAATAGAGGTAGACAAAAAGCATTATTATAGATAAAGAATGCCAGTACATACTAGTAAACATGAGACCCACTAGGAATGATAAACAATTCTAAATATTTTCTCATCTAATAATATCACCTCAGTATGTTTAAAGCCCACAGATTGATAGAATTCCATGGTTATATTAATCAATTGTCACATTGGGGAGATTTAAATATCCCTCAATTTTGATAATAAAAGATAGTCAAAAATACAAGACTTAAACAAGGCAATTAAAACTTTGATTTATTGGGCATACAAATCCAAATTAGAGAATTGATTTTCTAAAATCCTTAAGAATACTATACAAAATTCACTATGTATTTTGCTATAATACAAGATTAAAAGGATGTTTCTGAAAAAGTGTACTTAAAGGACAATAACTAAAGATAAATGAAACCTCCTATTTGGCAATTAAAATAAACTCTTCTACACGTTAATCAATCATAAGATAGACACAATGGAAAATTTTAAGATGTAAGATTTGTCTAGCAATGAAAATACTATGTATCAAAAGCTGTTATATTTAGCAAAAGCATTATTTCAAGTAAAATGTATAATTTTAAGCATTAAATGCTGATGCCAAAAAAAAAAAAAAGACAAAGACTGGAGATTGGTAAACTAAGCATCCAAAGGGTGACATTTGAAAGAATCACAGAATCACAGAATATATACTAAGTAACAACTGTGGGATATGCCATGACAGCATTTTTAACCAGTTTGACAATCTGCTTCATGATTGGCATGTTTAGACATTTTCATTTAATCACTTAGAGGGTTTGATTTTTTCCATCGCAAATTTCATCCACAAATATCATTTCCTTTGTTTTCTATTTACTTCAGTTGTTCTTCATGATTCTTTCCTCTTTTCCGCATTCTTTTGGATTGAACGTTTTAATTGTTTTATTGTGTCATTTTTGTTGACTTATCAGTAACCTTTTCCTTCCATGTGTAACCATATTGGGATCTATGACTTTCCATGGGCAGCCATCAGGTGACCTTCGATGAATTCCCTCCCGGATGGGAGGGTCATGGTCGCCCTCTTCCCTTCTCACCTCCGGGATGGGAAGATCATGGTTGCACTCTTCCCTTCTCGCCTCCTTGTGTGGAACTTACACAACCATTGTGGATTTTTAATTTACACTCCCACCAACAGTGTAAAAGTGTTCCTATTTCTCCACATCCTCTCCAGCATCTGTTGTTTCCTGACTTTTTAATGATCGCCATTCTAACTGGCATGAGATGGTGTCTCATTGTGGTTTTGATTTGCATTTCTCTAATGACCAGTGATGAGCTTTTTTTCATATGTTTGTTGGCTGCATAAATGTCTTCTTTTGAAAAGTGTCTGTTCATATCCTTTGCCCACTTTTTGATGGGGTTGTTTGATTTTTTCTTGTAAATTTGTTTAAGTTCCTTGTAGGTTCTGGATATTGGCCCTTTGTCAGATGGATAGATTGCAAAAATTTTCTCCCATTCTGTAGGTTACCTGTTCACTGTGATGATAGTTTCTTTTGCTGTGCAGAAGCTCTTTAGTTTAATTAGATCCCATTGGTCAATTTTGGCTTTTATTGCAATTGCTTTTGGTGTTGTAGTCATGAAGTCTTTGTCCATGACTCTGTCCTAAGTGGTATTGCCTAGGTTTTCTTCTAAGGTTTTTATGGTTTTAGGTCTTAGGCTTAAATCTTTAATCCACCTTGAGTTAATTTTTGTATAAGGTGTAAGGAAGGGGTCCAGTTTCAGTTTTCCACATATGGCTAGCCAGTTTTCCCAACACCATTTATTAAATAGGGGATCCTTTCTCCATTGCTTGTTTTTGTCAGGTTTATCAAAGATCAGATGGCTGTAGATGTGTGGTGTTATTTCTGAGGCCTCTGTTCTATTCCATTGGTCTATATATCTGTTTTGGTACCAGTACCATGCTGTTTTGGTTACTGTAGCCTTGTAGTATAGTTTGAAGTCTGGTAGCATGATGCCTCCAGCTTTGTTCTTTTTGCTTAGGATTGTCTTGGCTATATGGTCTCTGTTTTGGTAACTTGGAACATTTTTCTCCAAGCATCTGCTTTCAGCATCTTTCTCCATCTTTATGGATGACAATTACCAATATATCAGGTTGCTTGGACTTGTCCACAGATCATGATGCTCTTTTCTTTCTTTCTGTTTCTCTCTCCTATAGCATCTTTTTTTTCTATGTACATTGACTGTGTGTACTTTGTGTTTCATTGTGGTTAGTTTCTTTTGCTGTGTCTCCAACTTCATGCCTATATGCTTCTGCAATGTGTAATCTGTTGTTCCTCCCATCCACTGTAGTTTTCATTTTAAACGTTGTAGCTTTTTTCCTCTAGAAGTTGGGTTTGAGTCTTTTATATATCATGAGTGTCTCTACTTAACTTTTGGACATACCTAATTCAGGTATAGTAATTTATAAATGTATTTGATAATTCTATATCTGTGTAAATCCTGGGTCAGTTTTTATGAATTTAATTTTTTCATCATCATATTATCACATTATTTAGAGATTTTAACTTTAATATTCCTGACTTCTTTTATCATGGGGTTTCTTGTATGCTTCATGAGTTAGAGCATCCTTCAGAAATCTTAAAAACTAATCAATGCATGAAAACTACCGGTGGAACAAAAAGGTTCAGCCACAGAAAACCACAGCATCATTTTGGTTTTAATATTTTTTTCACCCCCCTCCCCCCGCCCCACCACCAACAAATGTTATGTTTTGCGTTTTGGAAAATTTGTTTCTTAATTATAAAAACACACAATTTATTTTTCACATTAAAAAATTACATTGTTTAATGACAGAAACTCATGAATCCACAGTCACTCGGGGTCTGTCTGCTGGGCTCCACCAGCAGCAGCTGCACGCTCCCTGTGTGAGGATTCTGAGGTCCTCACATAGGGCAGGACACAAAGGTGAAGATGTGCTCTGTTCTACCTGCTTTGGTAGAAGTGGCATAGCTTTTCCCCTTGCAGTCTATCGGCCAGAAATGGCCACGTGGCCTCACCCACAGCAAGGGAGGCTGAGTGTATGGGGAACAATGTGGGGTGTTGTCGTCACAGCAGCTCCGCGGACAACACCTTCAGATCCTCAGGAGAAAGGAGCGATGCCGTAGTCATTAACTCATCTGTTTTCTCAACCTCAGCTCTAATCCATCAGGACATCGTATTGCCTCTACCTTTCAGATGTACCCAAACTTCAGCCACCCCTCGTGACCTCAGCCATTCTGGCCTGCGTCACAATAATCTCCATCTGGACTCCTGACGAATGTGCAGACTCCCTTCTCAACACTGGCCAGATATCTGCTGTGTCAGGCCAGACCCCTTCTCTACTCAAACCCTGCAGCATTTCCCTAGTTAAAGCAGATTGCCAAGGCTCTCCCAGAGCTGGGTCATGACCTGTAGAGATGGCATCTGAGCAAATTCTGATACTTAAAAAAAATTTTATTCTCCTTATTTTCATTCCACTTGAACCAAACAGCTTCACTGAGCATGCAGGACACAGGTCAGAGCCTTACCCTAGCTGTGCCTTTCTCTGGAATGTTCCTTTCCGAGGCAGCTCATGTCCACATCTGAGTGTAATGGAGGCTCAGACGTCACCTCCACAGGGATGCCCACCCTGACTGCACACTTAGCCTCGCAGCCTTGCTCACAACTGTGTCCAGGATCCCTTATTCTTACATACATAGTACCTTTTATCATTTAATTCCTACTCCACTTATTTATTGCAATTTTTATTGTTACTGACCTGTTTTATTACCCATCAGATTGTAAGTTCTACAGACACAGGGGAATTTGTCAGTAAGTGTATTATTGAATTCCAATCACTGGAATAAGACCTGGAAATACTTGGTACTTAATATATGTTCATTGAATGAATAAATCTCTGAGAAAAAATAGGGCAGTTCTGTTTCCTGATGCCCTAAGACATGTAGAGAATGCTACCCAAGGCACCCATTAATCATCGAGATAAAACGTTTAGACTCCCCTGAAGTTTTCGCCTATAGTTTACCTTTATAATTTGCTTCATTTTCAAGGCTGCCTTCACCCTTCATTTATTCGGATTTTTCCTTAGGAAAAGAGATCATGGGAAGGCATATCGGGGACGGAGCCCACGCTTCAGGGCCATTCTGCTGGGCTTTCCTACAGTGACCTCACCATCACCACCACCACCGACAACGACATCACAGCCCCGACCTCACCATCACCACCACCAATGACAACACTACAGCCCTGACCTCACCATCACCACCACCAACAACGACATCACAGCCCTGACCTCACCATCACCACCACCAATGACAACACTACAGCCCTGACCTCACCATCACCACCACCAATGACAATGACATCACAGCCCCGACCTCACCATCACCACCACCAATGACGATGCTACAGCCCCGACCTCACCATCACCACCACCAATGACAATGACATAACATCCCCGACCTCACCATCACCACCAATGACAACGACATCACAGCCCCGACCTCACCATCACCACCAATGACAATGACATCACAGCCCTGACCTCACCATCACTACCACCAATGACAACGACATCACAGCCCCAACCTCACCATTACCACCACCAACAACAATGACATCATGGCCCACAGGTGGCCAAACCCTTCAATCACCTGCAAACCAGCGACCCTCACTTTTGCTTCTGAAACTTATAAAAGCAAAAACAAAAAAACAGATTCTCAAACCCAAACCGTGGCAATTCTGGTTCAGCAGGTGTTAGTTGAGACCAGGCACTTTCATTTAAAATCACTACAGAAGTGTTTTTATGCACATCCAAAATTGAGAACCCCTGTGACAGCTCCTTAATATTCCCAAAGGGTTATTTAAGACTTACACATCTTTAAATGTGTGAGTACACAATGGTCGATGATCCTGCAATTCTCATTTATAAAAAGATGGCAGTCGTATCCAACTCCCGAGACGGCGAACCCGCACCATTTCCATGCGCGCTCTGTGCACAAGGCTGGCCTCACGTTGGCCAGCGACTCCCTCCCGGCGAGTCAGTTCTCAACTTGCTTCAGCAGAGGTGCATATGGTAGGGAGTGGCCCAACCTTTGGGATGGCCAGAGATCATCAGACCTGTGGGTCCATGTGCCGTTTGCTGTCATAAGTTCCTGTCATAACTCCCTGTGCGCCCATTTTGTTGGATGTGTTCACACTGTATTTTAGTTGCCAATGACTATATTTCAGTGTGTCTGCATAGAGGGCTGTGCTCTGTATTTCAGCATGTCCGCATGGAGAGCTGTGTGTGTTTCTATATTTCAGCGTGTCTGCATAGAGGCCTGTGGGTGTCTTCATATTTCAGTGTGTCTGCATAGAGGGCCGAGCTCCGTATGTCAGCGTGTCTGCATAGAGGCCTGTGGGTGTCTTCATATTTCAGTGTGTCTGCATAGAGGGCTGAGCTCCGTATGTCAGCGTGTCTGCATAGAGGCTGTGTGTGTCCCCTTAATCTTTGTTACTCTAGTTTTCAGATATTGTCTGGAACTGGAGAAGCCCCACATTTTATGATGGATAAATAAATAAAGGTTAAACGCAGGGCTGCGGAGCTCCGTTGCCTTCCTCGTAATTCTGCGAGACTCTGCGATATACTTTTCAGGGAGCATCACATTAGCTGTCACACACTGAGTGTCAACCAAAGCCACGCAAGGTGGCCTAAAATTAACGAGCTCGTTATGGAGGAGCCTCCACTAACGAAGTCAACAAATGCAAACTGGTTTGGTAACCTTCTGTAAAGAAAAGATCCATCATTGGTTAATATTTATTGTATAGATTATGGCAAAATTTAAAAAATAAACAGTATTTACTGAAATTTTATACATTGTATTTGTTCACTCATGATTTCAACATTTATTATCTCGTGTGCTCCAGACACCGGGCTGGTGACACCAGGGTCCAGATCACACTTTCCCTGTCCTCGCACTGGGGGGAAAGAAGAATAAATACCTTTATCTAAAACATAGTTACAAATAATAGCAAATCCTTTGAAAGGAACAAAACAGAATGAGATGGGTGTCTTACATCTGATGTGGGTGGGACAAGTCCTCTCTCAGGAGGAAATATTTTGGGCCAACTCTTCCTTGCCTTGGCAAATATGACTTAGTGAAGTAATGGATTTTTCATGCAGGGTGTTGAAAGGCTCAGGGTGCTCGCCCACATCAGTGAGGGAGGTGCAGCTGATGAAGGAAGTGCTGGGTGCAGAAGGGGATGCTCTGAAATGGTGGCTTCTGTTTGCAGTTTCAAAGCTCAGGTAATTTTCTTGTGCTTTATCTACTTATGCCTAAATTCAGAGGAAGGATAAAGAAAAAACAAACAATAATATTGAATTCTACTTCGGGTGAGACATTATGCTTGTTGCTTTTATGTCTGTCATCTACTTAGATCATAAAAACCCCGTGTGGTCTGACACATTATTTCTAGTTTACAGGTGAATAAATTAAATTCATAGACTAATATTACCTGAGTCCTAGAAATGGGCTTTAACTCAGGTATTGCTGACATCTAGATCAGTGCAGTAGAACTTTAGTTAATTCCAGTTATAAAATAGCTATTAATTAGGGTTTTCATTGGCTTAAATGTTTAAAACTGAGTTGTCACCTGTTTATTTTATTTTATTTTATTTTATTTTTGAGACAGGGCCTTTCTCTGTTGCCCAGACTGGAGTGCAGTGGCGTGATAGCAGCTCTCTGCAGCCTCAAACTCTTGGGCTGAAAAGATATTCCCATTTCAGCTTCCTGAGTAGCTGAGACTACAAGTACACATCACCACACTTGGCTAATTCTTTTTTTTCTTTTTCTGAGACAGAGTCCTGCTCTGATGCCCAGGCTAGAATACAGTGGCACGATCTCAGCTCACTCCAGTCTCCACCATCCCAGGTTCAAGTGATTCTCCTGCCTCAGCTTCCTGAGTAGCTGGGATTACAGGTGCCCGCCACCACACCCAACTAATTTTTGTAGAGACAGGGTTTCACCATCTTGGCCAGGCTGGTCTTGAACTCCTGACCTCGTGATCCACCTGCCTCTGCCTCCCAAAGTGCTGGGATTACAAGTGTGAGCCACCACGCCTGGCTGGATAATTTTTTATATACGTTTTGTAGAGACAGTGCCTTGCTATGTTGCCCAGGCTGATCTTGAACTCCTGGCCTCAAGCAATCCTCTCCCTTCAGCCTCCAAAAGCCCTGAGATTACGGGCCTGAGCCACCATGCCCGGCCAGTTTTGTTTTTTATCTTAAATGTGTATTTGTGAATTATTTTGCAATGGTTGGCGGGCTCACAGACCCTGAAAAGGCTTGTACTTTTGGTAGAAAGGCATGAGCAACACACAAAAATATCTGCAAACAGACATGGCTTTTTTCCTCAACATGTTCTAAATCATTTGAAAACTTTTAATTTTCAAAATTAAAGGCCTGAGTAAAATTCCAGCTGACAAATCCACCTCTTATTCTCCCTTGGTAATTAATCATGAGATGGTAAACACAGAAGACCTTCAGTGAAGTTGAAGCCTTTACTATACGAAGGTTCTAGTGAGGGGAGTGCAAAGTGGGGCCGCAGGACAGACACCTGCTCTGATGACCACGGAACATGGCGTGGTGGAGTCAATGTGTGGAAACTCAGCAATGGTGTGAGTCTCGCGTGGAGCTGCCGACCCATCGCTTCCTCATGGGAAAGATTTTTCCACTTGGGCTCCACTTATCGCACTCAAGAAACACTGGATATTCTGGGAAACTCTTGGAGGGCAGGCAAAAACCATCCTCCCTCAGACATGGAGCATTGACTAAGCTGCTTGTACCTGGGCAGTGTCTGTTTTAAGTATTAACTAAAAATCATTTCCAAGGGAAGCAACATAGGAAACAGGAATTAAAAATGCAAATGCTGAATGCTGTGTGTGTGCACATTTGAAGGGGCCAGACCACTCTCCACTTTGATTTATGCGTAAACGCAACTATCCCTCCCTGTACTCACCCCTTAAGCCCACATGACCGCTGAACAATGACCCCAGTCAAATCTCAGCCACTCCTCTTTCCTCACTCAAAAGCCACCATGGCCGAGTTCCTCGGGTCTAGCTGCTGCTCTGGGCTTCCGATGGCCTTGAAACCCCATGTTTGTCCCTGTGCTTCTGTCAAGTCATTTTTCCACAGCGTTCTGGGGCCACAGGTGAAGGGTGAGGCATCTGCAGGTGTTGAGGTGCCTGCAGGGACCTCTCAGGGGACGCCTGCTGGTGTCTGCGTGGCGTGAACACTGTTCTATTTGGACCCAGCCTGGGAATGACCTTAGGCCACTTACCTGTCCTCATCTACAACAGGGACTTTTAATATCTGGGATAGAAATGCTTTTGTTCTGTAGGTTTTGTTTATGGTGTTATGATTGTATGTTTATTATCCATTAATTTATTTATTCAAAATATCATTGAGCAAATATTTGCTTCCAAATATTCCATTAGATATTTCATATATATTCTATTATTTAATTCTCATAATATTATGGGATGGTGAGAACGTGCAAAAATGGAGGTTGGAAGTAGCGAGTCGCCCAGTCACACTCGACTCCTAAGGAAGACAATTTAGATTGAATCTGGGTCTTCTGATGAAAAATCTACTTTCTCCTATTCATATTGTTGCCATTTTATGGCATATTATGTTTTTATAATCCTAACAATTTATTAACATATAAAACCTGACACACAACAGCAGGCACGAGGGTAACATAGCAGATGCCGGTAGCACCATCACGGTTCCACGTCAGCCGTCCCCCAGAGGCTGCAAACTCCAGTTTTAAGATAGAATGTTTTTTCCTGCTCCTCTATCCCAGTACGTGAAATTCCTACATGGCGATCCACACCCTATGTCTCCCTCCTGAAGGTGTCATGATCCACGCCGACCCTGGGTAACCCTGGGTAGAGGCTGAGTGAGTTCCAGTGGTGACTGGGAGAAAATCTCCCTGTGATGGGAACTGGGCTTCAGACTTACTTGTTCCAGAGAAAATAATGTGACTCTTCGTGTCTTCCTGAGTTTATCTGTGAAACTGGCCAGTGTTTACTGAGTGTAGCACATGCAACCTGCACTTCTGGGCGCTGGAGACACGGGTGAGCACGTGACAAGCACACGCCCGCTCTGACCCACCGCGGGGTGGGACACACCTCAGAGTCATCATGATGAAGAAAATGCCAGAGAATTTTGTCTGCCCTTAATTTCTTATTAAATCACCCTAAAGGTGGGCATCCCCAGATCTTTTGGAAGACATCCATGTTCTCCAGGTAGAAGCCTCTGTTCTGTTTGGTCAGGAAGAGGTGTCCTGCTCTGGCCGTTCCAATATTCAGGAAACAGGTTCCTGTGTTGGGCTTCTCTCCCTTCCGTTTTTAGCCTTCTTTGCTACTACTCATCACCTCGGGCCAGGTTAGTACTTCCCTTCTCCATAAAGACATTCTTAGGGCATCTGCCTCGATGACACTCTCCCTTCCATGAGCATCTATTGCTCAGACATCTTTTCAGCAATACTAGAGTCTGGCCATCATACCAAATGCTAGGAGAAACTTAATACCCACATTTAAGAAGTGCACCATCAAATGTGGAAAACAAATGTTTAGACACATAATCTGCTATGGACATTTCATTGAAAGTGGATACAAGGTGAAGAGGGAGAAAGAGGAAGTCCACCCTGTCCATCCAAAAGGAGCTGACGGAAGGCTAAGTGAACACCACCTGAGTTCTGAAGGAAGCGCGGGATGCACCTGCAGGAGGCGGCTGGAGAGGGGTGCACAGGCTCCACACGTATCCGCTTGGTCCCACGGGTGCTGCCAGTGAGGCCAGCTGTAGCCAGGGGTAATCTGATGTCATTGCCCTTGTTCAAGACAAAGCAATGATGAGGTTGGCATTTAATGTCATCAATAGCAATTAGCTGCATAGGAAATTAATGACCAATTGAATTAATTCAAGCATTAACTCTTTACGAATTCTTCCTCCAAATATTGAGAACGTCTTCACGGAAGTGCTTTTGTGCAGAGTTCACATGGGAAGTTTTAAGGACTTAAGATGAATTCATTGCACTTAACTACTTAGGAAATAAACTGTCTTGTACCTGGTTATGAATATAATGCAGGCAATTCCCAGTAGTCATGATATTTGCTTGCTCTTCTAAAGAAATGTGACCACTGGATCCATAGAAGAAAATGGACTTTCCTGCACTATTTTTATTTTCATATTTAAAATGTGAGAATATTGTATCTAAGCATGACAGAAATTAATTTTTCCTAATAGTTTTGAAATCTAAAGTGAAAACCACAGTCTCATTGCTTGCTATCTTATCTTTCAGGGATTTTATATTAAGTGTTGCTCAACTAATGCATCCTATTACAAAATATGAATTTAAGTTTAGCATGTTCATGGCTTAGTACTTTAAAACCCTATTTTGTTTATATCTGCTTGTTTTCCATATAAAACTTATGAATCTCTTATTTGTTTTTCTGACATTCTAAATACTTATATATTTCTATATTATTTACGCAGATATTTCCTGGGAATAGAAATTCATCTCCTGGAAGTAAACGCAATAGTAAAATCCAAATAAGGAGCTGTGGTATTTGGTGTGACTTAAGAAGTTTTTAAAATCTGGACTTTGCTCTTGTTAGCTCTGTGCACCTGAGAGACTTTGAACATCCATTTTTAAACTGCAGCTTCTCTCTATATAAATGGGCTATATGGGAATTGAACAATGAGATCACATGGACACAGGAAGGGGAATATCACACTCTGGGGACTGTGGTGGGGTGGGGGGAAGGGGAAGGGATAGCACTGGGAGATATACCTAATGCTAGATGACGAGTTAGTGGGTGCAGTGCACCAGCATGGCACATGTATACATATGTAACTAACCTGCACAATGTGCACATGTACCCTAAAACTTAAAGTATAATAAAAAAAAATCAAAGGTTAGAAAAAAAAAAGGTGAAAAAAAATAAATGGGCTATAATAATATTTAAGCACAATGTTAAGGATTCAATGGTAAAATCTAGAAGTATATATAATGTCCAGATGTATGTTCCATAAAACTTAGATACTATAATGACAAATGTGGCATATTTTTAGAAAAGTCAGTGTCTATGTAGCAGCATTGATATCCTGCATTTTCCTCCTTGAATTAAAATAGAAACTACTATGACATTTTCTGTCTACTCAGAGTGCCTAAAAACCAGTACCAGTGCCTGCATGCCAGGCTAAAGCAGGCAGCATCATCACCAGTGCCTACGTACCAGGCTAAAGCAGGCAGCATCGTCTTCAAAGTCAAATACTAGTTACTGCTGATCATTCTAGACTGAATTCCACTAAAGCAACTCGCCCAATCAGAGTTTTACAAGAAGATTTAAATATTTTATACCATTTAGAACAGTTCTAAAATCTTCAGATGTTAATAATCTAAAAACCCTCCAGGGGTCTTTTTAAGGCAGGTGACATCTAAGTAGATCTTTAAGGGGAACGATGATAAAAATGAAAGTCGGACATTGACGGGGAGAGAACTGCAGGTTCAAAGACATGAGGCATCATTATAGAGAGCATGCAGAGACCTGCAGACATTTTTCAACTTACTAGGGTTTTAAGAGAGAAGCAACTTGGAGGCATGACTTCTGGAGTGGCATGGCTTAAGAAGGCTGTGGAAACTGTTCTCCCAGAGAGGCATCCATTATTATGCTGATCAAAATCAGCAAAATCAATCATTCCAAATCACTGGAGATTGATCAAAGGGCTTACAGAACCGGAGAAGAATTTGTTAAACAAAATCTACAGATACTTGGCAAGAATAGTGGGAGGACAGGGCATTTGCTGTAGGAATTCCCTCCATCCATCCACAGTTCTGCAGTAAGGAAGAACCTCTCCAGCAGGCTGGGAAACCGGTGACCATGGGCAGTTCTCATCCTGTTCAGCACCTGGTGGGGAAGAACTGTCCTGAGTGGGTTTGGCAGCCAATGAACATGGGCAGATTTATTCTCCACAGCAGAGTTCCACACAGGCCCACATGGAGCTACTGGCAGTGCTGGGAAGGTGGTGCCTGTCCCGTCTCTAGTTCATGCTACCCAGAGAGGACCCAAAGAGATCAAGAGGAGGAGGGGTCCAGTCTCCCATCTCTGGGTCCCTAGAGAAGAGGACTCTCTAGGTAAGGTCTCTCATGCCTCAAAGATGAGCAGCACCCTTCCCCTGCCAAGGGACCCAGATTTAATTGGATCAGAGTAGAGCAAGTCATACCCCATGATCTTGTGGAAAACAGTAGGGTGATCCACAAGCAATTTGTGAAGGATGACAGTTGGATGTGATACCAACAGAGGAAGAGAAGCCACATCCTCAGCAGAGGGATCAGGGAAACAGACCATTTCAGAGACAGCCTCGCTGAAACCACAGGGTCCCTGGTGGTCAAGAAGACTGTGCATATGCCCAGAGCTCTGCCCTCTGAGAAGCAGAGGACACAGACTTCACCGAACTAGGCCAGCCAAGACACTGAACAAATGGACAGTCCCGTAAGCAAACTGGGATGGGAGGGATCGGTGTCCAGAGTTGTTATGTTATTCAAAATGCCCAGGTTTCAGCAGAAAGGTATAAGGCATTAAAAAAAATTAAAGTGTAACACAGAAACAAAAAACAACAGCTTATGCAAATGCCTTGAGAAAGGCCCCCATATTGTACTTAGCAGAGGAATACTTCACAGAATTTATGACAAATATGCTCAAAGAGCTAGAAGAAACTATGATTAAAGAACTAAAGTACATAGAAAACCCTAGACTCCATCAAACAATTATTTATAATAATAACTTCAGTATAATTGCAATCTACAAAATCAGCATACAAAATAAAATGCATTTTTATACACTAACAATAAACTCTCTGAAAAAGAAATTAAGAAACAACTCCCACCTTGGCCCATTTAACATAGCACCAACAAACACTTAGGAATAAGTTTAACCAAGGAGGTAAAAGATCAGTACACTGAACAATAAAACATTGATTTAAAAAATTAAGATACAAATAAATAGAAAGATATCCCATGAGTTATGGTCTGAATGTTTGTGGCCCCCTATATTTATGTTGAAATCTTCACCCCCAAAGTCACAGTGTTTGGAGGGGAGGGGCCTTTGGGAGGTGATGAGGTGGTGAGAGAGGAGTCCTCCTGGTTGAGGTTAGTGCCCTACTAAAAAACCTTAGAGAGTTCCCTTCCACCTCCCCACTGTGAGAACACAGTGAGAAAGTGCTATCCAGGAACCAGAAAGTGGGCCCTCCTCAGATAATGAATCTGCTGACACCTTGATCTTGGACTTCCCAGCCTCCAGAACTGTGAGAAATACATTTCTGTGGTTTATAAGCTGCTCAGTTTATGGTATTTTGTTACAGCAGCCAGAACGTATTAAGATACTGTGCTCATGGACTGGAAGAATTAATATTAAATAATTAAAATGTCCATACTACCAAAAGTGATCTACAGATTCAATGTGATCCCTATGAAAACTCCAATGGCATTTTTCACAGAAATAAAACCAAATCCTCAATTTCATATGGGACCAATTAAACAAGTAGAACAAAGCTGGAGGGATCACACCTGCCAATTTTAAGTTATATTACAAACCTATGGTAATCAAAACAGCATCATCCTGGAACAAAAACAGACAGGTTTCTTAGCAGAAACAAAAATGAAACTACCATATAATTTAGCAAACCCACTCTGGGTATTTGTCCAAAGGAAAGAAAATCAGTATGTGAAAGAGGTATCTGCAATCTTATGTTTACTTCAGCACTATTCACAATAGCCAAGATATGGAATCAACCCAAGTGTCCATCAACAGATGAATGGGTAAAGAAAATGTGGTACGCATACATCATGGAATACTATGCAGCCTTTAAAAAAGAAGGAAACTATGCCATTTGCAGCAATATGGATGAACACGAAGAACATGATGCAAAGTGAAATCAGCCAGACACAGAAAGACAAATGCTGTGTGATATCACTTATATGTGGAATTTAAAATAGTCAAACTCATGGAAGCAGAGAGTAGAATGGTGGCTTCCAGGGACTGAGGTAACAGAGCAATGGAGATGTGATAGCCAAAAGTACAAAGTTTCATTTATGCAAGATAAATAATATCTAGAGAGCTACAATACAGCACAGGGCATATGGTTAGCAATATTATATTGTATACTTAAAATCTGCTAAAGAGTAGATCTTATATTAAGGGTTATTACTAATAATAAGAAAAAGGCCAGGTGTGGTGGCTCATGCCTGTAATCCCAGCACTTTGGGAGGCCAAGGCGGGTGGATTGCCTAAGCTCAGGAGTTCAAGACCAGCCTGGTCAACATGGCAAAACCCCGTCTCTACTAAAAATACAAAAAATTAGCCGGGCATGGTGGTGGGTGCCTGTAATCTCAGCTACTGGGGAGGCTGAGGCAGGAGAATCACTTGAACCCAGGAGGCGGAGGCTGCAGTGAGCCGAGATCACACCATTGCACTGTAGCCTGGGCAACAGAGCAAGGCTCCGTCTCAAAAAAAAAAAAAAAAAAAAGACAAAACACTGACTTCCCTGAGATTTCATACTCTGGTTAAAGGGGTTGTCGTATTTCCCTGACTTCCCAGCTTCCCTGTGGTTTGTCAGTTTAGCATTTTATAGCTCTTGCAAAGAGTCCCAACCACAGAAACAGCTACTGCTGATAATAGTTCTGATAGAGCCAGCATTCACTGAGCAATGCCTTTGGGCATTGTGTATCTAATTGTTCCAAACACTTTAACAAGTGTATTGTTTGATTCCTACTGTGGAGTGATCCCCAGGATACTGGAGTGGAGAGTTGGGGAAGGAAGCCGTGACACAGCCGCCCGAGGTAGCACAGCCGCCCTGCTGCGGGGTGCACCTCCTCCCAGGCACTGGCCTATGGGTGAGCATCTCTCCTTTCCTGAATGCCATCGCCCCATCCTTGAAGCAGCTGGTCATTCCTGTCCTAAACTGGTGGTCAACAGTGCAGGGGGCACAGGGTCCCATGAGAGCCGCTGGGCTGAGTGCCTGGAAGAAGCTCAGGGGCATCTGGAAAGAGGAACTTGGGCTGGTTTGAAGGGTGAAGAATCACGCGCAGGAAACCTCAGGGATGGATGCGGCACTGTCCCCACACCTGCTGTTTGCATCCCTCATTCAACAAGCAGCTCTGTCCTCTTCTCAAAATGCTGCCTAAGCCTCAGTTCTTCGGGGAATTCAGTTTTGAAGACTAGTGAGAGGGCAAGAGGATTATTATTGCATATTCTCCAAAACAAGGCACTTTCTTCCAAAGTACATCCCATTTGTCTTTCTGCAAAATCTCTCGTTTTGATTTATCTTTCAAGAGATAACACTTGGATGAAGTGAAATTATTCTCCACATGTTCGCATACACACAGACATCTCTTATATACACATGCACATACATCTATGATATAGATTTTATTTCATATGTTAAAAAAGTGGGCAGGCACAGTGGTTTACGCCTATAATCCCAACACTTTGAGAGTCTGAAGCTGGAGGATAGCTTGAACCCAGGAGTTCAAGATCAGCCTGGGCAACATGGCGAAACGCCTTCTCTATGAAAAATACAAATAAAATTAGCCAGGTGTGGTGGTGTGTGCTTGAGTTCCAGCTACTGGGGAGGCTGAGGTGGTAAGATTGCTCCCGGAAGTTGGAGGCCACAGTGAGCTGTGGTCGTGCCACTGCATTCCAGCCTGGCCCATGGAGCAACGCCCTGTCTCAAAAACATGTATATTTTCACCTAAAAACATTACAATAGACAGGTGAAAAGAAGAGAAAACTCCCCTGCAATTTCATTACCCAGTGGTAATCACTGTTCACGTTTGGTTTAGCATATCTGTCATTTCATTTGTGCACATACATACATGAATATTTAGTTCAAAAATATAATTACAGTCTATGTAATAGTATAATTTTCTTTATAATAGCTTTAACCTATCAATTTCAATAAGCACTTTTAAGTAGAATTTTTAATAACTGCATGACATAGCAATTTATATAACCTTCCTTCGTTTGCTGCCTTTAATTTTAGCAATGGTATTGAGATGAACAGATCTGTAATATCGATATTACTGAGGATGATTTTGTAGATATGGAATGTATATATGTTTGAGAGAAAAACTGCCACAATGCCTTCCAACAATATTGCATCCCCTTCTGCACCTACAGAAATACTTCCTGAGGATTCCAGTCTCCTTTATCTAGGCCAGTCAAGCCACCGCCTCACGGGTAGCATGTGCCGCGTATGTTTGTGGGTGTGCAATGATGTCTCTATGTGATTATATATATGTGTGTGTCTATAATGTGGTCAATATTTGCCTACTTTATTGGTAAAAAGAGTAGCTTTTTATCATCTGCTATTGCCAGTGAGATTGCATTCTTTTTAAAAATATTATTTGAATTTTTGGAAATACGGCTTTAGCTTTTCTCTTTTATGCTTTTTCCCTTCCCCTGAGTAAATCCCAACTAGTTACTTCCATGCATTTCTTTTTGTTTTATTTTTCTGCTCCCTGTGGTTGGAGATCGCGCTCCACAATGAATTCTGGGCACACCCACCACAATTGGGAAATGGTAAACACAGCCGCTCACAGCACTGGACCTGCGCTTTCATGTGTGTCACTGCCAAGAACACCTCAAACTTTGAAACTTTATTTAGGTGTCCTCAGACAATTCCTTCCTCATCTGAATATTATTCACTAATTGGTATTTTCTAACAATTGTGGGATATTATCAAGAGCTCATCTTTCTAACAAAGTTATCTTTAATAGGCAAATACTGAGATATATGTAATTTCCATGGAAAAGCAAAACAAAACAAAAACAGAAACCGCCTGAAGCTTCCCTCAGTCCCTCCGATTTTCAAAGGCTATCAGCAGAGAGCTCTAGGTGCTGCTTATTCCTGCAGGGCAGGAAGCAGTTTAGTGTTTTGTCGAAAGGCCTTTTAGCTCCATGTTCTTAGGTCAAGACTATTTCTCTGCACAAATTCACCTGAAAATGCGAAGGACTGCTCTCTGCATCCTTCCAGGTGGGGCCTGAGTGCCTTCAGATGCTGCAGGGAAGCCAGGGCCCCCAGGAAACTCTTAGGATGAAGCTGATGGGCAGGCCCCAGCCCCAGGGATGTCTTGCAATCAGGTCTCTCTGTGAACTGGGGTCATGTGTCTTTGTAAATCAGTCTAGTTACTCATTGTAGTAGGTATAGAGCAAGAGCAGAAAATCATACTTTAATTTCTGTGACTATAAATTAACAACTCTAAATTTTGTTAATTTCTATTCAAAAATGCTAAAATTTCATGTAATAACAATTTGACCTTGCATTGAAACCCCAAAGTACCAAAAAATATTTCCAGGCATTAAATTTACTATCAGAATAGCTACCATCTTTTCATTGGCAAAACAGCACCAATTTTACTGGAAAAAAAAAAAACAGCCGGAGGGGCATTTCCAGAAGCTGGTGGATTGGCTGAAATTCACCCCCAGATTAATCACTGCTTTTCCTCACCCTCCCACACAGCTGGCATTTTCTTTGCCCTGTCCGACCCCAACACAAATGCCCTTAATTAACTCAATAGTTCAATAGAATTGCTATAACTCATTTTATTCTACTAGCTAAGAATTTCTCCTTTGTGGCATCTAGAAAATGGGTAAATAAACAAACAAACAAAAACACCTAAACTTAACCAGAACACGTCCCTCAAACACAGCTTAGCACCTGTTGGTTTCTACTAATTTCTTTCTTCACTGTCATTTTTTACCAAAACAAACTGGAAAGTTCCTGGAAGGCAGACGCCCCCTCCAAATCCTGAACACAAGTCCCCAAATGTCCTGACTGCACATGGAGCCCTTGGGAGAATGTTACAAGTCCACAGGCTCTTCTGTATGACTTGTGAAAGCCCTATGGATGGGTTGAAAGTGTCCACGCCCCTGAGGTGAGAAGAGTGCATCGTTCTTGTTTACCTGAGCGGGGAGCTCTGAACCCCATTCCCACCGCAGGAGCCACCCA
Source organism: Homo sapiens (assembly GCF_000001405.40). Taxonomy (NCBI): domain Eukaryota; kingdom Metazoa; phylum Chordata; class Mammalia; order Primates; family Hominidae; genus Homo; species Homo sapiens. The sequence continues at coordinate 761,622 of NC_000002.12, forward strand.
GGTCAGCAGGGCTCACCCACACCAGGCTCAGAACACTCCCCTGGACGTCTTCACAGGACTGGGGCCTCAAGACCCCTGAGACCAGGAGTCACACACCCTCAGCTCAGTGTAGGTTTAATTTTTAAACAGCATGCTTTTAAGATGAGAGTGCCCAATAAAGCTGTTTTACTTTAGTAATTAGGGCTTTCTCCTAAAAGAATTTTGAAAACTGTTTGAAGTGCTTTCAAAGTCATCTTAATTTTAGCCTGTCTCAGAAATAGAGGCAATTTTCATAATTTTGTTTGTAAAAGTATAGACCTGTCATTCTTCTAGGCACCTTAAAGAAGTAATTTTCTTTAAAAGGTTGTGGGATCTTTTTTTCCTTCTATCATATCTCTTCAAAAAGTACTCAGTTTCAAAGAATAGATAAATATTTTATGTGTGCATTTAAAATCTCTATTTTTTAATGCTAGGACTGAGATATTTTGTTTTTATTGTTGATGGCATCTGCAGGGTGAATATGTAATATGTATTGATACATACATAGAGAAATGCACACAGATACACATGTATATGTACATGTATATGCATCTATTTGATTTTAACATCAGAGTATCTTTAGAGATCTAGCTTTTGGAAATACGATGTTTATATTCTTCAAATGATAACTGCAATTCAAGCAGAAATCCATGGTATGCAGAAGAGAACAGGAGGCAACATGTTTTTACTCATTTTTCTATCCGCTAAAGACTGGCCTACCGTGTGCGGGGTTTCATATAATCTCTCAGCAACTAAGCCAACTAATGACAGAAAAAAACAAAGGGACAATGACTAAAACCCACTAGACAATAAGGATTAATTAAATTATACATATGGTTTTATAATTAATTAACTACCAGCTCTAGTGCAGGCAAAATAATGACAGTGTAGGGGAAACTCAGAGAGACTGTAGCAATGTAACCCATGTCTAACTAAATAACCATGTTGTTTTTAAGCATTAATTTCATCAAAATTATCAAAAGCATCCACTTCTCATATATTCTTCCTCATAAGAAAAATACAGCAGACTCTGTCAATAAGCATCAAATCTAATTGGAATCACTAAAAAAAGTCAATGACAAAAAAAAAAAAATGAGCAGCTGGGGTTCAATTAGAAGTGACCTCGCCACGCTCTGTGACTCCAAGTGAAGCTGGAGCAAGTGCACAGCAGGCAATGGAGGGCCTGGTTCATGAAGAGAGGGCTCGAGGGTCACAGGAAATTGACAAGCGCTTTGATGTTATATGATTAGGTCATGAAAGTGAGTGGAGGCTAAGGATGAAAGAATTCTAACTTCAGAGGAATTTAAAGGAGGAAGAATTAAGAGAGAAACAGGCTTCTGTGAAGCATACTGAAATCTGAGAATATGTTTGGGTCATTGCTATTCAATCCACAGTCATATTTTTTACACCACTAAAGTGAAATCATTTTGTTAAAGTTTCTTTTTCCTGATGATAAAAGTCACATGGGTTTATTTTGTAATAGTTAGAAAGCATAGGAAAATACAAGATACCCTCCACCTGCACACCACTGTGCAGATGTAACCTGGGGTGAGCTCTTTCCCCTTCTGCCTGTATGTGCATGTGTGTAAATGTGTATGCATGTGTGCAAATGTGCGTGTGCAAGTGTGTGACTGTGTGTGTATTTAGGATTACAGTGCTTTGCTTTGTGTTTTATTTGCTTTCTTACAAAACATTATAGCTTGAATGTCTTCTGTAAGTAAATAAGTGAAGAGATACTCTGTGACTATGGCCAGTGAGGCTCAATTCTGTGACTATAGGAAGTGAGGCTCAATTCTGAGACTCAATATTGTCAAGATGCCAAATTTCTGGACATTTAACTGATGAGAATGAGTTTCATTTTTTGGAGTTTACTTGGCCTACCCGGGATGATAAGCACTTTCTATGCACTGTACCAGGGGATCGTCACGACAGCCCTGGGTTCTGGTGCCGCCTTGCAGGGGAGAAGGTGAAGGTGGAGCGGTAACCCGGGGTTCTGGTGCCGCCTTGCAGGGGAGAAGGTGAAGATGGAGGGGTAACCCTGGGATCTGGTGCTGCCTTGCAGGAGAGAAGGTGAAGATGGAGTGGTTAGGGGCCATTTCGAACGCTGCAGTAAGTGCCAAATCCACAGTTTGAATCGAATTCCAGAAACTCCAGAGTTTGCCTTCCGAACCAATCTGAGAATTATGCTGGTCCTCACATGCAGTCCCACGCCTGTCTCATTGGTCTCAGGCTATGGCTTTGACCATTTGGCCCCAGTGGTGACAGCACGGGTCACTCACTCACCTGTAGGAGGAACATGGACACAGCCATAGAGACCGCATCCCTGGGTTTTCCCAGAAGGACCTTGGGTATGCGGGACATGGCCCCCACAGGGCATGATCGGAATGTCCAGTACTGTCCAGTTCATTCACTCTGGAGTCCCTCCTTCCCTGGGCTGTTATAAAACTAGAGTGAGTTCATGAGCACGAGGTTATGTTTGAAAACTCAATAGTCTTGCAAAAATCCGCGCTCTATTTACTGTGTAGAAACTTCGTTTGAGAACCATGTCTTCAAAAAACAAGGCTGTGGTCAATTTTCAGCTCCTTGGAAGCTGAATGGCATTTGTCAGGTCTGTCTTGCTTTAAGGCAAGTGACTCAGGGCTCCTGGGTGTTCTGAGGAATGTAACAGAGCCAGAGTCAGCTGCTGGCAAAGCTGGCAATGAGACAGGGGCTCCAGACGGACAAGCTTCAGAGACAGAAGAAGCCTGCAGCTCCCACACCTCGGACATCCTGCCAGGCCTGGACTCTGTCTCATTCCAGAGCCTTTAACTGTCCAGTCTTTGCCGGTCAGTGTATCTGACTCTTGTCCACGTGTGGGGGCCAATATTCTTCACCGTCTTGCTGCTGTGTGGTCAGGGTTTTCAGCAGGTGGTCCTCTAATGGGCTGGTTCCACCATGTGCCAAAGACCCTGGAGCCATTTTCTAACACAGTGTAGCAGGTACCATGTTTGGGAGACTTGGTGCTTTCTACTCTGGGCCAGAAAGATAGAACTTGTTAAGAAGCATTGGAACATGCCTACCTTCGTGAATGTTTCACTGATTCTAGCCTTGATATTGACTTGGTCTTTTAAAAACTTGATTTGGAAAAAAAAAGTACCTACTCTTAGAAAATACTACAGGGTGCTTTTCTGCCCCACTACATCTCTAAATGTGGTTCACTGCAGTGGTCACAGATGGCTGGCACTGCTTTTTCCTTGAGAGATGCTGTCTATGTCCCCTGCCCTTGAGCTCGGCCGGCTCCTGCGAAATTGTCACTGCTGAGTATTGGGGTTATTGACTGAAGGACATGCCGGGCTTGAGTTTGCAGGCTCAGCTCCTAAGAGATCATAGCTTCCTCTCCCACCTCTTGGAACACTTGCTTTTGGAAGCCACAAGGAGACCCATGGAAAAGACTGGGCCCTTCAAGCTAAACTGAGCTCTCAGGACAGCAGCCGGACCTGCATCTCCTGAGGGCCTCCATCCTGGCCCTGCACCCTCCAGCTCCAGTGACCAGGCCTGGCTTGCGATGAGCCACCCCGGACAGAAGCTCTCTGGGTTTCAGATCTGCAGACAAAATAAATGATTGGACTTTTGTGAAGCCACTAAGTTTTGGCTAAGATTTGTGATACAGCAGTACATAGTTGGAACATTAAGTGTTGGATGTTTTTCTAACAAAGGAATCGTATACACCAATATTTTATTTTACAATAATAAAATTTAAAATGTTAAGCTAATAAAATTAAGCTCAAAAGAAATATGATTACAGAGATATTTTACTTACATGTGTAATATATGCAATGTACACTCATGTGTGGACGCTTATGTGAATGTGTGTACATGTGCATTCAATACACGTACATGGCTGTGCACATCTGTGCTGATATGTACATGTGCAAACATGTGCATTGCTGTGCATGTATGTGTATACATGAGTGTACATGTGTGTGCATGTGTGTACATGTGTACGTGCGTGCACGTATGAATGTGTGTGTGCATGTGGGTGCTGCATTAGTGTATTTGGAGCACGTGCTTGGTTTATGCTCAGTGTTCAATGAGGCCACCTCATTTCCTTCTGCAGGGTGTCCTACCTGGCTCTCTCTCAGTAAGATACTTACTCCTCTCCGCCCTGTACCTACCAAGGAGACTGAGGCAGAGGAAGGCAGTGAGTGGCTCAGCAGCTGAGAGGAAAGCCTGGGAGGAGCCCTGGGCCTCTCTGTGTCTCTACGGAGCGAGCTGCTGCTGCTGTTTCACTGCTCTGCACCCCGGTGCCCTCACCTATGCAACAGGATGCCACAGTCACCCTCGGTCAGGTGCTGGGAAAGCCAGACCAGGTCAGAGACCTGCAGCCCCCATGCACTCATCGCCAATCCCCCGAGCTTCCAACACCAGAGCCACAGGACAGAAATGCTGGTATCAGGCTCTAAAATCTCTCCATAGGCTAACAGTTTTGCTGATGAAGACCAGCTGCCACCTCTTCCACCAAGAGGGAAATGTCTGTTGAGTGGATGGAGTCCACCATGAGCAGGTCTGAAGCAGGAGGCGGCAGCGGGAGGCTGATTCTCACCATTGCTCACTGGACTCAATTATCTGCTTCAGAATATGAATGATGTGCTTCCTACACAGAATGAAAACGCTGCATGCGATTGCATGACTTGTGAGTAAACATCACGAAACCAGAGTTTAGAAATGAAAAATGCTCCAGGCTGGGGTGGGGCTGTCGGAGGTCTGGGTTCAGCTGCTTTCTCTCAAGGGGATGCGTCACTGTCTGTGTCCCTGGAGCAGGCCACGGAGGAGAGGTCAGCACAGGCAACAGGACCATGGTGTTGGCCTTGGGGGAGGCGAGGAAGCTGGACTGAGCTCTCACCGGGGTTGGTCTGAGGCCCGGCACCTGTGGTTGGAGTGGGCCCTCGGGATGGCCAGTGAGTAGGTGGGCGACAATCAGACCCCACCAGGGGCAGGTTGACCAGGCCTCAGACAGTAGCATCACGGCCACGCCAGCTGAGAGGTGCAGGAGAGGAAAACTGAAGTTCCTTACTGGGAACTGAGGGCCCAAGGTGAGCCAGCAAGAGAAGCCAAAAGTAAGGTCGGTATTTCCTTAGCCAGGGTTTCAACCAGTTCAAGGGGAGAATGTGCCACCATTTATCAGAGAGATGTGTTATCTGTAAAATGCACCACCAAGGATACAAGCAAGACAGGAACGTGGGTGGTCGCTGTGGGCAGCGTCTTGCAGAGCAGGGCACTGAGGATCAGGGAGGTTCAGAACCTTCCAGGGACCAAGGACCCTCCTTGCCCACAAGGGACACCAAGTCCTGGGATGTGGGACACCCATCCAGGGTCCATGAGAGTCCACCATGAGGACGCATAGCCTTGCCATAGCCACAGAGGATCCAGTGGGCAGGAGGTTGGGTGTGGGGTAGGAAAAGCAGGCAAGGTCCAAGTTACAGAGAAAAAATACAATGAAAAACAATAGCAAGGTCCCAGGATCTGCGAAGGAAGACACAGACCTAAGGCAGCAGGACAGCAGGTCGGAGAGGCTTTTATTTTGTTTGGACCTGGAAAAAGATTGCCTTTGGTTTAAAAAGGCAAGTCAGATCCTAAAATAAGAATTAATGAGCCCTGGTCCTAGTAATGATGGTTAGAAGAGCAAGGATGGGGAGTAAAGGAGATTGTTACAATCAAAAAGTTTTCTATTTCATGTACTTATTTTAAGGAGAGGAAATGAAAATACGAACAGTGAACCTATTCAGATATCCAGGGTTACAGAGCTTTTTTTATTATAGTTTCCTAAATATTTCGGGCACTCTTCCTGCAACATTAGCTCAGCATCTACTGAGAAATACAAGAACATCTGTGGTTTAACTAGAAGAAACTTCTAGTCTATTCAGAGCCTGAACCCCTGCGGCTTGCAGGTACCCACGCCTGCACCACGTGATCCCCATCTGCTGGCCCCATCCCCGGGAACCACCACAGCAGGGGCCTTCTGGTTGCCTCACCTCCCACCCTCGCAGTTTGCCTTTGCGGGTTTAACGACTCTCCCAACCAAATCCTGTGGGTGACGCAAAGCAGCCACAGCAGGCAATTCACAAATAATACATTGTAAACATTTAAATAATTTCTGTAAATTCCAAAGCTAGTTGATTCTCACAAAAAGATTTCATTGATTTCTGCTGAATTCTTTGATCCATAGCTAATCTAGGATTTAAATTTAATGATGATTTGATAAATGGAGTTGTATTCCAATCCATTAACTCTTTTCCCAATAAATTAAACTTAAATTTGACATGTGACAGACTGATAAATGGTTTCCCAGCCTCATATAAATTATATTAATGAAACCAAAGCCTCTTTTTACTTCAGAGTCACGTGTTCTGGAACTTCATTCACTGGTTACCTTTGCTGATTTTGGAAAATAGATTTCAAATACTGAAAACATATTTTGTGGCTCGATAGCCAGAAACCACAGAGGCCCCCAAGGCTGATTCACGCCTGGGACACTGTGCTGGCTTCCGCAAACCTGTCTTTTAGGATGCACTTGGGGTAGCAGAGAAATTCATTATTTAGCTCTGTAAATCTTAGGCTTAAACACATTTTTTCTTCTTAATAGAGTCAACTCTAATGGATATTACTGAGTTATGAATCTATGGTACAAATTTCATGTGATATTGTGATTATTTAAGTTAAAATTGGGCATGAATTAACATTTACTCTTATAAGACCAAGTCCCTTAGATAACTAGGGCTGAGTGACCACACTGTGCTTCCTTTCATTTTTAAAAAATAGTACCTCAGGGTCTCATGGACAGTTAGTAAATTCAAAAATTCGCATTCCCACCAGGATATTTGACATCATCTAACGCTACAAACTCTATCGACCTTTTCATAATTGCTTCCTGATGACTGCAGTGCTGTGATAATGAGCCTGGTTATGATTTGCCACACGGCAGGGGTTTGTATTTAAGTGAAACGGTGAATCCACACCCAAGGACTCCCAGATGCCGTCCTGTTCAGACTCCCACAGAACCCGTCATGTCTCAGGGGTGGGAAGGGCAGAAGGAAGTACAGAAGCCAGAAGCATCGTGTGAAAGAACCTTCCACTAGACATGGGCGTGGTGACTGGCAGTTAATCCTGGTGAGATCACTAGTATTAGTGAGTGATACGGTTTGGCTGTGTCCCCACCCAAATCCCATCTTGAATTGTAGTTCCTATAGTCCCCATATGTCTTGGGATGGACCCAGTGGGAGGTAGTTTAATCAGGGGGGCGGTTACCCTCATGTTGTTCTCGTAATAATGAGTGAGTTCTCATGAGATCTGATAGTTTTACGTGGGACTTTTCCCCCTTTGCTTGGCACTTCTCTCTCCTGCCACCATGTGAAGAAGGACGTGTTTGCTTCCCCTTCCACCATGACTGTAAGTTTCCTGACCCTCCTAAGCCATGCTGAACTGTGAGTCGATTAAACCTCTTTGCTTTATAAAGTACCCAATTTTGGGTATGTCTTTATTAGCAGCATGATAATACACTAATACAGTGATAATTACTTAAAGTAAGGACTTTTATGTGCTAGAGATTGATAGGAGAACTTTACAGTTGAATCCTTGTAACAATTTATGATTTTCATGATCTCATTTATTTACCTTAACTTTGCATCACCCTTGTTTCATTATCACCAGGCAGGCTGACTTTCTTGGTCTTCTAGGGAAGAATTTCATGCATTTAATGACCACACCAAGATAAATTACATTGACTATGAAACAGTAGAGAACACAAAGTATTAGAGATGTTATGAAAAGTTTTATTTTTGTCATATGGATACTAAAATTTGATTATAGGCCAGGTGAGGTGGCTCATACCTATAATCCTAGCACTTTTAGAGGCCTAGTAGGAGGATCGCTTGAGCCCAGGTGTTTAAGACCAGCCTGGGCAACAAAGCGAGACTGCATCTCTACAAAAAATATAAACAAATAAAATTACCCAGGCATGGTGGCATGTGCCTTTGGTCCCAGCTACTCAGGAGGCTGAGGGGGAGGATTCTTCGAGCCCAGAAGTTCAAGGCTGCAGTAAGCTAGCCAGCCAGCCTGGAAAATAGAGTGAGACCTTGTCTCGAAAAATAAGTAAGTAAGTAAATACACAAAGATATAAAATTTGATTGTAAGGGAGGTTTTAGCTTGGATTTCAGGGAAAAAAGGGTTTTTCAAAGGCAAAGATAAAATATTTTAAGGATGAGTGAAGAGATGGAAGTGAGTGTTTATAAAGATGCCTTTTCTTTACATCCCGGCCCATGGCTTCCTGTGTGACTCAGAGTAACAGCAGAGGCCCCAGTGTGGTCTTCGTGGCCTCTGAGGCTCCCTTCCCACTCTGTGCCATGGCAACACCCCCATTTCTGTTCCTTGGGCACATTTCCTTCTCAGGCCCTCTCACTTGTCATTTCTTCTTCTGGGCACCATCTTTTCCTGAATCCATGCTGGCATCCTTTGAGGTTTCAACCCCAATAACATCTTTTGCATGAGATCTTCTCTGAGTACCTTTTATAAAATAACAAAGAGCACACTTTCTCCCCCACAATATCTAGAGCTCCAGTCTGGAACAGAGGGGCTCCACAGATATCAGATAGGCTAAAGTTGTGAAACTTCCAAAAACTCTTGGGATGATAATTATACTGTTGACCCTTGAATAACTTGGGGCTTAGGGGTGCTGAGCCTTCACACAGTTGAAAATCCACATATAACTTTTTGTTTCCCCAAAATGTAACTATGAATAGCCTACTGTTGACCAAAGTCTTACTGACAACATAAAAAGCTGATGAAGACATATTTTCTATGTTCTATGCATTATCTACTGTATTCTCCCAAAGAAGGAAGGTGGAGAAAAGAAAATGATATTCAGGAAACCATAAGGAAGAGAAAGTACATTCACCATTCATTAAGTGGAGGTAGACCATATAAAGGTCTTCATTCTTGTCTTCCTGTTGAGCAGGCTGAGGAGGAGGGGGGAGAAGAGGGGTCAATGTGGCTGTTTCAGAGGTGGTAGAGCAGGTAGAAACAGGTGTGTAAGGGACCTGCTCAGCATACATCTGTGCTGTGGGAGAGGAGAGGTCAGTATGGCTGATTCAGAGGTGGTGGAGCAGGTAGAAAACAGACATGTAAGGGACCTGCACAGTGTACATCTGTGCTGTGCACAGGCCAACTCCATTCATTCCCTGGAGAACTCAGCTAGCCCCCAAGGCTTCAGTCACATGGTTTTCTAAGATCTAAGATTAAGGTTCAATATTATGTGAGCTTTGGCATCAGGGGAAATCAAGAGGCCCCAAATGACCTTGCCACTGTCCCCTCCACACTCTGCTCCCTTGGGTGAGACCCCATAGACAAATGCCCCCCTCCTCCCAGGGACCAGGCACCAGCTCCACCTGAGCAGAGAGCCTCATTCAGCTCCTGGCCGGCTGGCAAAACTGTTCAAGTCAGTCAATTCCATCATTCTTCAGGAGCCAGGCATTGCCTCCCCGTCTTGTTACTACCAAGCCTGCCTCCCGAGGCCCTGTCTCTTCACACGGCTCCCGAGGCACCCTCAGGTGGTCTGCAGTGCTCCTGCCCAGGGCTGTGATTAATAACCTGCTGTCTGTCCATCTGCCCAGAGCCCAGGGTCCTGTGTTCTGCCCTTCCCAGGACTCCAGGGCGGGACCCATTCTCATCCATGGGAAAAAGAGGTGGGGATTAAATACCCTTTCCAAGAATGGACTCCAAAGTCTATTTCTCATGCATCTCCTGCTGTGCCTATCTATTCAGGGTAGTGTCTTCTCAAATCCACACAGGGCAGCTTCTCCGTGTTGCTCTCTAACATACCGAGGATGGAGCCCAGCTCAGCAGCTGACGCGACACAGACCCTCCATCAACAGTGCATGGGAAAGTTGACCAATGACCTCCTGAGAAGTCAAAGCAGCCCTACACAGGCTGCTCTGAGCATAACGCCCAGCCCGGCTCCACAGCCACACGGGCTCCTGGGTAGACAGGTGACCTGGTGTCAGAGTCACCAGTGAGGGTGAGTGCAGCCAGCCGTGCAAGTGAGCATAACGCCCAGCCCGGCTCCACAGCCACACGGGCTCCTGGGTGGACAGGTGACCCGGTGTCGGATTCACCAGTGAGGGTGAGTGCAGCCAGCCATGCAAGTGAGCCCACCAGAGCTGCTTCGCTCGGGGTAGGCTGGGGAGATCACCTCTGAGGCCGCAGGGTCAGGGTGGCTTTTCTGGAGACCCAGACCATGAGCCAGCTCAGAGAGGTGCCTGCTGCTCAGCAACTGTCAGGCCTTCAGCATTTAAGGATCTTCACAACGTTGTCTTCCTTGTACACCTGGCATATTCCTAGTTATCCAATATTCATCTTTAAACTGAATTAATTTAACTATTTAATAGTCTCATATGAAATTATCCATGAAAATTGTGGGTCTGCTATTTAGATATTTAATTTAATGGTAGGTCAACACCAATTTGTTTCTGGAAGTCTGACTAGAAAACGAGATGGTGTGTGAAAGTTAAAGAGTGTCTGAGACGGAGGGTAAATTCTGGAATTTCACGTGTTAGGATGTATACACAGAATATATGGAAAATGGCAGGGAAAGAATCATTTGAAGAGAAACCGGCGAGAAATAGCACGTGAATTCGAGGACTCTGCATTTTATCCAAGGCCCTGAGACACGGCCACCAACAACAGGTGAGAAGCAGTTCATGGAACCCTAGAGCATAAACCACCCCATTTCCCAAAGGACAGCAATGCCCTGGACCCGGCACTGAATTAAGAAGAAAAGCAGGAGGGAAGAAAGGCGTAAACGGGACACAGCAAGGAAATTCAGAGCGGGGGCCCAGGAGCTGGGTCTGGACAATGGAGGGTGACCACCCAGGACACCAGCTGGTGCTGTGGGACCGGGTGCTGCCTCAGGTTCCCACCGCAGTGTGGGCCGGCCAAGGCTCCGGGCAGCTAATTTATGCCATTTGACTTCATTAACCCGTGTGGGGGCAAATATCTCTAAAAGCTGAATGGACACTTTAGGAGTGACATTCCCTAAAACCCCACTCTTTGTATATCACGGTCCTTAAGAGAAGAGGGGCTGATGGTGTGGGATCTGTGAGACCGTGGTCAGTCGCTGCATTTCAGGCCTCCAACGCTGCTTACTTTGATCTAAAATATAACCAGAAGAACCACAGGTTTTTAATTCCAGAAGAGGTTGAATTCCTGACTCTGTTATTACCGTCTGTGATCCTGGGCAGAGTACATCTTCTGTTTGAGTTTTATCAGCCCAAAAAGGGCACCGTGTTACTTCAGAGATGGTGGTAAGAGCACTAAATGAGTGAACGGTGTCAACATCTGAGAAAGATGTGGCCCGTCCCAGGTCAACCACGCATGGTGATTAGAACTGTGTTAACCATCAGCTCAGGCCCTATGTGGAATTTCCTTCACTTATGAAAAAATGTAGAAAAAAATCATTTTCTTAAATGGTGAATGCATCTGAGTACCTTGGAGGAAACTGCTGAGGGAGCATCCAAGTGAAAATCCCCGGCTGCAGCACACACGTGCTCACACAGTCAGTGCACAAACAGGCAGCTTCTGTGCTCCCGCACTGTTGGGTTAAAGACAACAATGTCATCCTCTTAATTAGACAAATGTGTGGCTTCCAAGGGCTTCTGTCCGAGGAGACTGTGTGCAGCCTTGGATGTTCCTGCTGCCTGTGCTCATTGTCACTCTGAGAGTTTCGTTGGGGTTTGTCCACACCACACTTGCATGAAAGGATGGGTCTTGGGGTGTCTGGCTCACCTCTTATCTCCAGCACTTTAGTTAATAATTGTCTTTTGAAGGAAGAAACACATGTGAAGAGGGCCAACTGCTGGTGGAGCGTGAGGCGTGTACCTGGTGTGAACACGGGCTCCCATGCCCACAGCCTGGTGCCAGTGCCCCCCCAGCAGGTACCCTGTCCCCCAGGCCTGGCGCCCCCACCTAGCAGGCATCCTCTCCCCCAGTCTGGTGCCCCCACCCAGCAGACACACTGGCTCCCATCCTGTTTCCCCCCAGCAGGCACCCTGTGACCCTCAGAATGGAACCCCACCCAGCAGGCACTGTCCCCCAGCCTGATGCCCCACCCAGCAGACACGCCGTCCCCCAGCCTGCCCCCCAAGCAGGAACACTCTCTGCCAGCTTGAAGCCCCACCCAGCAGACACACTGTCCCACAGTCTGGTGCCCCCACCCAGCAGGCACGCTGTCCCCCAGCCTGGTGCCCCACCCAGCAGACACATTGTCCCCCAGCCTGGTGCCCCCACCCAGCAGGCACCCTGTGACCCCCAGCCTGGCACCCAGCAGACACACTGTCCCCCAGGCTGCCCCCCGAGCAGGAACACTGTCCCCCAGCTTGAAGCCCCACCCAGCAGACACACTGTCCCCCAGTCTGGTGCCCCCACCCAGCAGACACACTGGCCCCCATCCTGCCTCCCCACAGCAGGCACCCTGTGACCCCTAGAATGGAGCCCCACCCAGCAGACACATTGTCCCCCAGCCTGGCTCACCCACCCAGCAGGCACCGTGTGACCCCCAGCCTGGTGCACCCGAGAGGCAGGAGTGGGCTGCACGGGGTCTGAGGAGGGGAAGTGAGGTGAGGTTGTGTTCTAGAAAGCTGGCCATTGGCACTGTGGAAAGCACTGAGGATGGGAAGCTTAGGTGGACCTGAAATAACTGAGGCAGCTTAAACAATGAAGAGTTTATTCGAGCCAAATTAGAGGGATGGCAGGAAAGTTTCAGGGTACCTTGAGAAACGTCCTGGAGAACAAAAGAGAGATCTGAGCCTTTAAGGAAAAGGACAAAGGAGAGGGGGTATCATAGAGGCTGTTTTCAGGATTACAGTCCACGTGTGATGGTATTTGAGGTGGTGTGGAGGCAGGGGCCTGCCTGTGACGGTCTGAAAGGGCCCTTCTGGCTGGCAGGTGTGTGGCTGGGCAGTGACTCAGCAGGAAGCAGTGATCCCTGGGGGGCCCGGAATTCTTCCTTTCAGGCCTGCCTGAGGCTCCAGCCAAAAAGCCCTCCAGGCTGCATCAGGAGCTTGAGGAGCCATCACTGCCAGGGGGTTATTATTGGTCTGTTGGAGTCTGTTGGAAGGGGATGCTCCGCTGGCGGGTGTATTTTTAAAAGTAGCCACACCTCGGAAATATGTAAGACTCTGCCCCCATGAACATCAATTAAGCCTGATAACCGATTACAGCTTCCAGCAGCCACATTCCCCTTATAGATCCATAATATGAAAATAAATTGCCTTACTGTTACATTACACCGAAAAAAAATTGAAACTGAATTTACAAAAATTTCCAGGGAGTGAATCAATGTTCCACAGCCAGTACAAGGCATTTTCTTCCCAAAAGAAGGCCCTTCACCTCAGTTAGATAATTAATAGCTAATCACCTAGCTGTGTGTGTCACCGTGCTTGGAAAAACCCAGTGCGTTTGGGAGTTGTGAGACTCTTCCCCTCACTTTTTTGTTCCTAAAAATCACGACAGCAAGTGCAGCATTGAGGAACATGACGGATCTGAAATGAATCTGGTGTGAATCCAACGCAGTCATTTTCATGTTGTGCTCACCTCTGATTCCACAGGGCCTGATTATTCACTAGTTTTAAAACCCTTTTCATTATTTAGAAATGACAGAGTGGATTAAAGAAAAAACTGTGAGAGGGACAATTATAGGAACAGCATGAAAGTTTTAATGAACAGTTTCCAAATCAGCACCTGGAATAAGGCATGGGCGTCTTCTTCATCGCTCATGGAAATACACAGCGGCATCATCATCTTAATAAAAAGGCCAAAAATACATTTTAACTTCAGCCAACCTCACCTGCTTAATTATTAAATGCGGGGGTGGTTGTAAAAGCACTTAAGTCACTATTCTGGATGAGAATGTTCCTTATTTTTAGTTCTCAAAATGTGAAGGAATTAATTCTCATTCTCATTCAAATAACTTACTGTGCCCAACATCGTGAATGAAGTAAAGAAATGCATAAATTTATCTTATTCTATCTTTTACCATTCATGTTTCTTTCGCTCTCAAATTTAGAATTGTGACCAGGTTTACAATTGTTTTATTATTTTTATTTTATACTTCTAAACTAAAATATTTACTCCTAAATACATACCAGATATATATCTAAACAATCATGTATTAGTATGTAGAAGTGTATAATAAATAACTACAAATAACAAGGTTTTTGAGAAAAAATAAAATCTACAAAAAGTAGATATCCAAATGTGACTTAAAACTCACCATAGCTTTTTGAAAACCTCCATAATCCCTCACAGTAGTTGTTCTCCCTGGGTTGCTTTTAATTATGCAGAGGGTGGCGATTTGAATGGCCACCACATTTGAGTTGCAACACAGATACAGCCACGGTTCATGAAGAGATGTCTCAGTGATAGTGTGAATTAAAAAAAAAAAAAAAAAAACCTAGTGGAAAGGAAGGCATCACAGAAGTTGGCCAGTACTTAGAGGTGGAAATGAGACATTGCTGTCGTGCATTTATAAGTGGAGATCAGCCCTCACATGGGCTTGGAGTTCAACTTTGCTTTGTGTAGAATAACAGTCTCCCAGCTGGTAAAATAACACGAAGTTATTCTCCGGCCATTGGCAGCTGCGGGGGGTACTGACAGAAGTAAATGTAAAAATAACCCTAAATATCTCATATTTTGGGTGCTCTTATAAATGGTAATTTTTTTAAAAGTTACAATTTCCAATCACTTGTTGCTATTACGTAAAAACTCAACTTATTTTTAGGTATTGGCTGAGTGTCCTGAAAACTTGCTAAACTCATGTACTTATCTTAGTAGCTTTTTCCTAAATTCCCTGTGATTCTCTGCGTAGACAAGCATGTCTTCTGAATGGAGGCAGCTGTTGGTCTTTTTCTCCCGGCCTCATTACCCTGGGCAGGACGTCCGGCGTGAGGCTCCTGGGAGGGAGACGGACTGCAGGGAACCCCTCCATCCCATGCTACGTGGGACGCTGGCTCTAGGGTTTTCATCAAGGCCCTGGAGGAGCTTGAGGAAGCTCCCTCGTTCTAGTCCTTGTTTGCTAGCACCTGTTTGTTTTTTGAGTCAGTGTTTGATTTTGTGAAATGTGTTTTCTGCATGTACTGAGGTAGTCACGGGTTTCTCTTTCTGTAAACAGGACAAATCCATCAATGTCACCTGAATGTTCAACCAAGCGAGGAGCTGTGTTCCCTGCTGGATCGAAACCTGTGGTTATGAGCCCAGCATCTGTGTTCACGAAGGCTGCTGCGCAGCCGCTCTTGCCTCTGGGTTTGGTATCGGGGTGATGCTGGCTGGATTGCATAAGTGGGGGAATGGTCCTTCTCCTTGAGTTTGTGAAGGAATTCATGGGGCATGGGCATCATTTCATTCCTATCTTGGCAGGAGTCACAGCAGAGCCCTCCGGGCTGAGTTTCTTTGTGGAAACCCTTCCCCATCCCGGACGCTTCCCAGCTGGGCCTCGGGCCACCACGGCTGTGGCTCTGGCCTCCCCAGTGTCCTCCTGAAACTCCTTCTGAGTGGTGTCTGGACGTCGACGGTGCCTCATCTGTCCGGACATCACGGCCCTGCGTGTCCTGTCCCAAATCTCCCCAGCCCGCAGCCCTGCTCCCCGGCACTGGAAGGCAGTTCAGGGCTGTCTTGCTGTTTCCTGGAGGTGGCTGTGAAAGGTCTGAAGTAAGTGTTCTCAGCCCTGCGGTCAGTTGGGCCCTTCCTCGGCTGTCTCAGGTGGGAATGGGAGGCAGGGAAGACCCATGGTCTCTAAAAGTCTGTCAGTTCCTGGGAGGGCCCAACGCTGGGCTCACGAACCTGACCTCTGGGACATGGCCTTTCTCTGTGTGCTCTGGGCCGTCTGGAGTGGGAACGGTCCACTCTTCATGAGCAACAGCATATGGTGCTTATCCAGGTATGCACAGAGGCCGAGTGCTCCCTGGTAGGTGGTCCCAGGAGCCCCTGACTGTGTCAGGCTGCAGAGGTGGATGTGGCTCCCATCCCTAAACCAACTGAGGCTGCCAGCTCCACCCTCTACCCTGTACAGTGGATCAGGACACCTGCCTGGGCCATCCCACGTCATGGCCTGGAGAATGAGACCACATCTGGTCATCACAGGCAGCTCAGTCTGCAGGTCGCCAGACAGCCCGCAGCCAGCACCCAGGTTTAGGGGGCCCAGGGGGCCATGGGGGCTGACACAGGACAGGCAGCATCTGCCCCAAAAGGCGACGCTGACTCTGGGCTTGCCGAATCCATGTGGGGCAACTGAGACCCCCAGAGATTCCCCACAGAGCCCTGATCACAGGGATACATCAGCCAGCACCTTCTGACCTCCTGGGCCCCACAGGCTGAGGGGGACAGCAGGCATCCTGCAGCCACAGGACAGCCTTGGGTGAAGCTGGGCATCCACAAATCACCCGATAAAGGGTAGGAGTGACCCCGAGTGCAGTGTGCACACCAGGGTCCAGGATCCTGCTAAGGCTGCTGTGTTTCCTCTGCAGAGACATAAACACGATGACGTGCTGGGCTCAGCAGAAGGCTGCCGCCCTCCTGTGTCCAGGACCACAGGACTCCGAAGGCCCCGTGTGTCCTCCTGGGGCCTTAGGGAACTTGGCAGGGCTGCCCACTGGCTCTGTCGGCACGAGGCCTTCAGAATTACAAACTTTGGAAGAATTTCTCAAGCTATCAGAACAACCGAGGTCCCTGTGCACGGCTCTGTGGACGTGAGTTGGTCCTGCAACAGGCAACAGTGCATTTGCTGGTGAGGGGAGCCCAGCAAGGGCAGGAGTGGCGTCAGTCTGTCCAGTTACAAAACATAGCAATGGGACAAGATCCAGTAGGCCCCGTGTTTGCCAGTAGACACTCACTCTCTTCCACAACCCGAGCAGGCACCACGCAGGGGAGAGCCGAGGGGTGTGGAATGGACCCCACCTGCACTCACCCCCATGCCCATGGCCAGTTCCTCTTTTTGCTTCAGGAAAACGTCGTTTTCCCCTGGAAACCAGCGTTTGATTCACCGACTCGCACAGTAGGCAGCCTGGAGACGGCCGTCTTCTTAGCTGGGACACCAGGCACTCCAGGGCTTTTGTTTTCCCTCCTATGGTGTCATCATAGACACGACCTCACACTATCTGCTTATCACAGTGTAAAGCTCTTCGGAAGAACAACCTTCACATCAGCATTTGTTATGAGTGACAGGGGAGGGAGCAAAACCTCCTCCTCCAACCCATGTTTTCGCATCATTTTTCATCTGCGGAGAAACCCAAGCCATCCCCACCCCCAGGAATGTAAGGACAGAAACTGAAGTCCTCATCATTCTGCCTCTGGTCTTCCTGTTAATAAAAAATAAGTCTGTGTTAATTAGATTTGGAAGATGAGTTTTCCATCCAGGCACTTTTCCCTGAATTATCCTCGTCCGCACGAGCGACTCTTTCCAGGGCTGGAGCTCACGGCTGGGCTGTGGCCTGTGCCGTCCCGTGGAGGTTAGAAGGTGGGCGCAGATGTGCTCAGCTTCCTGAGAGACGTCTCATTATAACGCCGCCCCAGGCAGTAATTTGATCTTTTTTTCTTTTAAAAGATGAAATTCCGCTTTTATCCCTTTGGTTATAGTCCATAGCTCCTCTGCTTGTTAAACCTTAAGGAAAAGACTAAAATCTTTTGCCACTATTTTGTCGGTATGTATTTCAAAAAGAAAAATAACAATATACCTATTGCATTAAAAATGTTTTGATCTGATTATAGCTACAAGGTAATAGATATTAAAGAATCTAGTGCTCTCCCATATGACAATTATAAATGGTACATTTTCCTTATTCCAGGAAATGTTACAAAAATTTGGGAACACTAAATTAATATAATTTGCCCAAAGGTGCTTATGTCTGTCTAGAGGATGGCATAAGTTCATTGTAGTATAGATAATGCATATCATACAAATCGTGTTCAGAAACCCCTGCTAAAACCAGTCTCCTTGTTTTATGATCACATTATATGAAGGAGTAAATGCTGTATCAGATATTCCAGGAATAAAACTTGCTTATCAAAATCACCCTACACAACACCTCAGTGTCCAAGGGAACATAAAAGGTAATGTCAAGGGTTCCCGCATATCAACATAAATGTGATTTTCAGATAAGCAATTACAGCATAGTCCACAGTAATATCCGACATTTTTATTGCTCGAATATTTTTGTAATAAGGAAAAATAGTTCAGTACAAATTTATGATATTTTTACAGTAGATTGAAACTAGTATTTTCTAAATATTTGAATTTTCCGATCGATTGATTTTATCCATTATCCTCTTCTAAAGTATCAATCCAGTGGATTTTCTAGGATCAAAAATTAGCAACAATTGTATATGTACTTTCACTATGGAGAATCTTGTGTGCACCTACAGTATACCAGGTCATCTTAGGCAGGCATGTAGTTACAGTATTCGACACTGTGGGGTTATCTGATGACCTCGCAGACCCCGTAACGCAGGTTGACCTGTGTCTGTTTTCGAGGACAATGGGAGTGCTTCCTGACACTCGGCCTCATCAGCTCCATGGGGGTCAGGCCTGCCGGGACCCCTGCTGCTGGCTTCATCCTTCTCTTCGGAAGAATTCCCTTTTTCCCCTTTTCCCAGTGGAAGGCTCTGCTTTCTGCCACACTGCAGGCCACCGGAAACCCCAGCTTTCTCTGGCCCCACACAGGTCTTTGAGAAAAGGGAAAGATGAACATGGCCAAGCCGCCATCAGGTGAAGGACTGAGCCTTGTGTGCCCATCCTTGGCCTTCCCTGGTGTCACTGTTCAGCAGGGAATGTTCTGGAGCAAAGAGGCCAGAGCAGGCGGTGCTTCCAGCAAGTGCAGCCACAGGTGAGAGACACTCACTGTTCTCATCGTGATCAACTCAACAGTGCACAGCTCTAAATTTAAAAAAAGAGAGTCTACTGTGGTTTCAACGTGTGACCCTTCAAATTCATGTTGAAACTGAATCCCATTGTGGTGGCGTGAGGATGCGGGGCCCTTGGGAAGTGAAGGGATGATTGCCTTGTGCAGGGGCTGGAGGAAGGCGGCTAAGGCTGCCACAGGCCTTCCGCCTACCACCCAGTGAGGACCAGGCACCCGCCCCAAGGCCACCTTGGATACAGACAGCAGCCTTCACCAGACACCGACCCTGCCAGCAACTTGATCTTGGACTCCCAGCCTTCAGCACTGTGAAAAATAAATTTCCATTGCTTTTAAGTTACTTTCTATTACTTGTGAATTACCCAGTCTGTGGTATTTTGTTACAGCAGCACGGAGGGACAGAGACACACGCACACTCAACTCAAGCTTAGCAACTGGACTGGTGTTCCTTCTCACTTCTTAGTCACCTTTTTCCCAACAGAAACATCCTATTTCATCTCTGTATTTTATTTCTATATGGAAGAGCCTGAAAACAGTGTCTCTGCTGACATGAGCTATGTTATATTTCTTCATGAAAGTTAATATTCCCCACATTCCAAGCCAAGACTTAAAAAGTTACAATTGCCAGCCTTGGTGGCTCATGCCTGTAAGCTCAGCCCTTTGGGATGCTGAGGCAAGAGGATCTCTTAAGTCCAGGAGTTCAAAACCAGCCTGGGCAACATAGTGAGACCTTGTCTTTACAATTTTTTTTTTAATTAGCTGGGTGTGGTGGTGCACACTTGTAGTCCTAGCTATTCAGGGGGCTAAGGTGGAAGGGTCATTTGAGCCCAGGAGGTCGAGGCTGCAGTGAGCCATGATTGTGTCACTGCACTCCAGCCTGGGTGAGAGTGAGACTTTGTCTCAAAAAAAAAAAAAAAAAAAAAAAAAAGTCACAGTATTAACTCTGACAGATAGGAAATTCATTTTTTAGGTCAGTAAGTTAAAGCCCTAAATGCTCCCAGATGGAATAGATTTTGATGAAGTGTCAAGGTTTACAGATTTCTCAATATATATTTTCCAAGAATATTTTCAATTTTCTGCACAGAAAACACTTTGACTCTTGCCCTTCATTATCAGTGACCAGAATGTTCAAGCATTTGGCATTTGTTCACGTCTTCCCCCTCTCCCATCTTTCATTTCAAGTTTTAAAATTCCCATGCACAATTCCAGGCCACACCTGAAGGTGCTCCCCCTCCAAGCCGTCCCTGTGTCGTCTCCACCCTGGCTTCCTCCCTGACACCTGCCATGTGCTGACGCCCTTGCACTAGGGCCCCAGTGTCTGCCTTCATCCCCAGCGAACCGCTGAACTCAAGAGCAGGGTGCAGGTTGCTTTTTAGCAGGGGTCCTATTAGACACCTGAATGTAGTTCACCTTATAATTCATACCCCTGGGAACCCCTTGAGTGCCATGGGCACCTTCATCCAGGAATACTTACAGGGGAGTTTAGGGAGGAACTTTAGAAAGAACCTAGGAGAGTTCCATTTTGTTTTAAAGCCAGTTGGTCAGTTTGCAAGATGCTTAGCACAGCACCGTTCTGGTGACCAAGATAGCTCTTGTTTCTGGTGCCCTTGGAGTCTTGCTTTAGTTCCAAACTATACGCTTCATCAAGTTGCAAAATAAAAGGAAAAGAGAAGACACCCGAAACTTCTTAAACTAACAAAAATTTGAATTCAGAGTATGTAAAGAATACCTACAAATCAATAAAAGATGAAATAAAAACTGATGCAAAGTGGGCAAGAATTGCAAACTGTCACTCCAAAGACCAAAATTCATATGAATCATTAATAATCAGAAAATGTAAATGAAAAGCTTGATGAGATGCCTTTTATATCTAATACTGCAGCACTGCAAGGTCTGCCGATGCCAGGCAGTGTTGAATAGACTTTGTGGAGGGACAGCCCAGGTTGGTAAGCCAACATGATGCAGCCACCTTGGAGGCTATTTGGAATTGCCTGGAAATGAGCGGAATGGGCCAGGTAGTGACCATCAATCCACGCCTGGGCATGAGCTCCGGCACATTCTCTGCAGAGCGTGCCTGTCTCTTCTCAGACAGGATCCACCTCTGCCATGCTCTGGCCCAGGGAGGTGGTCTCTGGGGCCCATGACCTTAGCTGGTTGGCTGCTGGACCCCAGGCCCATTGGAAGGGAGGCCGGTGGGCAGAAGGGAGCCGGGGTGGAACAGTGTGGATGCTGTCCTATCCTAGAGCCGCATCCTTGCAGTCACTTTGGGATCAACACATACAACACAGAGCACCTGCTAAGCTCTCATGTCATATCAACAGCACCTTCTGTTCTAGTATAAATAGCTGCTGAGAACTGGATGGGACCTACTTAAAACGGGGGACTGTTTATCTGAAGTTTAAATTTAGGTGGGCATCCTGTATTTTTATTTGGCAAATCCAGCAATCCCGGCTGCTACCCACTCTCTGAACTCCCAGAACAACTCATTTCTTACCTGGTATTCTAGTTGCTTACACGAATTCTGTCACAAGCAAGCAATTTAAGTCCCATCTTTTACCATTACAGAGGCTGAGAAGATGAGTCTACGGGATGGGGACACATTGCCTTCCGCAAGTTCTTTTTTTCTGTGCTTATTCACTGTGCAGGGCAAAAACGCTTTAGAAGAGAATGTGTGTTGAGCCCAATTTTCACAAAAGATAAATGGACACATAAATGATGGAAGAATCCATTCCATTTTTATAAAAATAATACAGGGTTTAAAATCACAGTGAAGGTTTGGAAACCCTCACTGTTGCTTGCAACTGAGAATTTCAGCAAGAGACTGAAAGTGTGATGTGTTATTTAATTTTGGGCTTGCTTGAGAGAAGTTAACAAAATAACCATAAATAAGAACCTATCACATCTCAGGGCTAATAATGGCTAATAGAATAAATGAAATATATACTTAATATGGCAACTTAACAAGTATTGACTCATTTGAAAGTGCTGATATCATGCAGGCAATGCTCTTGGGCCACAATTGATTTAAATTGGAAATTAACAACAGAAGGAAATTTGAGAAATCCAAAAGTATTTATAAATTAAACAACACATTTCTAAATAATTCATGAGTCAAAAGAGAAATTACAAGGGAAATTAGAAAGTATGCTTTTCTAAATGACAATAAAATCAACACATCAAAAGTTATGGGACAAGCTAAAGCAGTGCTTAGAGGAAATTTTATAGCTTTAAATGCCTCCATGAAAAGATAACAAAGATCTGAAGTCAATAATCTGAGCTTCTGCACTGAAAACCTAGAAAAAGAAAAGCAAATTAAACTGAAGACAGGCCAATAAAAGAAACACTAAAGATTAAAGAATTAATGAAATAGAAAAATAGAGAAAATTTGAGGGAACCAAAAGTTCATGCTTTGAAAAGATCAACAAAATTGATAAGCCTTTAGCTTGAAGAAAAAAAAAGACAGGCCAGGCGTGGTGGCTCATGCCTGTAATCCCAGCACTTTGGGGGGTGGAAGTGGGCATATCCCGAGGTCAGGATTTTGAGAGCAGCCTGACCAACATGGTGAAACCCTGTCTCTACTAAAAATACAAGAAAATTAGCTGGGCATGGTGGCGCGTGCCTATAATCCCAGCTACTCAGGAGGCTAAAGCAGGAGAATCGCTTGAACTCAGGAGGCAGAGGTTGCAGTGAGCCGAGATTGGGCCACCGCACTCCAGCCTGGGCGACAGAGCAAGACTCTGTCAAACGAAACAAAACAAAACAAACGAAAAAAAAAGGCAGAGAAGAGAAGACACAGATAGTGAAATTTATGAATGAAAGAGGAGACATTACCGGTGACTCCTCTGAAATTAAAAATTACAAAAGAATTCTCTGAACAACATTTTGGGAATAAATTCTACGACATTGATATAGTTGTCAAATTTCTAGAAAGGAACAAATTAGCAAAATGACTCCAGATATAATAGAAAATCTGAATAAATGTATAGCAAGTAAAGAAGTTGAATGAAGAATTAAAAATCTTCAGACAAAGAAAAATTCAGGCCCAGATGGTCTCACCCAGATAGTAATTTTTTATCAAATATTTAAACATGTAATATCAATATCTCACAAACTCTGCCATTAAATAGAGGAGAAAAGAATGATTAACAACTCATTCTATGATTCAATGAGACAAGAGAGTGTGTGTGTTGAGCCCACCTTTCACAAAAGATAGATGGACACAGAACTGCTGAATGAACTCATTGCATTTTGTAAAAAGTAATACAGGGCTTTAAAATCAAATCAAAGGCTTGGAAATCCTCATTGTTGCTTGCAACTGAGAATTTTAGCAAGAGACTGAAAGTGTACTGTGCTGTTTACCTGTCTATCACCCTGATGGACACCTGTCTATCACCCTGATAGAAAAGCCAAAGGCATAGCAAGAAAGAAAACTGCAGACCAATATCTCTCATACATAAATGGAAAAGCTCTTGACAAAATATTAGCAAACTAAAGCCACATCACATTACAACAAGGCTAAACACTATGATCAAGAGGGATTTGTCCCAGAGAAAAGAGGTTGGTTTAACATTCAAAAATCAATGTAAAGCATCCTATTTGTACAAAAACCACATAATCATTTCAATAGATGCAGAAAAAGCACTGAACAAAATTCAATACACTTTCATGACAAAAGCACTCCACAAACTAGGAATCTAATAAACTAAAAACCGATAAAGAAAATGTAAATACAATCCCCAAGCCGACACCAGGCTAAATGGAGGGGGACGGACCACATCCCTCTGAGTTCAGCAAAAAGGCAAGGACATCTCCTCTCATCTCCTTTCCAACCTGGTACACCCTGTGCGAACAGGGCAAAAAGACGCCCACATTGGAAGAAAGAAATACACTATTTGCATTTGGAGATGTCAGAGTCTGCACGTAAAAAATCCTGAGGAATCCACAAACAACTATTAAAACTAATTTTTGAAAGCACAGCAAGTTTACAGAATACAAATTAATATGAAATCAATTGTATTTCCATATGTAAGCAATGAACAACCTGAAAAGGCAATTAAGAATGCAATTTTATTCATATCATCCAAAATTATGAAATACGTAGGAATAAATTTAACAAAAGTAGTGCAAGTCACGTGCATTGTAAATTAGAAAATGTTACTAATAGGAATTAAAGTGGCTTTAAAGATATGGAGAGACATTTTCTGTTCATGGATTGTGAGACTTAACATTGATTTAATGTGCAAAATAATGCCCCACCCCACAAGATAACATGTTCAAATCCCAGACACCTTTGAATATGTTACTTGGCAAAAATTGGCATTGCAGGTGTGCTGAAGGATTTTGAGTGATGAGATTCTCCTGCATTGCCTGGGCCAGTCTAGTGTCATCATGTGGATCCCTGTGGGAAAAAGCGGGAGGTGGGAGAGCTACAGGAAGGAAGGCAGAGGGAAGGGCCACTGGCTGAAGAAGTCAGGTGCCTCTAGAACATGGAAAATGCCAGGAAAAAGACTTCTGGGGCCTGTGGAAGGAATACAACCCTGCCAACACCTTCATCTTAGCCTGGTGAAACCAACTTTGGACTTCTGACTTCCAGAGCTGTGAGGTAATAAATCTGTGCTAATTTTAGCCATTAAATTTGTGGTAATTTCTTACAATAGAAAGCTAATCAAGAAGACAATTCTCTCCAAATTGATATGGATTCAATGCACTCTCCATCAAAATTCCATACAGCTTTTTAAAGAAATTGACAACCTTATCCTAATATTTTTATGAAAATGAAAAATGCCAAGAATAACCAAATCAATTTTGAAAAAAAAATAGATAAAAGACTTTAACTTCCTGATTTTGAAGCATACTAGGAAATGGCAGCTATCAGGACATGTGGCACCAGCGTGAAGATACATGTAGAGACCAGGGAACAGATGAGAGTCCAGGAATAAATCCCAACATTTACTGTCAATTGATTTTCTCAAAGGTGAGATTAAAAATTTGTCAAAACATGGTGTAAATGTGCCACATTTTCTTAATCCAGTCTATCATTGTTGGACATTTGGGTTGGTTCCAAGTCTTTGCTATTGTGAATAGTGCCGCAATAAACATATGTGTGCATGTGTCTTTATAGCAGCATGATTTATAATCCTTTGGGTATATACCCAGTAATGGGATGGCTGGGTCAAATGGTATTTCTAGTTCTAGATCCCTGAGGAATCGCCACACTGACTTCCACAATGCAGCCATAAAAAATGGTGAGTTCATGTCCTTTGTAGGGACATGGATGAAGCTGGAAACCATCATTCTCAGCAAACTATCGCAAGGACAAAATACCAAACACTGCATGTTCCCACTCATAGGTGGGAACTGAACAACGGGAACACATGGAAACATGAAAGGGAACATCACACACCGGGGCCTGTTGTGGGGTGGGGGGAGGGGGGAGGGATAGCATTAGGAGATATACCTAATGTTAAATGATGAGTTAATGGGTGTAGCACACCAACATGCCACATGTATACATATGTAACTAACCTGCACGTTGTGCACATGTACCCTAGAACTTTAAGTATAATAAAAAAAATTGTCAAAACATATGAACATGCACTTTACCAAAGAAGACATATGGATGGCTGATAAGCAAATGCAAAAATGCTCAATGTCATTCATCTTCGGGGAAATGCAAATTAGAACTACAATGAAATACCTTCTCATACTCACTAGCATGGTTAGAAACCTGGTTCATTGTATGATGAATAATAAATCACCATCCTTCACTTAAACCACACATAAAAGTAACCTTTTAAAGCTTAAAAATGTAAATATTAGAGGAAAATTATTAAGTGCATAGAATATGTACCCAAACATCTTTATGGTATAAGGCTAGTGTAGATTTCCTAAATAAGACTCCCAAAAGCATAAAATTTAAAACTCATAAAGTTTAAACCGGTGACTACATCACGACTCAGGGAAAGAGCAGTATCTCAACAGAGAAGGAATCAGGAGCGGGAGCACGTGAATCAAAGGTGAATCGAATGAATGGCCAGCTCTTCTGCTAACTTCCTGATTCATCAATTCTTATCTCAGCACAGTATTTTTTCCAGAAACTATTATCAATTCTCTTTCTTGCTATTGCCATTTTCCTTGAGGAATATTCAAACTATTTTCCTAAATACTGTATTCTTAAAATTTCACTTCCAATTTTGGCAGAGCCATCCTGCTGACTAATCTTCCCACCAGGAATGAGAACCACTGGACAAAAGAAGAGATGTCTTCCAGGCGCTATCTCAGACTCACCAAGGGGCCGCAT
Source organism: Homo sapiens (assembly GCF_000001405.40). Lineage (NCBI taxonomy): Eukaryota > Metazoa > Chordata > Mammalia > Primates > Hominidae > Homo > Homo sapiens. Next base: position 787,875 of record NC_000002.12, read on the forward strand.
TCTGGACAGAAGAGAAGCAGGTTGAGGCAGGCCTGGCTTTTTGTGGGGTTCTCCCTTTCTGGGCATTTGCTAGTGCAGTGTTATCTAGGGCTGGAGAGTCCAGAGAGCTGACCTTAAAGACATGGGTGACAGCCAAACCATATGCTGAGTTCTGAGCAGACAAACACAGCTGTCCAGAAAAAATTCAGCACTCAAGGTTACTCCCACTGCTATAAAGATACTACCTAAGCCTGGGTAATTTATAAACAAGAGGTTTAATTGACTTAGAGGTCCACATGGCTACGGAGGCCTCAGGAAACTTACAATCATAGTGGAGGTGAAAGGGAAGAAGGACCTTCCTCACAAGGTGGCAGGAGAGAGAGTGAGAAAGAGCGGGGAAGTGCCACACTACAGCCATCAGCTCTTATAAGAACTCACGCACTATCATGAGAACAGCATGGGAGAAAATGCCCCCATGGTCCAATGATCTCCCACCAGGTCCCTCCCTCGACACGTGGGGATTATAAATTGAGATGAGATTTGGGTGGGGACACAGAGCCAAAGCATATCACCAAAATGGCAGGACCAGAGGGGCCTAGATTCTGAAAGGATGGAGCTTTCTCAGGTGGGTCTCGGAGCATGTGCAGCTTTCTCCCTGAATGAAACGTCTGCAGTTTGTAAGTGGCTCAGGCCTGGAAAACAAGAGACCATGGAGAGCTGTGGTTCAGAGGTCGCCAAACAGCCCCTTGGCTGGGGCTAGCCCATTTGGCTGCCTGTAGGCTGGGGACCATAAGCAGGAGTTCGGCTCCGTGAAGGAACAGGTACAGGCCAATGCCTGGGCTTTGAGATCAAACCCCTAATGAATTGTTCCACACAGAAACTGAAACCCCACTTCAGACCAGCAGAAACAAGAGCAGATCTGTGGGACCTGCCTCCTCTCTGATGGCAGCCAGGACACGGAAATGAATGCTTAGCCAAGGCGGTCAGTGTGCTCCGGCCTGGACTCTCCGTGGCCTCACACATCGTATCCGGCCTAGGCCAGAAAGTGCATGCTTCGTCAAGGGGGCCAGCATGATCTGCAGACTCACACATCATATCTGGCTACAGCCAGAAAGGGAATGCTTAGCTAAGGTGGTCAGCGTGCTCTGGCCTGGACTCTCTACAGCATCACACATTGTAACTGGCTGCATTTGTTTGCTAGGGTTGCTGCATAACAAAATATCACACACTGGGTGTCTTAAGCAGCGCAACTGTGTTCTCTTGTGATTTGGGAGGACAGACGTTCGAGATGAAGGTGGGGGCAGAGTTGCATTCTCCTGGGGCTTCTTCCGTTCATGGGTGGACGGCAGCCTTCCTGCTGTGTCCTCACGTGGTCATCCCCTATGTGCGGCTCTGTGTCCTCCTTTCCCCTGGACATAAGAAGTCACAAGACCCCCCATCATCCTGGATCAGCCCACCTGAATGACCTCATTTTCACTTGATTATGTTTTCAAAGGCTCCATCTTCAAATAAGGTCACATTCTCAATTACTGAGGGTCAGGTGTCAACTTATAAATTGGTGGTCACCATTCAATTCATAGCATAGCATTCAGTTAAAGATTACCAAGTAAACCAGTGAGAGGACAAAGCAAACTAAAAATAAAAGGAGAGTAGAGAAGAGAAGTAATGGCAGGGGAGGCCCATCTAGAGCAGCCAGAAGCCGCTGCAGAGGGGAGGCACGGCAGAGGCTGCACATTCCACAGAGCCAGTGGGAGCCAGGACAGGTGGGATCCCTGACCCCTCTGAGTTGATGGGGTGGGAGCAGGCAGGACACCCATGTCATGGCTGCAGACCCAGGCCTCCTGCTCCACAGAGCAGGCAGGATCCACACCCCCATGTGTGCAGCTGCAGCCACCCAAACCACGGCTGTGGACCCAGGCATCTCTGCACTCTTGGGGGCCCAAAAATGCCTCCTCTGACCTCACAGGCTCAGAAGTTCCTGCTCCTGCTGCCTGGCTTCTCCCTGCTGTTGGCACTCACTCCAATCTTGGAGCAAAGTTAGGGCCAAGCCCAGGCACTGTCTCAGCCTGGCTGGGTGTGCACATGCTCCAGGCAGTGCTGATACACCAGCCCCCTGCTGCCTCAGCCCACCTCCAGACTTTGGGCACCAAGGAGCATAGGAGGGAAGCCAAGGGGAGGCTGAAGGCAGCTCAGGGCTGGCCTGCATGCATCCTTGGCACCTACAGTCTGGGCGCCATGAAGCATGGCAGGAGGCAAGCAGGTTCCTGAGCAGAGGGGACAGGTCCCTGGTGAGGCCTCACCTTCAGACCAGGAAGGGCCTGAAGGTTTGGGGTCTTGCAAACCAAAGTGAAAACTTGTGGTGTCTTTTCTGGGCCTGCCCATGGCTGCCCACGGATCATTTGGCATTCACTTCCTCCCCTCTGAGGCCCATAAAAGCTCTGGGCTCAGCCAGAGGTGAGCAGACATCTGGATGACCTGCTGCAGAGAGGAGCTACCCACTCCAGGGCCTCCTCTCTGCTAGGAGCTGGGGAGATGGTGGGATGACCTGCCACAGAGAGGAGCTACCATCTGCTAGGAGCTGGACACTCATCGGGGCACTCTGGCTGTGGAAAGGAGCTATCCCCTTCTCTGAGCTGTTCTATCACTCAATAAAGCTCCCCTTCATCCTGCTCACCCTCCACTTGTCTGCATACTTCATTCTTCCTGGTCACAGGACAAGAATTTGGGACCTACCGAGTGGCATGGCTAAAAAAGCTGTCATAAAAATGGGGCTGAAATACTCCCCTTGCTCACCACATTGCAGGCAAAGAGAGTGAGAGAAGCGCTGTGGCCCTCTGGGGATCCCAGACCTCAGAGCTCCCCAAGCCAAGGCTGTGACTACCTCTTTGAGGCCCTGCAGTTCTTGGTGTCTTCAGGCCTCCAAGTGCCACTGCATTCCCCAGTGCCAGCCATGGAAGCTGCTTGTGGTGTGCCTAGTCAAGCCGCAGCCTTGCAGAGAGCTGGCACCCATGCTGGTACCTGGAGCTGCCTGCCCCACTGCAGCAACCGGTGTGCTGACTGCACACTGGCTGGACTCCACACTCCCTCATGCACCCCTTGCTGCTCCATGCTTGACTTGCCCTTAACAGGCACGGACCCAGGCTGGTTGTGTGAGTGGAGCACAGCGTGCTAGGCCAAGTGGGGAGAACCAGCACAGTGGGCTTGAGCAAAACTCAGGCAAAGGTGCCACCAGCCACAGAGGTTTCTGGACCAAAAAACGACACCCAAAGACCCTGTAAGAAAAGGACAAGAGAAGCTGATCAGGGAGCACCAGCCTCTGTGGTGAAGAGACGCAGATTACAATGAAGGTGTCCTCCAAGAATACCAGCCATGAGGTGGAGGAGCCAATCAGACACAAATTATCTTTTTCAAAAAATGCAACAAATGAAAGTTGTGTAACTGGAAAATAAAATAATTGCAGCTAAGCACCAAACACGTGGGTATTGGAAGTGATTGAGATAGTCAACTGGATGGCACATAAAGCAGAAAATATTAGGTTGGTGCAAAAGTAATTGTGGTTTTGGACCATGAATTTTAAATCATTATAACTAGGTTCAAACACATCTTCATGAATCAAAATAGGAACCATTACAATAAGCACATTTTTTGCCAAGGAGAAATAAGTTTGTTTATTCCCATAGCATAAAAATCCATGCTTCAGGATTTGACGAGCTCTTGGAAAACATTTTCTGCATCCTGTTGGGTGTGGAAGTGTTTTCCCTGCAAAAAGTTGTCAAGATGCTCGAAGAAGTGGTAGTCGGCTGGCAAGAGGTCAGGTGAATATGGCAGATGAGGCAAAATTTGTAGCCCAATTCATTCAACTTTTGAAGTGTTGGTTGTGAGACGTGTGGTCAGGCATTGTGGTGGAGAAGAGTTGGGTCCTTTTTATTGACCAATGCCAGCTGCAGGCATTGCAGTTTCTCGTGCATCTCATTGGTTTTTTGAGCATGCTTCTCAGGTGTAATGGCTGCACTTGGATTCAGAACGGTAGTGGATCAGACGGGCACAGACCACCAGTGACCAGGACCTTTTTTGGTGCAAGTTTGGCTTTGGGAAGTGCTTTGGAGCTTCTTCTCAGTCCAACCACTGAGCTGGTCATCACGGGTTGTTGTATAAAATCCACTTTTTGTCGCACGTCACAGTCTGATTGAGAAACGGTTCGTTGTTGTGTAGAATGAGAAGACACTTCAAAATGACAATTTTTAAAAAAAATTTCACTCAGCTCGCGAGGCACCCACTTATTAAGCTTTCCACCTTTCCAGTTTGCTTCAAATGCCAAACGACCATAGAATGGCCGACGCTGAGTTCTTTGGCAGCTTCTTGTGTGGTTGTAAGAGGATCAGCTTGATAATTGCTCTCAATTGGTCATTGTCAACTTCCGATGGCCTGTCACTACGCTCTTCATCTTCAAGGCCCTCATCATTTTGCAAAACCTCTTGAACCACCACTGCACTCTACGTTCGTTAGCAGCTCCGAGGCCAAATGCATCGTTGATGTTTCAAGTCATCTCAGCTACTTTATGACCCATTTTGAACCTGAATAAGAAAATTGCTTGAATTTGCTTTTTTCCTAACATCATTTCCATAGTCTAAAATAAACGTTAAATAACAGCAAGTAATAAGTTATTAGCAAAAAAACATAAAGTGAGAAATGCTCATTAAAATGATGCATAACGTAACCACATGTATTTTAAAATGTTTTCCAATATCAAATGGCAAATTCCAACAATGCAAACAGCACAATTACTTTTGCACTCACAGGCTGAACACAGAAGAAAAGAGGATGGAAAACATTTTAGGAAATAAAAATAATGGCAGAAAAGAGGGCACCAGCACACAGGCGGAACCAGCACACAGGTGGAACCAGCACACAGGCGGAACCAGGCGCTGCTCCAAGAAGACACAGTGTCGAGAGACCATTCATCCCTGAAAACAGGAGGACACCAGCACACAGGCGGAACCAGCACACAGGAGGAACCAGCACACAGGTGGAACCAGCACACAGGCGGAACCAGGCGCTGCTCCAAGAAGACACAGTGTCGAGAGCCAACACCAGCACACAGGTGGAACCGGCACACAGGCGGAACCAGCACACAGGCGGAACCAGCACACAGGTGGAACCAGGTGCTACTCTAAGAAGACACAGTGTCGAGAGACCATTCGTCCCTGAAAACAGGTTTGAACTTTCTTCTGAGTTCTTTGTAATTTGACTTTATTATTGCCAACCTAAATAAGAGACAGAAAGACCCTCTGAAGAAAAGAATATTTGGGAATTGAGCATTGCAATGGGAGTCAGTGAATACATTCAGGGAGGTCAAGGAAGACAAGAATTTTTAAAGAAAACGTAAGTTGTTTGGAGACAATTATCCTTGCCTACAAGGGCCCATAGCAAGGGTGGTGCCAGTGTGGGGTGGGACAGGCAGGTGCTGGGCAGATGTCCTCACAGAGGTGCTTTCTGACTGAGGTCTCCGGGGCTTTTGTACGTGGATGTCGTGTCTGTAGGGTCTTTAGCTCTTGTTGTCAAGGCATTCGTGCAGCAGAGCCCTTGCGAGGTCCTTGGGGCTTTTGTGCATGGATGTGGTGTTTGCAGAGTCTTTGGTGATAGTTCTTGCTGTCAGGCATTCGTGCAGCAGAGCCCTCCTTCCAAGGCCTTCCCCAGCTCAGCTCATCCAGGTTTTAACAAAAGCGACTCCACTTTCATTCTGACAACTTTCACCATATTTGAAAAAAAGTGTAGAAAATAGGTAACATTTGTCGGGCTGTTTCACTGCTAGTCAAGGCTTCCAGTTTAAGGACTGACCCACTCCACACACTGGAGAAGCTGTAGAAATGGCCCTCGCCTGGGAGTCACAGGGAGGATCCCAGCTGTTGTTGTCTTTAACTGATTGCTTAATTTTTCTTATTTTTAATTTTTTGTCCCATGAATGGAAGAGCTAGACAATCTTACCGTTTTTAAATTCTTTGATATTATAAAGTGTTCCAAATCTATTTAGAGCACACATTGTATATTTTATCCTCTCTGACCTCAAAGTACAAAATAGTATGCTCATTTGCATAATGTATATGTTTAAATTAACAGATGTTTCCATTATATACATTATTTTTTTCTAAATCGGTATTTTTCCATCTTAGCAGCAACCTTTTAACTCCAGTAACAAAAGTTTAAGATTAAGTTCTGAGAATTTGATACAAGAGAAAAGATGTAGGCTATTAAATTTATAATTCATCACATACATTGTCAAATTTAAAAGTGAGTAACTGGCATTTTTGCAGTATAGTGTAATTCAAGATAGGATAATTACAAAATTTGGTATTTTATAACTAAACAGTAGGAGAGTTAATGTTCTCCATTTATATATGGAAATGTTAGCATGACTTACATATTTTTAATTATCTAATGATGGATCTTTAGAGTATGCTGCATCTCTAGAGAAATTCATTTTTATATACTCTTCTATTATAAACACCTTGACAAAGGCCACTTAACACATTTCAAGAAACATAAATGTATTTTTAATGGAAATAACCCTCTTAGTGACCTTTCCAGTAGAGTCTACTTTTAAGAATAATTATTCGCTTACCAGCGAGAGGATTTAAACTTTAAAAGCAGAAACACTCGACGATTTGGCATTTGCAAAGCCCGTAAGAGAATGCAGACATTCTGGTGAATCAACTCTCTGGCTGATCACACTCGTCAAGCTTCCAGTTGCAAATGAGCAGGTGAGGAAGTGTAAGGTGGGCGTGTGGCCCTCCAGAGCCATGGAGAAGATGCTGTCTCGAGGGAAGAGCCGGTGCAGAGACTCGGTGCTCCAGGCAGGCCCGGTGACTTGGAAGCTGAGTGGGGCTGGGCTCCGAGGCGTATGGCAGATGCTGAGGCCAGGCCTTTGGCACGTACTGAACTGAGTGAGGTCTGCGGCCAGAAAGGGAGGAAACAAACCACAGGGAAGGAAAGGCCTGGCCACCTGTTCCTGTCCCAGTGCCCACGTGTGGAGTTGTCAAATGATGCCCCATAGGTTATTTTGCCTTTGTGGGAGACGAACCATCTGTAAAACCTTGTTTTTGGCTTATTGCTCAAAACAGTTGGTGCTTTAGACAAAATGGATCAGCTCCCAGTGGGAACTGGCTGTCTTGTAGAATTCACAGACGCTTTGCTATCCCGGAGCCTGGAAATCTGAAGTGGTCGTTCTATGATTTTTCACAGCAGGAGGCATTTTATTTGGGTTGATTCCATGTCGTTCAAGAACATCCTGCGCTCTGGTTTTCGCAGCTAGAAGAAAAGGAAACACAGCAAGCAAATAGCTCTTTTCCACAGCTGCTGAAAAGGAATAGACACAACATCAGGCGTGGGATTCTCCCTGGAAGCCCCCCGGATGGTCTGCAGTGCTGATGGCCACATGCTATTAAACAAAATTTACTTTACTTTGATCGAGTGCCTGATTCATAGCTCTGCAGCTCCTACGCAAGCTGCACAGTGAGGCTCCTAATGTATTGAGATACTGACAGCGGGAGGAAGAACGGTGTGGAAAAAACACACCTGACGCTTGCCACCAACTGGCCTAGAGAACACAGGACCGGGTATCAGGTCACCCGGCACACACGCAGACTCCACATACAAGGGACACACTCAGTGTGGACCAGGGAAGACGGGGACGGAGGCAGGGGCTCACCAACTGTCACTAAAGGCACCCACAGGGCCACCAGGACCTCCATGGCCCAGGCACGTGGAGTCAGGAGCTGCAGCGGGTGGACCTGGAACTTAATTTTACAAGGAATGGCCCACAGAGCCTGCCCTGGGGGCCCTGGGGGGAGCTGGCACGGGCGGGAATGATGGGCCAGAGTCACCAGCTCGTTCCTAACCTGGAACAGCCTGCCCCGCAGGGCCCCAGGGCTCTGTCTGGAGGAGTCTGGCCCAACAGTGAAAGCCCTTGGTAAAAGAAAAACTTCAGGCAAATTAAGTTGAACAGAGTTTAACCGAGCAATGATCGGGCAGCCTTCCCAGCCGGAGGAGGCTCAGAGACTCCAGCGCAGCCGCGTCGGGGAGGAAGATTTATGGACAGGGAAGGGAAAGTAACAGACAGAAACGGACGTGAGGGACAGAGACAGCTGGACTGATTACAGCCCGCATTTGCCTTATTTTAACAGGGTTCAAACAACCGGCTACGTCTGAGTGGCCAAATCTCGGTGATTGGCGCAAGTATAGGCTACAGTCTGTGTACAACTCCGCTTAGGTTATAGCTCACCACGTACAGAGAAACCTCTAGGCCGAACTTAAAATATGTAAGGAGGCAGCTTTAGGCCACACTTGATTTGACACCCAGGAGTGGGGGCCCTCCACTCCCTCAGGCCCCTGGGAACAGGCCTTGGGCACCCTCCCTGCTCCCGCACAAGGCCTGACTCCAGGCAGTCCTGAGGCCGCATCCTGCACTGCGCTGCGGGATCCTGGCTGCTCTCTTCCCGCCTGGAAGACTTTGCACAGCCACGCATCCCTACCACTACCCAGGGATCCCGGGAAGCGAGCAGCCCAGCAGCTGTGGGAAACACCAGCCCCTACAACCTTCCTTGAAAGCTCTGCCGGGGCCGGCTGCTGTAGTGGGGACTTCAGTCTGGTGAGTCAATATTACGTTGCGTGGAACGTGAACATGGACGCCACTCCGTCCGGGATTCAGCGCAGCGGCACTCTCTCTGCTCCACTATTAGGAAAGACGTGCCTGGAATAAGGAAAATCATTCCTTTTTTTTTTTTTAAGGAATCAAGGGTCATGGGCTCCCCTTGGAAGTAGCTTGAGGCTCCATACGGCTGACAGTGCCAGCTGCACCCCCAGGAAGGTGTGCTTGCCTTTGAGTTGGGTGGGGTACATCTAGAGTGGGGCTCTGGAACCCGGCTGCTGGGGTGACAGCCCCACACAGCCCCTGAGGCTGTGAACCTGGGTGAGTGAGCCAGGCCCCCTGCAGCTGCCTGCACCCATCCGGCTGTTTCTGGCTCCTTCTCACCTGATGAGTTGGTGTTGAGCCCAGACCAGTTATGACCTAGAGGGAGGGGGAGGCCTTGACTGTTCCTACAGAGCCCAGTATGAAGTAATTCTCAAAATCCGACTGTTTTAATGTTTGAATGTATTTGAGTGTGTTTAATTGGTTCAAAATTTAAAATAAAAAATAAGTAAGTAAAATCCCACCTTGTCTACTTGTTCACCCAGCAACAGAACTCCCTGTCTGAAGTTAATTGCTTTTTCTGTGTCTTCTGGATGATCCCAGAAACAGTCCATCCATGTGCAACAAATAACAGCAAATAGCATCCATGTATATGTGTGTGTGTGTGTGTGTGTGTGTGTGTGTGTAGTCCCCTGTTTATAGACAGGGAGGTGCCCCTGCACACACACAGTGCACAGTGCATACTACATGTATATATGTGTGTTTATATATATATTCCCCTGTTCATAGACAGGAAGGTGCCCCTGCACACACACAGTGCACAGTGCATGCTACATGTATACATATATGTGTGTATATATATAGTCCCGTTTATAGACAGGAAGATGTCCCACGCACACAGTGCACAGTGCATGCTACATGTTCTGCATTACACCTGTTGTATGTTACACACTGTATGATACAGCATATTGTTGAAACTGGAGAATTCTCTGAATTCCCCTCGCAGGACATACTACAGGAGTGTGGCTCACCTGTTTGGCCACCTTGCAGCTCAAACCCCTAGCAGGAGCATGCAGAGGGGCAGGGGCAGAAGCTGGGGCAAGGACTTTGGGCTCTTGGCCCTGCAGTAGTTTCTAGAGGTGAGTGCGTGCAACCCCCGTGTCACAGAGCTCTCTCAGCTTGGCTGCCTGTACATGGCTTGAGTGTTAACCAGCTCAGCAGACCTTCTGCCTTATCACAAGGGCAGAGAGCCAATGGGACAGCCTTCTGTATCCCGAGCTCTTGTCTAGCGTCCTGGAAGAATCGAATCACAAGCAGGATCGAAGGATGAGTGCAGGGTTCTGTTGAGTGGTGAAGGTGGCTCTCAGCAGATGGACGGGGAGCTGGAAGGTGGAGGAGCGGGGGAGATCATCTTCTCCTGGAGTTTGGCTGTTGTCAGTGAACTCCTCTTGGTGTTCAGGTGCCTCTTCCCTCCTTCTCTGCCGGGCCACAGTGTTGCTCTCTGCCTCTCTCCACCGCTCTCTGCTGCTCTCTGCCACTTCTCTTGACATTCAGCAGTTTGTGTGTCTGCCTGCTAAGGTCTCGGGTTTATATGGGCACAGGATGGGGGGTGTGGCAGGCCAGAGTGGTCTTGGAAATGCAACATTCAGGTGGGAAAACAGAAGTGCCTGCTCTCACTTAGGTCCATGGACACAGGCCCGAGGGTGGAGCCCTCACTGGGAGCCTGCCCTTCTCTACCCAGCCCTTTCCTGCCCCTCCTGTATCATCGTGACCTACATTGTGCACTGTCTATTATATGTTGCTTATAACGTATTATTTATATTCTGCTAATGTTTTCCAACTTTAATTCTTATACACACAAAAACACATGATGCACACAATCTAAAATCAGGTTTTATCACTTAACCATATATCTTGAAGATTATGCCTTACTAGTATAGAGCTTATCATTCTTTTGAAAAGAAATGTTATTTTCCATTGAGTAGGTACGGCCTTGTTTATTTAAGCAATGCCTTATTGAATTACTTATAAGGTATTTAATTATTTTTTAATACATCAATCTATATACTTTATACATATGTGATAACATATATCTAATAAAATTTAAGATATCAAATTATCAGGTCAAAAGAGTAGGAGCGTTTTATCTTTAGTGTCTAATTTTCAAATGCTTTTTATAAATGCTAAGCTGGTTTGCAATTCTACCAGCAATGTGGAAGAGAGCACACATCTTTCCACATTCTTAATGATCCAATTATTCCTAATCCTAGAGGCAGAAATCAAAAATCATAATTCATGATTTCAATAGTTTTCTTATTTTTAATTAAATTAAGCATCCTTTAGAGCATTTGTACTCTGTTTATTGTCTCATCTTTTGGCCATTTTTTCAGTCGGATTATTGGTATTTTTATTACTGAATTGTAGAATCCATTTAATCATTTAAAAAATGTGCTTTATGATAGCAACGAATTTCATGATTTGTCCATTTCCTTGGAACCATGACACTTTTAAAATATTGATCAAATTATAAATTTTAATTGTTCTACTTATAGTAATACTTGGAAACATTTCTCATTCTGAAACCATAAGAAAATATCTTCATGTTTTTTGGTGCTTATATAGTTTTAGATTTTACATTTAAATATTTGATTCGAAAACAGTTTATTATGGCATAAACTGTGAGTAAATGATTTAACTAATCTTTTGTTAAAACCACAACCATATTCTTTGCTGCAGATGACAGGGCTTGTTAATACCATGCTTTTTCTCTAAGTTCGAAATCCAACTCTGAAGTATTCCGGGCCAGGGTTTATTTTTCTTGTCCCCGCCATGCTAACATTTGTGTTATTCAACTGCATAAAGCACTGATAATTAAAGAGAAACCTTTTGAAAACTAAAGGAATTTATTTTGCTATTTACTAATTTTTATAAGTTATTTAGTTGAATAGGATTGTTTCTAAGTTTTAGGTAAAAATTAAAAAATAAATAAATAAAATAAAATAGGGGGGAGGAGCCAAGATGGCCGAATAGGAACAGCTCCAGTCTGCAGCTCCCAGCGTGAGCCACGCAGAAGACGGGTGATTTCTGCATTTCCATCTGAGGTACCGGGTTCATCTCACTAGGGAGTGCCAGACAGTGGGCGCAGGTCAGTGGGTGCGCGCACCGTGCGCGAGCCAAAGCAGGGCGAGGCATTGCCTCACTCGGGAAGCGCAAGGGGTCAGGGAGTTCCCTTTCCTAGTCAAAGAAAGAGGTGACAGACTGCACCTGGAAAATCGGGTCACTCCCACCCGAATATTGCGCTTTTCCGACGGGCTTAAAAAAAGGCGCACAACGAGATTATATCCCGCACCTGGCTCGGAGGGTCCTACGCCCACGGAGTCTCACTGATTGCTAGCACAGCAGTCTGAGATCAAACTGCAAGGCGGCAGCGAGGCTGGGGGAGGGGCGCCCGCCATTGCCCAGGCTTGCTTAGGTAAACAAAGCAGCCCGGAAGCTCAAACTGGGTGGAGCCCACCACAGCTCAAGGAGGCCTGCCTGCCTCTGTAGGCTCCACCTCTGGGGGCAGGGCACAGACAAACAAAAAGACAGCAGTAACCTCTGCAGACTTAAATGTCCCTGTCTGACAGCTTTGAAGAGAGCAGTGGTTCTCCCAGTACGCAGCTGGAGATCTGAGAACGGGCAGACTGCCTCCTCAAGTGGGTCCCTGACCCCTGACCCCCGAGCAGCCTAACTAGGAGGCACCCGCCAGCAGGAGCACACTGACACCTCACACGGCAGGGTATTCCAACAGACCTGCAGCTGAGGGTCCTGTCTGTTAGAAGGAAAACTAACAAACAGAAAGGACATCCACACCAAAAACCCGTCTGTACATCACCATCATCAAAGACCAAAAGTAGATAAAACCACAAAGATGGGGAAAAAACAGAACAGAAAAACTGGAAACTCTAAAAAGCAGAGCGCCTCTCCTCCTCCAAAGGAACGCAGTTCCTCACCAGCAATGGAACAAAGCTGGACGGAGAATGACTTTGACGAGCTGAGAGAAGAAGGCTTCAGACGATCAAATTACTCTGAGCTACGGGAGGACATTCAAACCAAAGGCAAAGAAGTTGAAAACTTTGAAAAAAATTTAGAAGAATGTATAACTAGAATAACCAATACAGAGAAGTGCTTAAAGGAGCTGATGGAGCTGAAAACCAAGGCTCGAGAACTACGTGAAGAATGCAGAAGCCTCAGGAGCCGATGCGATCAACTGGAAGAAAGGGTATCAGCAATGGAAGATGAAATGAATGAAATGAAGCGAAAAGGGAAGTTTAGAGAAAAAAGAATAAAAAGAAACGAGCAAAGCCTCCAAGAAATATGGGACTATGTGAAAAGACCAAATCTACGTCTGATTGGTGTACCTGAAAGTGACGGGGAGAATGGAACCAAGTTGGAAAACACTCTTCAGGATATTATCCAGGAGAACTTCCCCAATCTAGCAAGGCAGGCCAACATTCAGATTCAGGAAATACAGAGAACGCCACAAAGATTCTCCTCGAGAAGAGCAACTCCAAGACACATAATTGTCAGATTCACCAAAGTTGAAATGAAGGAAAAAATGTTAAGGGCAGCCAGAGAGAAAGGTCGGGTTACCCTCAAAGGGAAGCCCATCAGACTAACAGCGGACCTCTCAGCAGAAACCCTACAAGCCAGAAGAGAGTGGGGGCCAATATTCAACATTCTTAAAGAAAAGAATTTTCAACCCAGAATTTCATATCCAGCCAAACTAAGCTTCATAAGTGAAGGAGAAATAAAATACTTTACAGACAAGCAAATGCTGAGAGATTTTGTCACCACCAGGCCTGCCCTAAAAGAGCTCCTGAAGGAAGCGCTAAACATGGAAAGGAACAACCGGTACCAGCCGCCGCAAAATCATGCCAAAATGTAAAGACCATTGAGACTAGGAAGAAACTGCATCAACTAACGAGCAAAATAACCAGCTAACATCATCATGACAGGATCAAATTCACACATAACAATATTAACTTTAAATGTAAATGGACTAAATGCTCCAATTAAAAGACACAGACTGGCAAATTGGATAAAGAGTGAAGACCCATCAGTGTGCTATATTCAGGAAACCCATCTCACATGCAGAGACACACATAGGCTCAAAATAAAAGGATGGAGGAAGATCTACCAAGCAAATGGAAAACAAAAAAAGGCAGTGGTTGCAATCCTAGTCTCTGATAAAACAGACTTTAAACCAACAAAGATCAAAAGAGACAAAGAAGGCCATTACATAATGGTAAAGGGATCAATTCAACAAGAAGAGCTAACTATCCTAAATATATATGCACCCAATACAGGAGCACCCAGATTCATAAAGCAAGTCCTGAGTGACCTACAAAGAGACTTAGACTCCCACACATTAATAATGGGAGACTTTAACACCCCATTGTCAACATTAGACAGATCAATGAGACAGAAAGTCAACAAGGATACCCAGGAATTGAACTCAGCTCTGCACCAAGCGGACCTAATAGACATCTACAGAACTCTCCACCCCAAATCAACAGAATATACATTTTTTTCAGCACCACACCACACCTATTCCAAAATTGACCACATACTTGGAAGTAAAGCTCTCCTCAGCAAATGTAAAAGAACACAAATTATAACAAACTATCTCTCAGACCACAGTGCAATCAAACTAGAACTCAGGATTAAGAATCTCACTCAAAACCGCTCAACTACATGGAAACTGAACAACCTGCTCCTGAATGACTACTGGGTACATAACGAAATGAAGGCAGAAATAAAGATGTTCTTTGAAACCAACGAGAACAAAGACACAACATACCAGAATCTCTGGGACGCAATCAAAGCAGTGTGTAGAGGGAAATTTATAGCACTAAATGCCCACAAGAGAAAGCAGGGAAGATCCAAAATTGACACCCTAACATCACAATTAAAAGAACTAGAAAAGCAAGAGCAAACACATTCAAAAGCTAGCAGAAGGCAAGAAATAACTAAAATCAGAGCAGAACTGAAGGAAATAGAGACACAAAAAACCCTTCAAAAAATTAATGAATCCAGGAGCTGGTTTTTTGAAAGGGTCAACAAAATAGACCGCTAGCAAGACTAATAAAGAAGAAAAGAGAGAAGAATCAAATAGACGCAATAAAAAATGATAAAGGGGATATCACCACCGATCCCACAGAAATACAAACTACCATCAGAGAATACTACAAACACCTCTACACAAATAAACTAGAAAATCTAAAAGAAATGGATAAATTCCTCGACACATACACTCTCCCAAGACTAAACCAGGAAGAAGTTGAATCTCTGAATAGACCAATAACAGGAGCTGAAATTGTGGCAATAATCAATAGCTTACCAACCAAAAAGAGTCCAGGACCAGATGGATTCACAGCCGAATTCTACCAGAGGTACAAGGAGGAGCTGGTACCATTCCTTCTGAAACTATTCCAATCAATAGAAAAAGAGGGAATCCTCCCTAACTCATTTTATGAGGCCAGCATCATCCTGATACCAAAGCCGGGCAGAGACACAACCAAAAAAGAGAATTTTAGACCAATATCCTTGATGAACATTGATGCAAAAATCCTCAATAAAATACTGGCAAACCGAATCCAGCAGCACATCAAAAAGCTTATCCACCATGATCAAGTGGGCTTCATCCCTGGGATGCAAGGCTGGTTCAATATATGCAAATCAATAAATGTAATCCAGCATATAAACAGAGCCAAAGACAAAAACCACATGATTATCTCAATAGATGCAGAAAAGGCCTTTGACAAAATTCAACAACGCTTCATGCTAAAAACTCTCAATAAATTAGGTATTGATGGGACATATTTCAAAATAATAAGAGCTATCTATGACAAACCCACAGCCAACATCATACTGAATGGGCAAAAACTGGAAGCATTCCCTTTGAAAACTGGCACAAGACAGGGATGCCCGCTCTCACCGCTCCTATTCAACATAGTGTTGGAAGTTCTGGCCAGGGCAATTAGGCAGGAGAAGGAAATAAAGGGTATTCAATTAGGAAAAGAGGAAGTCAAATTGTCCCTGTTTGCAGACCACATGATTGTATATCTAGAAAACCCCATTGTCTCAGCCCAAAATCTCCTTAAGCTGATAAGCAACTTCAGCAAAGTCTCAGGATACAAAATCAATGTACAAAAATCACAAGCATTCTTATACGCCAACGACAGACAAATAGAGAGCCAAATCATGAGTGAACTCCCATTCACAATTGCTTCAAAGAGAATAAAATACCTAGGAATCCAACTTACAAGGGACGTGAAGGACCTCTTCAAGGAGAACTACAAACCACTGCTCAAGGAAATAAAAGAGGATACAAACAAATGGAAGAACATTCCATGCTCATGGGTAGGAAGAATCAATATCGTGAAAATGGCCATACTGCCCAAGGTAATTTACAGATTCAATGCCATCCCCATCAAGCTACCAATGCCTTACTTCACAGAATTGGAAAAAACTACTTTAAAGTTCACATGGAACCAAAAAAGAGCCCGCATTGCCAAGTCAATCCTAAGCCAAAAGAACAAAGCTGGAGGCATCACACTACCTGACTTCAAACTATACTACAAGGCTACAGTAACCAAAACAGCATGGTACTGGTACCAAAACAGAGATATAGATCAATGGAACAGAACAGAGCCTCAGAAATAATGCCGCATATCTACAACTATCTGATCTTTGACAAACCTGACAAAAACAAGCAATGGGGAAAGGATTCCCTATTTAATAAATGGTGCTGGGAAAACTGGCTAGCCATATGTGGAAAGCTGAAACTGGATCCCTTCCTTACACCTTATACAAAAATCAATTCAAGATGGATTAAAGACTTAAACGTTAGACCTAAAACCATAAAAACCCTAGAAGAAAACCTAGGCATTACCATTCAGGACATAGGCACGGGCAAGGACTTCATGTCTAAAACACCAAAAGCAATGGCAACAAAAGCCAAAATTGACAAATGGGATCTAATTAAACAAAAGAGCTTCTGTACAGCAAAAGAAACTACCATCAGAATGAACAGGCAACCTACAAAATGGGAGAAAATTTTTGCAACCTACTCATCTGACAAAGGGCTAATATCCAGAATCTACAATGAACTTAAACAAATTTACAAGAAAAAAACAAACAACCCCATCAAAAAGTGGGCAAAGGACATGAACAGACACTTCTCAAAAGAAGACATTTATGCAGCCAAAAAACACATGAAAAAATGCTCATCACTGGCCATCAGAGAAATGCAAATCAAAACCACAATGAGATACCATCTCACACCAGTTAGAATGGCAATCATTAAAAAGTCAGGAAACAACAGGTGCTGGAGAGGATGTGGAGAAATAGGAACACTTTTACACTGTTGGTGGGACTGTAAACTAGTTCAACCATTGTGGAAGTCAGTGTGGCGATTCCTCAGGGATCTAGAACTAGAAATACCATTTGACCCAGCCATCCCATTACTGGGTATATACCCAAAGGACTATAAATCATGCTGCTATAAAGACACATGCACACGTATGTTTATTGAGGCACTATTCACAATAGCAAAGTCTTGGAACCAACCCAAATGTCCAACAATGATAGACTGGATTAAGAAAATGTGGCACATATGCACCATGGAATACTATGCAGCCATAAAAAATGATGAGTTCATGTCCTTTGTAGGGACATAGATGAAATTGGAAATCATCATTCTCAGTAAACTATCGCAAGAACAAAAAACCAAACACCGCATATTCTCACTTATAGGTGGGAATTGAACAATGAGATCACATGGACACAGGAAGGGGAACATCACACTCTGGGGACTGTTGTGGGGTGGGGGGAGGGGGGAGTGATAGCTTTGGGAGATATACCTAATGCTAGATGACGAGTTAGTGGGTGCAGCGCACCAGCATGGCACATGTATACATATGTAACTAACCTGCACAATGTGCACATGTACCCTAAAACTTAAAGTATAATAATAAAAGAAAAAAAATAAATAAAATAAAATAAAATAAAGTGAAAATGCTTTGGTCCCTAACCCTCATTTTCCATGGAAAGGATCACTGCTCCTTGGAAAAATGGCTGGTTCTATTTCTGGTGAAGACAGGCACAAAGTGAGCCACAGCATCATGTTACGCCAGGAGAAAACAACAAAACAAAACAAAACAAAAAACCCCTCGGAGACAACTCTTGCTTCAAAGCCACAGGATGTGTGTGAGAATAGTCACAGCAGCAGACGAGGAAACTAGGAAGTCCCACGAGGAGTAAAATGAACAACAGTGTTATCCATTCTCACAAGGGATGATGGAGAGCCACAGGGATGGCCCGTGAGATGCTCCACACATCAGTGCAGGTTAATTTTACACACATGATGTTGAGCAGGGAAGCCAGACTTAAGACTGAACACTGTATGGTCCCATTTGCATAAACAACAAAACAGACAGAACTAACCTGTGTGTTCCACAGCTGGGAACTGGCTGTGCTGGTGGATGGATGGCAGGAGCAGCAGGAAGGATATTCTCGCTGTGGGCCCCACTCCTGGCCCACAAATGTGCTCAGTTTGCAAAAATCCATGGAGCTGGAAACTTGCGATGCCTTCCCCTTTCTGTGTGATGTTTTCTGTCATCAAAACTTTCTCGAGAACACGCAGGATAGAACATGAACAGCTTCCCCTGGAAAAGAATGGGACTGTTTTAACATCAAGAATAATGATAACCTTGAGGGACTCTAAACACATCTATAGTTTAAATCCCATGAATTATTAATCATTCTCAACAACACCTAAAATCAAAGGAATCCGTGATCACTTTTGGGAAATAACAGAGGAAAAAACCTCATAATTTTGAAAATGGAGAGAAGGGAAAAGCATTGATCCTGCCTTTCGTATAAAAACTGTACCTCAGGGCGAGGAAAGAGTCAACAAGGGGAAGTTTCTCTTCATAGAAATATTTCAGCTAATAAATAAGAAAAGATGGTAACATTAAAATATTACAAATTTGCTACCCATGATGCATTAATATACCTATGTGGTGATTATCAAGGCTGCTTACATTAAAACATGAGACACACTAGATACTGTATTGTTCCACAGTGGGGAGGTCCAGGTGCAACTGCCCTCAAAGTCCAAGGAAGCTGAGAGGCCAGAGAAAGAGGCCAGAAAACCTGGTTTTTCAGAAAGAAACATTTAGTAGGAACTTAGGGACAGAAGCTGTGTCTGCAGCCAGACAAGATGGTGGATCCCCACCCATAACCTCCAGGCCCAGGGCCTCTGAGCCATGGTGAAGGGGTGGTTCAGAAGGCATGGGTGGGACAACTGAAGTACAGCAACATCAAGGTTGTCTGGACCCAAGGGCACGATTTATGGTAGATACTTACTCACACACAAGGAAAAGAGTGTTACCAGCCACGGGTTCTTACGCTCCCATGCAACAGAGAGGTCACGGGGCCATGCATGTTCCCCAGAGGAGGCTTTGTCAGGAGTCTGTGCTTGAATACGAGGGGACAGCACTGGAGAGAGAGGTCTCGGGCTGGCTCCCCGAGGGCAGGTCTTTTCGGTGTGTTAGGAAGGATGTCAGAGATAAGCATGAAGCATGCGAACATCATTACATGTGTGGGACAGAGCTCGGGGTGCATGGGCACAGTGAAAAATCAGGCTGATACATACATCGTGCATAATAAATAACACCTATGCCCCTCCTGGGTGGGGATTTTACCATTCTAATGAGGCAAGAGGTAAAGCTCAGCCGTTCTTCTGGTCTTGTGCACATGCCAGTGATAGAGGTGACTCCCGTGAGTAAGGTTTCCAGTGGAACCCTTGTTAGCTTGGTTTCTCCAGGGTCTATGGAGACAGTGGGGGTGGTGGGGCGAGCTCAGGTGCTTAGCTGATGTGCATGGGAAGACACATCAGTGGGAATGGGCCAAGTTCCTATGGGGGCCAAGTCCTGTCCTTATGCTGTCTCAAGATAAACTGGAAATCTTAGAGGACTTCCTGGAACTGGAGTTAATCGAAAGTCAACATGGCAGGTTGTTATCCAAGGTGGAGCTGCTTCAGCCTCCACGTCTGCCCTTCTTGACAGTTGTACACAAGATCACGATAAATACTCTTGCCAAAAACATCAACCATGAATACGGTTAAGCATCTTGATCTATCCATTTACTGGAAGTATGGGGAACAGAAAAAAAAAGTACTTAAAAAAATGAGAACTATGATCGCTAAACTAGCTAATAGGACATCCATATAACAAAAAATCCAGTTTCTTCAACAACAGCAAAAAAAAAAAAAAAAATGTAAGGGGAAAAAAAAGAAATGAAGGAGGAATACCTAGAGCAGTAGAGTCTTCAGGGATATTTTAATTAATAATAATTCATGTAACGTGTTTGAATTGTTTCAACTGCACAAACTATTTATTTTTTTGAGACAGAGTCTCGCTTTTTCACCCAGGCTGGAGTGCAGTGGCATGATCTCAGCTCACTGCAACCTCCGCCTCCCAGGTTCAAGCAATTCTCCTGCCTCAGCCTCCCAAGTAGCTGGGACTACAGGCGCGAACCATCATGCCCAGCTAATTTTTGTATTTTTAGTAGAGACGGGGTTTCACCATGTTGGCCAGGATAGTCTCGATTTCTTGACCTTGTGATCTGCCCACCTCGACCTCCCAAAGTGCTGGGATTACAGGCATGAGCCATCACGCCTGGCCTTAAAATGTATTTTAAATTCATTAGAATGATTATAGAAATGTGAGGAGTGCTTGAATATTTGATGATATTAAGAGATTACTGTGGATTAATTTCAAGTTTGATAATAAATTGTCACTATGTTTAAAGGTGTTGGTGTGTCTTTTGAATATACATGTAGAAATATTTAGAAATATGTGCAGAAATATACATTGGAATTACTAGCACAATGGAATAAGGAAACATACAAGGATATTCACTGGCACATAATTTGATCAGGTGAAAAGGTAGAAAAAATATAAGTATCCAGATAGTACAAAATGGACAAAAGAATTGGTACAGCGATAGAAAGAAGGCTAGACCTAGGCCAAGGTATTGAATGAGGTCATCTTGGGCAAGGGGAGAGGGTGAGAAGCAGAGGAAATGAGATGGGCTCTGAGCTGATCAATGCTCAAGGCAGGTCATGGGTAAATTAGAGTTAATTATGCCATAATCTCCCCTAGGTATGTATTTGAAATTTTCCACAATAAGGAGTTATATAAAAATATAAGAATAAAATAATTTTATTCAAAGAAAGATTAGGAGCTCCAATCTCTCATTTGAAACAATTGAAAAAATCTAAAAGACCATTTCAACCAGAAGAGAATTTGACCCTAAGAAAAGGGTCAGTGTCTGCAAGCAATGTGAGGACATAAGTCAGCAACAAAACAAGACGTTGCTGAATTGAAGTATTTTTTTTATAAAAAAGTGTGAAAATTTTGTTTTTTAAAGGCAAAACAAAACAGTAATCATAGTTCAACATTATTTATGAACACAGATACAAAAAGCTTAAATAAAATAAATAAGTCATACGTAGCTGTTTACAAAGAAACATAAATCCATCTTGAGTAATTAACACTTATCTCAGGAATACAAAGATTATTCAAGAGCTAAACAACCTATCATTTACCTTCTTCATTACCTTAACAAATTGAAAGGGTAAAAAATAAAAGCCATTTCAACAGAAGAAAAAAAATTGATACAATTCAACCAATCAGTTACAATACAAATATTTATAAAATAATAATAAAAGAGATTTCTTAAATTTGATTTTTTAAAAAAGTATCTACCACAACCTTATATCAATCCTTTAATAGTGAAAAATTACCTTCATTTCCACTTAAGGCAAGACTAAAAATGTCTTTTTTATAAATTTTCATAAATTTCAAAATTTTACTGCAGGTGTTAGCAAGTGAAATGAAGCAAGTCAATGGGAATATGGGGGAAATATTCATTATTTGTGAACACAGTGGTTCTCTAAATAGAAAATACAAGTTAAAAATACACTATAGAAATTGCATATCTAGCCAGATTTTAGTTTGGGAAGTTATTTGCAATGTGTAATACAGCATTAGTATCAGGATTACATAAAGGCCATCTACTCATCAAATACATGGAGACAAATGAGAAAAAAAGGAAACAGACAAAGAATGGATAATTCACCCAGGAGAAAATAACCAAATAGATAATAAGTTTATGAAAAAAATCAGCATCACTGTTAATTAAGAGTACAGACATCAAAGATGTAATTTCTTAGTTATTTGCTTTAAAAAAATAACAGATATGGGCAAGTAAGTTATCATGGATGTAGAGAAAATGAACTCTTATAAACAAGATGTTGGAGTAGATATTTATACAACCAGGCTGAAGAGCCATTTTACAGTGTCCATTAAAATTTCAGTGTGCATCTGCTATAACATAGCAATTCCAGCTTTAAAATATATCTTAGAGTATCACTAATATATTTATATAAGGAAATATATTCAGATGTTCACGTTAGGGTGGAAAAGTAGAAAAAAATCTACATATCCAAATAGTAAGAAATGGACAAACTGCTTTCTGAGAAGCACGATGAGCCATTGGGGCAGATCTGACCATTATGTGCAAAAATCTGTGCTTCAAAATGATTAGAAAATTGATAAGCCCTTAGGCAAATCGATTAACAAACCCAAATTTCCAAAAATAAGTCATTATGTAAGAGGAGGCACCAGTAGAGATCCTAGAGACATTAAAATTATAAGGAATGTGATAAATAGCAACATAGATGAAATCATCAAATTCATTGAAAATATAATTTACAAAGGTGATGAACAAAAAATACAAAATCAGTATAGCCTGAAATTTGAATTTGTTAATTAAAACCTTCCTACAAAGAAAACTCCATCCAGATGGCTGTGAGTTCTGATTTCTAAGACTCCTTCAGTACATAGAGCTGGGAAAGCCTGCTGCAGGTTGTTTATCTGAGGACAGGGATCCACACCCCTGTGGAGTGCACCTGTGCCTAGTGATAAAACTGTCACATGATGAGGACCTGTGGCCCCGTGCAGCATGGGTCTTGTTAGACACAAGCTCATGATGACAGGACATGTGGGAAGATATTTGACAGTCAGTAAAACTCTGCAAATCCTGTGTTGAGATGTTCAGGGAACAGTTTATAGTTTATGACTGGAAAGATAAGAGAAAGAACACAGAAGGGAACCCATCCCCTGGCACCTCCATACCAGCTTACTGTGTTCTTCCTGCGTGTTTCATGTGTGGTTAGTTAAGCCTCTTTTTTTTTGGAATGGAGTCTTGCTCTGTGGCCCAGGCTGGGGTGCAGTGGCACAATCTTGGCTCACTGCAACCTCCGCCTCCTGGGTTCAAACAATTCTCCTGCCTCAGCCTCCCAAGTAGCTGGGACTACAGCCATGTGCCACCATGCCCAGCTAATTTTCTTTTTTGCATTTTTAGTAGAGATGGGGTTTTACCATGTTAGCCAGGCTGGTCTCAAACTCCTGACCTCAGGCAATCCATCAGCCTCAGCCTCCCAAAGTGCTGGGATTACAGGTGTGAGCCACCATGCCCGGCCAAGCCTCATTTGTTTTCAATGGACATACTAGTTTTTTTATTGCTGCATAACACATTACCAAAAACTTAGAAGCTCAACACTCTTTTATTATCTCACAGTTTCTGTAGGTGAAAAGTCAGGGTTCAGCTTAGCTGTGTCATCTGCTCAGGGTCTCAAAAGGCTACAGTCCGGGTGTTGGCCAAGGCTGTGGGCTCATCAGAGGTTGAACTGGGGAAGGGAAAGGTCTGCTTCCAAGCTCCTTCGTGTTGTTGGCTGAATTCATCTCCTTGTAGTTGGAGGACTAAGGTTCTGTTCTGTTGTGGATGTCAGCTGGGGGCTCCTTTCAGCCAGCGGATACAGCTCCCCTGCAGTTCCTTGCCATTGACACCTCCAGAGGCCTCTCATGATGCAGCAACTCACTTATTCAAGGCAGTAGTGGAAAGAGAGTCCTTCTGGTGAATGTGAGCAAGACAGAGCTATATATGAATATGGTCATGTAACGAAGAGAGTGATTCCCATCACTGCTGCCATTTTATATTGGTTAGAAACAAGTGACTGGTCCCACCCACACTCAAAGGAAGGGATTATACAGTCATGAAAATGTGACGCTGCTAGGGTCTGGTCTGTCCACCACATTAACCTCATTTTGAAGAATTTCATGAGTCCCAAGGGTCACCGACAGCCTCCCCAAGGCTCTACCTGTGAATAGAGGCCTCCCAACATCATGAGTCCCAAGGGTCATCGACAGCCTCACTGACACTCTGCCTGTGAATCAAGGCCTCCTAACGTCATGAGGCCCAAGGGCACCAACAGCCTCACCAACGCTCTGCCTGTGAATCGAGGTCCCCCAATGTCATGAGGCCCAAGGTTTACTGACAGCCTCACCGATGCTCTGCCTGTGAATCAAGGTCTCCCAACGTCATGAGTCCCAAGGGCACCGACAGCCTCACCGACACTCTGCCTGTGAATCGAGGTCTCCCAACGTCATGAGTCCCAAGGGCACTGACAGCCTCACCAACACTCTGCCTGTGAATTGAGGTCTCCCAACGTCATGAGGCCCAAGGTTCACTGACAGCCTCACCGACACTCTGCCTGTGAATTGAGGTCTCCCAACGTCATGAGGCCCAAGGTTCACTGACAGCCTCACCGACGCTCTGCCTGTGAATAGAGGCCTCCCACCTCAACATTCCTTTTCAGTATGTCCTCTTTTCTTGTCCTTTTATTTTCCTGTTTTATTTTGGCATAAATTAGTAAATTTTATTATGCATTTCGTCCTTTTATTGACTTTTTGACTGCATTATTTTTTTCAGTGTTTTCTCTTAAAATTATTATATCCATTTTTATTTTTATGGTCTACTCTGATGTAATATTGTGTGACTTCATCTACAGTAAAATAACCTCATGCTACTATAAATCCACTTGTCTTCCCTGCTATCTGCAAGTGTTGCCTCACATTTAAATTTTATGTTATAAAACTATCTTTTCTATTTTTGTTTGAAATAACCAATTAATTTTGAAGAATTTAAGCAAAGAAGGAAAATAATTGTTTTTATTTATTTTCATATTTATTATCTCTAGTATTCTTCATTACTTTATGACACCATTTTTCATCGGGTATAATTTCTCTTCAGCCTGAAGAATTTTCTTTAGCGTTTTTTGAAGTGTGGATCTGCTGGCAACACACTCATCCAGCTTTAATTCATCTTAAAATGTTTTTATTTACCCTTCATCTTTGAAAGATAGTTTTTCTAGATATGTTTGTCAGTTGAAAGTCTTTTTATTTTTGGTGACATTTTCTTCTTTTTTTTTTTTTTTTTTTTTTTTGAGACGGAGTCTCGCTCTGTCGCCCAGGCTGGAGTGCAGTGGCGCGATCTCGGCTCACTGCAAGCTCCGCCTCCCGGGTTCACGCCATTCTTCTGTATTCCATTAGTTTTGTGACAAAGCATCATTAGTCAGCTGTATCATTGTTCCTATCAGGTGGCTCCTAAGAGTCCAGCTTATCTTCAGCTTTCAGCCTCTGGCCTCTGACGGCTTGCTGTGTTTCCTGGAGCTGAGAATCACTGTTTCTGATTAAGTTATTTTCTACAAATGTTTCATCCATTTTGATGTGTTATTATTCTCTTCTGGGGCTCACATGGCCCATGAGTTCCAGCTTTTGATTCTGTCCCTGGCACAGTTGACATGGTGTTGCTTTTTTATTATTTTTTTTCATCTGTACTATGCTTGAATTAGAATGTTTACTGACATGCTTTGGTTTTTATCAATCCAATTGCATGCATGTTAGACATTTTATCATGTCCAGTATGCCTTTCATATGGTGTCTGCATTTTTTGGCTCTCTGTTCTTCAACTTCAGTATTTTCTAACAAAGTAACTTCTACGGCATTGATTCTTCTTTGCTCTGCCCACTCTGGCATTTACATCCGGTGAGCTCTTCATTACAGCGATTGTCTCCTCGATTCTAGAATTTCTATTTGCTTCTTTTATATGGATTCCATCATTGTGGTAAAACTATCCGTGCTATTATCTATTTCATGTGTGTATAAAGCTGTCATTTAAATGGCCAATGTTAATGCCAATATGTGGGCCATACGTTACACCTAAAGTGGAGATTTCAGTTACCAGGAGGCTGGCGTGTGGCTTGCAGGAGGCTCTGATTATCCCACTCACCCCTCAGGGCAAGGGCTTCCAGGGTACCCTTAGAGCAGGGGCTTCCAGGGTACCCTGAAGGAGCCTATGGGATCCCTGGGGCCCCTCACTCTTCAGAAATCCTGGTCTCAACTTCCACCTCCAGCACCGCCCAGAATCCAGTCTGATTTGCAGCTCTGTTCTCTTGGGTTTCTTAGCTTCTTGATTCACGGAGGTTACACATTTTTAAAATGCCTCAATAGAAAGACAACACTGATAGGACCATCACTTTTCTGAGTCTTATTTTCTTAAGATCTGAAACCATGAGACCTGCCTAATTTGCATATGCATGGATGCTCCCCCCGATTTTGTCCAAATGTTTTAGTTGTCTTGGCAAAGTATTGGTGTTCCTCCAGACATTCCACAGTAACTGGAATGAGAACTTCCTGGTTGCATACTGAGAAAGGAGGACTTGGACAAAGGGAATTTGAGCCCAGACATTCAGCAGTAACTGGAATGAGAACTTCCTGGTTGCATACTGAGAAAGGAGGACTTGGACAAAGGGAATTTGAGCCCAGAGGCAGGAGGTGATTATGAGTTCAGCTTTGACACATCTTGGTGGCATACCAGTGAATATGCCATTCAAAGAGTCACACATGGGACCCAAACTCTCTGATGAGGACCCAGGGGGAGACACATTTTTAGGAATTAATAGCATTGGGGGAGGGGGTCATCAAAATAAGGCAAAGCACTAAGATCACTGGGATAGAGCTCCTGGGGAGAGGGGAGGATGCAGCATCATCCCCGTTCTGGGCAGGTGGACCAGGAGCGGGCAAAGCAAACTGGACACACAGACACCGAAGAGCAAGGAAACCGGGAATGCCAGTAGCTCCAATGTCCAGAGACGGACGTGTATTAGCAGATCAAATATGGCCGTTTGTGGGGAATGTTTACATCAAGCGCTTACACCTCACATACAGCAAGGGCATGAGTGAGCCTTACACGTAGGCCAGAGGCCTGTTCCTGCTCTGAAAATTCCAGGGCGGCACAGGAGTGGGGGATCAGAGAGAAAGTCGGTCTGGAATAGGGAGACTGGGCTTCCTACCCATTAGGGTCCACTGAGATCACTGAATGGGAGTGGCCAACTGAGCGGGTTGATTTTACCCATAGTGTTTTGGGATGTTACACAGCCCTCCCTTAGACTGTGGCCAGACAAATGAATTTTCCTATCTCAGTCACCACAAAGGTCAGAGGCCAAGTCCTGGTGATTCTCTAAACTGCTGTCCCGTGTGGTTTGGGACCTGGGGAACGAGGGGGCACCGCAGAGGGTGTCTGGTCCATCACTCCCGAGTATGTGGGCCTGGCTCACAAATGCCGCCCATGGAATGAATACCAAAGGGAGCTGTGCTTTGAATTGAGATCATTTGCTGGGGTCACTTATTAATTTGTCCCAAAATTTGCTCTGAAACTAACATCTATGAGAGGCACTCTGTAATAGTTGTGTGCTTTTTCTTTGTAATTAAAAATCAAAACCAAAAGCTGTCCAACAACTAAAATCATGGGCATTCCCTCCAAGCAGAGAGTGGGCATCCGAAGGCAAGGAACACTCAAACTGCAATGACAAAAATGTTGTTTCAGTTCCATCATGGGCATCAGTGGCAAATCGGATGCTGTGATGTGGAAGGTGGAGCGGGTTCTTACATGGTCACCCTGAATGGTCTGGTCATCAGGACATGAAAGCCCTTGGGCCCTGAATCAAAAGCATCAGCAGTCTCTGATGATCCTGAAGACATCATCTTTACTATAATAATCTTGTGTTTATTTCTCTTCTCATTTGAATTTATTTTATTGTCTTTATTGTATAAAACAATCTAGATTTTTGTTCAAAGTGTTGACCATTTTATAGGCTTCCATCATCATTTCCAGTTAAAAGAATATTTTAAACTATGATGTGAACTATATTGATGAGTAAATTCTCAAACACCAAATGCAATGACATTAAATATTAAAAATTCATGCACATGGTTTCTTGAAATAAATAATGCACAAATTTGGCTTTTTATATTTAAAGATCATACATTTCTAATGTGGATTTCCAAGCTTTTATTATATATTATTAAGAGTAAATTATTATAACTAGATGCATCCCATCGTTCATTCTGACCCTCTTTGAAGCACATCATGGCTCAGTAGTGCCTCTGGCAAAGAGTTGGCAGAGGAAAGAAGAAATCCCAATTTTCTATTTCAAGTATTGACTTCAAGGCTAAATCACTCATTCAACCCATGCAGGTGCTGTTTAGATCTGGAACAAAAGGGATTCTTCATGCCCAAAGCTGGGACTGTGTTTATCAGCCTGCTCTTAATTTCCATATGGCAATATGGTCCAAAATTCGGACTTCAAACTCTAACGCATATGTTAATTTTCCTGTCCTAATCAGAACATAACCTTTAATTATATGAGTCAAGGTCTCATTTTTGTCTATTGTTTTAATTCTTTGGTTGAAGATAATTACTGGGATCTGTCCTCGAATTAGTGGGTATCATAGATTGTAAGAGCCAAGAGGAAACGTCAGAATGATTGACTTCCTCCTTTTCAGGTGGTAAAGCTGAACTTTAGAGAAGAGTGTGACCTCCCTGTGGCCAAGACAGATCAGAAACCTGGCCTCTGGGTCAGGGCCCGGCAGTCCCTCCCTTGAGCCTGCATGGTGAGGAGGAGGGTGCAGTCAGCCGCAGACTTGGCCCAGGTGTATGGGGTGCACCCTGTCTGCCTGTCAATGTCACTCTGGGTCTGCTCTCAAGTGGGTGAGCACCAAGGAAGGGAGATGCGTGCCCAGCCTGGTGCTCGCAGGGAGCCCAGTGCTTGCAGGGAGGGGGGCTGGTCAGGGCAGCTGCTCTGGGGTGGCTGGATGGGGAACTGGACTCCAATGTCCACACATGTAATTGAGAGACCCCTTAAGGTACAGTTAGGAGAGTGGGGAGCAAAGAAGAGAAGGACAAGGCCATGAGGCCATTCCAGAACCTCCCGTTGCCAGTGCCAGAAGACAAAATTACAACAAGTTTAGATTAAAGATCTTGATCAGTGTTGAGAATGCCCATCCCAATGAACCTAGCAGAGGAGGCTGTGATTTTATAGACAGAAAAGGAAGCGGGAAACACAACACAAGGGGGTTGTCTCTTTTATAAGAGTAGAACAGTCGAACAAGAGTAGAGCAGTAGAACAGACGACCGTCTCTCGTAAAGGACTCCGGTGGGTCTGGTTACTTTTCTTGTCAAGGTTGAAGCAGAGGAACCTGCTTACCATGCCCGCTAGGACCGGCCCATTTGGAGATCTGGCTTCTGTGGGCTTTCTCCTGATGTCTCCGGAGGTCAGATAAATAAATCTCTCAGCTCCTCCTTTATGGTGTGGGACCTGCGGCTCATTCCGGTCTGGTCGGCTGGGCCCTGTGCAGCAGCTTGTTCCAGACTGAGACCTTCCACAGAGTTCACTTAGCTCCATATCAAAGGGCAGAGATGCCAGGGGCCTGGGGATTCTCCAGACAAGGTTTACCTTCCCAGCATAAGGAAGGGATATTGGGCAAGGCAGGAGGATTATTTGACAGATTGTTAGTGCAGACAAGGACTTTCACAGAGGCAAATATATGGCATTTAAACCGTGTCTGTGCTCCTGTCCCAGATGCAAATGTGGCCAGAACTCTGCCCAGACATTCCCACACCTGGAATTAGTCAGACCATGTGCTGCTCCACCTTGAAGCATTGTTACCCAAATTGAAATGTGGCGTTTCTTGTTATTGTAATATTAGCACAAGGATGAAACCCTACCATGGAAGCAACCCAGGGAAGGGCCTGTGCACTGTGTACCCTCTGCCACCAGAGGAAATGTCTGCTGGGTGTGCTGCAGACTTCCGAGGGATGACACAAGTTTTGTGGGGACTGAAGCCTCATCTTTCATAATAACACACACATGATGCACATTCATGCATACATACATGCAGGACACACATGTGCACACACTTTCATGACACACACATGCACTCCAGATGCTCATTCATGCATACACACACGCAAGACACACAAACACACACCTTGCACACACATAAATGACACATACAAAAATGCACATTCATGTATACACACATGCAGGACACACACATGCATATGTGATGCACATTCATGCACACAGGATACACATGCACACACATACATGACGCACACAGCAATTCATGCGTGGACACACACTAATGCATGCATGGACACACATATGCATAGTGTACAATTCCCTTTTGTTTCTCACCATTAAAAATAATCCCATAATGCTTTAACTGATTTAAAATCCATTCAAAGGGCTGACAGTGGAAGACGTCTGATGACCCAGGTTCAGAGGCCCCCAGGGATTCTGGAGAGCAGAGACCTGGGCGCCTCTCTCCTGCCCACATGAGACAGAGACTCCAGAGTAGGCCAGGGGACCAAGAAGACACATGCTCAGAAGAGTCTGAAAGGCCGATGCGTGATCTCTCTCCATCTGCACCCCTCGCCCCACCCAGGCCATATCTGCCTGGGCTGCAGTGATTCCCCTGGGGCATCACCCCTTATGGTCCTGTCTCCACAGAGCTGCCAGATGATCTTTCTACAAGACCTAAATCAGATGTCATGTCTTAATTGAAACCTTTAATGGCTTTCCACTGGACTCAGGATTCTTCTCCCTGATTTATAAAGCTCCATGATCTGGCCCCATCTGCATCCCAGCCTCCCCCGGGTCCACCTCCCTGGTTTCATATCATGATCCTCTTTCTTGTCTTTTTTTGATACTAAAACAAAAACAAATACACTACCAATGTGAACGGTTGGCTTTTTGAGAAGATAAACAGTCAACAAAACTTTACCTGGACTAATTAAGAAAGACTCAAATAAATAAAACGGGAAATGAAGGAGGAGACCTCATAGCTAACACCACAGAAAGACGAAGGGTCAGATGACCAGTGTAAACAATTATGCCACAACAAACCGGACGGCCCACAGAAATATGAAGGGTCACACGACCAGTGTAAGCAATTACACAGCAACAAACCGGATGGCCCCAAAGAAATGGACAGATCCATAGACACATACGACCTGGCAAGACTGAACTATGAGGAACAGAATGTCTGAGGAGACCTAAATAGTACAGAGATTGGATTCATAATTAAAACAAAAAAAAATTTCCATCAAAGAAAAGCCAAGGAAGGGCCTAACGGCTTTACTGATAAATCCTACAGGCATTTAAGGAAGTAACACCCATCCTCCTCAAATGCTTTAAAAAAACTGAAGGAGAGAGGACACTTCCTAATTCATTTTATGAGGCCAGAATTATGCTGATACCAAAGCCAGATGAGGACACTATGAGAAAAGATGTTCTGCCCGGGATTTCTGAATCAGCTGCTCCATCCCCCAGGAAGGTCCTCACAGGCAGTCCCAAGACGGCCACTCCTGTGGTGCCGGCTCTGCATCCATGTCCACCTGCAGGCTCAGAGGAGCCCCGCACCCTAATCTGCAGTGGCCGCCAATCACCCCTCCTGCTTCTCTGCCGTTAACGTCCACCCTGGGCTTGCCGGGTCCTTACGTTTCTGTTGTTGGTGGCCTTGTCCTCACCGGGCATCCCCTTCATCTACACGGAAGCCCCTGAGATGAGGGACACAGCCAGGGTTCTCACTGCTGCAGGCCCTGCACTCAGGAGAATACTGGGCATACAGTAGGTACTCAATTAATGCTGAATGAATAAGCGCATGGTGCACAGTGAACCCTCAGATATGGGAAGGACAGAACAGGCCATTCTGATGCTCATTCCAGGCCCTACTGTGGGGTATCTTTTGTGTCACAGAGGAGCTTATCTGAGGGCCATGGAGATGCTCCGTGGGCCATTCTCTGATTTTGAGGAGATCAGGCTCGTGGAGGGGAGCCCGGCTGGTAGGCTGGAGCGGGTGCTTCTTGGCCCTGTTGCTGTCAGAGTTCCTGCCTTTCCCTCTATTCATAGCTGCCTCCTTTATGAAAGTCTCATTAATTTCACACTCTGAAACTGCGCCTCCAGGCACCTTGCTTGTTAGAGTGGAATCATGCTTTGAATGCGACTATCATTACAAAAAGCAAAACTCTAGTGGCTTTCTAAGGCTCATGTTAGAAACTCTCCTTTGCAGAAAACAGACCTTGAGATGGAGGAGTCAGAGGCTCTTTGTGGCTGCTGTTTGACCCTCACTGGGGAAGGGGAGCCATAAAATTGTCACGGGCCCACGGAGGCCTTCCCCGGTCCGTTGCCCTGGACTATGACAGAGGCCACATAAGCAAGTCCACAGGCACCACCCACCCAGCTGAGTAGGTAGGGAAGGTTGTCTGGGTCAGCTGAGACCCAGCACAGGTGTGTTTCACGGTCTCAGAAACTCACGCCAACCTGCATCTCAGAAATGCAGTCCCCTCCACAATATTCTGGTGATGATTAATGATTGCAGATACATTAATTTAGTGCATATATTCCTTATTATCACATCTCTGCACTCAGCCCTCAGTGCCACATCCACGTCTCTGCACTCAGCCTTCAGTGCCACGTTCACATCCCTGCACTCAGCCCCCAGTGCCACATCCAAGTCTCTGCACTCAGCCTTCAGTGCCACGTTCACATCCCTGAACTCAGCCCTCAGTACCACGTCATGTCTGCACTAGCCCTCAGTGCCACGTTCACGTCCCTGCACTCAGCCCTCACTGCCACATCCACGTCTCTGCACTCAGCCTTCAGTGCCACGTTCACGTCCCTGCACTCAGCCCTCAGTGCCACGTTCACGTCCCTGCACTCAGCCCTCAGTGCCACATCCACGTCTCTGCACTCAGCCCTCAGTGCCACGTCCACGTCTCTGCACTCAGCCCTCAGTACCACATCCACGTCTCTGCACTAGCCCTCAGTGCCACGTTCACGTCTCTGCACTCGGCCCTCAGTGCCACGTTCACGTCTCTGCACTCGGCCCTCAGTGCCATGTTCAATATTCCAAGTGGAGCCCTCACAGCACAGGTTTTCTCACTAAAATCCTCATGTGGGAGGTGCACGTCAGTCATAAAGTGCTTGCTGTTAGGTTGGTCATATTGGGTCCCGGGTCCCTAACACAGCTGTGGCCATTCCTGTCTCTTCTTCACGAAGTCATCAAAATAGCTGAAGGCTTAGAGCAAGCACAAAATCTTGTGTGGCCTCCAAACACAAACAGGGAACGCTGTGAGGATGTTGAAAGGGAAGGGGTGGGGTGGAGCACGTGTCTTGAGCCTCCCGCTGGTGCACCACAGAGGAGAGACACCGAAAGACGGTGAATCGGATCGAGTTTGATGCCGATGGATGAAGGTACCTGTGCAGGTGTCGCAAGCCCGGCAAAGACAGAAGACAAATGTCGAGCTCTCCCAGCTTCTGCACAGAGCCGTTCAGATTCGGGAATTAATTTAATCCTCTCCACGACTATTAGTGGAAAATGGTATCCTCATCACATAACGAGACACGCTGAGGCTTCGGGAGCCCAGACACACTTTAACGGGAGTGAAGGACAAAGCCTGGGCTCGAATCTCAGGCTGTGTGCGCCCTCGGCTCACTGCGTTTTCAGCACCAGGCTCTAGTTCAGTGGGAAGGAGAAGTCCTCTCCTGTATATTCATGGAAAGCATTCATCGCCACACACACCCTGTAAACATGCCAGCCACGACTCTAAAACACAGAGAAAATATAGGCAAAGACAGGCGTGTCTGCTTTGAAAATCACGTCAATTTGTACCTTCAGCTAATACCTGGCCTCAGCCAACTGACGCCCCGAGTCTTCTCTTTTGTTATAGAAAAGGTTGACTTCAGTTTGTTCACCAGTCACAGAATTGTGAAGCGGTCTCCTGGCGATCCTCACTCAAAGCCAGCATGGCACGGGGAGGGAGGGGTGGCCCCGTGACATGACGGCTCCAAAGCAGATGCCTGGTGGACCCGCGGAGGGAGCGGTGACCGGGCGCCAGGTGCCCACGTGTGGCTGTGGCTCAGCGGCCTGCAGGCTGGGCTTGGCCCTCTGACAGGGATGGGGCCGTCCCCCGGTCCGACCACCTACACACTCGCTGCAGAGCAGTGCCTGGTTTGGGCATCTGGAGACAAACCAGCGTGGCCAGGTGGGCTGGGAACAAACCCAGATGCACGTCCTCCCAGTGGCTTCCTGGGAACACTCAGACCCCAGCTTCCATCCCGGGCACCGCCCTCATGCCCTGCCAGCCTCTCTGGTATTGATTAGATCAAAAGCAGCACTTTGTGTAGGGTGATGGAACCTTCTAGGACATGAAAATCTCTTTCTAAGCAAAGGTGACTGTGAACAGTGCATCATCTGGTTCCTTATTTAACGAAGAGTTTCAAGTCTTTGACGAATTT
The DNA here is from genome assembly GCF_000001405.40 of Homo sapiens. NCBI lineage: Eukaryota > Metazoa > Chordata > Mammalia > Primates > Hominidae > Homo > Homo sapiens. Next base: position 822,137 of record NC_000002.12, read on the forward strand.
TGTCATTTATCACGTTTCTATCAACCCCTGGCTATCCACATCCTCTGCCTATCATTTATGTTCAGCAAAGCATCTATTCTTATTCTGAATTATGACCTCTTCTGTTTACTGACTTACTGTTCTTCTCAGCCACAGAACATACACTCAAGACTTCAGCTCTTGCCTGCCCTTCACCATCCAGCTCCACACTAATGTGTGGCACATAGAAGCTGCACAGTAAATCTTTGTTGGCTTATTAATTAATTAGTAGTTGTTTGGAAGCTATAACATAATTTCCCAGGAATTAGTACTGTAATCCTATCCCTACAAGTTCACGAGAGACAATTAAATTTATAATATAACAAATACAGAATGCTTGTGGTGAATATAATTTTGAGTTTTTTCTTTAATCAAAATGAAAAGCTATATAAGCTTTTGTAGGACAGCGTGCCTCACTCTGGGTCAGAACTGAGCATATTAATTCATAAAAGCCTCTTTTCCAGGGTTCTGGTGGGAGTCCCACTGCCTCTGGAACCGTGGTGGTGAGCAGGTTTTCAAAACTCTGGTTCCTTCTACTAGGGATGCAGGAAGCTCCAGACTTTCCCTCTTCTTTCTCATGGGATCTACTACCCAGAGGTCAATAGTGAGCCTCGGCTGCTGTTGAGACAGACAGGAGGGACAGAGTGCCAAAACAGTAGCAGCATCCACTAAAGGAAAATAAAGGTCCTTGAAAAAGTCAAACTTACAGGTAACCCAATTATATCCAGAGAGTAAAGAAACAGTGATTCTCATAAGTTAGAAATGGTTACATTAATTATAATAATAAAGAAATGATCTGTGTGAACCACAGGAATAAGAGATGGAAGACGCGGTGGTCTCTATACACCAGCAATGCTCTTCGTACCCTTGGGTGCCATGTGGGCATTGCCGAGTTAGAGGGTGCCATGCTGCAGGTGCCGCTCCACACCCTGCTTTCCTCCCGGTCGTGCTTCCCATGCCCCGTGCCATGAGCACCTCCTGCTGCAAGGGCAGGGTGTTCCTGTGAAATAGTCATATGGGGTGGGAGATGAATGCACTTCAAATTCTCTAGGATCTGTCATTGGGAAAAGGGTCAAAGTGCCAATAGGCAGAAACCACCCAAATATCCATCAGTGAACAAAAGTAAAAATGAGATGTGGCTTAGCCACGCAAAAGAACATCATTCATCCATAATCTAGAAAACACTGTGCCTAATGAGAGAGGCCAGATGCAAAAGACCTCTGAGCCTCTGTATATGTATGGAAGTCTAGGAGAGGAGTGTCTGTCCAGACAGGAGGCAGCTTAGTGGCTGCTGAGAGCTGTGGGCGGGGGAAGGAGGGACAACAGGAGAAGGGCAGGGGTCTCCTCTTTTTCTCCTGGAGCTGATGAAATGATCCAGTTGAGGGTGGGGATGGCTGCACGTATTTGTGAATATACTCAAAACCATCGAATTGTATAATTTAAACATGCAAATTGTATGGTATTTGAAGTATAGCTCAATAAAGCTGTTTCCCAAAAAGCTGATGGAACAACAAGAAAAAATAGACACATTCACATGGCGAAACATGGTATGGAGAGAACATATAGTTTTAAATCCATATATTAGAAAATCACAAAGGCTGAAAATCAATAAATTTTGTGTGTGTATTTAAGATTTGTTTTACAATGGCATTAACAAAAGCAACAGAATCTATGCAAGACCAGTATGCTCAAAGTCATGAAATGTTTTTTAAAGAAATTAAAGAAATAAGCAATGTTTGGATTCTGGAAGACTCAGCACAGTAAAGGTAAATAACCTCTAGAATCAAGGTCATCTCAGTGACAATTCCTGCAGGCCTTTTCTTTTGTGGACATTGACAAACTGAGTCTAACATAGAGGCAGAGACAAGGCATGGCCTGTAATCCCAGTGCTCTAGGAGGCCGAGGCCAGACATTCTAGACCAGATGGGGCAACATACTGAGATCCCATCCCTATGAAATATAATTTCAAAAACATAAAATACAGGCAGACAAATGATGAGCTGAGGGCAACGCAGACATGCAGGCCCCAGGAACTGCCCCATGGGCAGGTGGTTTCTCCTGCAGCAGTGACCAGCGGTGTGGGCGCAGAGACCATCAGGAGGATGGAATGGAAACTGGAGCTAAGAATCAGACCCTCACAGACACAGATACTTAGCTTATGGCTGAGTTTGGGGTAGAGAGCAAAGTGATGTGTTTTTTTTTTTTTTTTTTACTTCAATAGATAATATTGGGTCAAATAAATATGAAAACTAAATAATGAGACTTGATATATACTTTATACTGCACACAAAAATAAATGTAGGGTGAATTTTAAATCTAAATGTGAAAGACATAAGAAGACAAATTGTAAACAATAACAAGATATCTACATTTTTTATTAGGGAATTATTTCTTTAAAGAGACACAAGGAATAACAACCATGAAAGAATAAATCGACACATTGGATTGCATTTGTATTAAGAATATTTGCTCCTGCAGAGACACCGATAAAAAGTTAAAAGCAAGTCACACGGTGCAGGAGCGTCCTTGCGACACGTAGCTGGCAGAGAGCTTGTCGCTGACACAGAGAATAACTCCCATAAATCAGGATCAAAACCATAAATGGCCTAATTAAACAGATGGGTAAGAGACTGAAATGGGTCCTTTACAGAAGAGGATATCCAGCTGCCCAATATCCGTATGAAATGTCTTAGACCTCATTTGCAAACAACTTTCTGTAATTAGGAAAATGCAAAATTAAAGCGCAACGGATACCACCACACCATGGATGGCGAAACAAAAGGAAGCAATATTGCCATCATCAGGCCACAATAAAGGTACTCATTTATGACCTGGCAATGTCACACCTAACAAGACACAGAGCAGGGCTGCGAGCTGTGTGCAGGAGGACACATGGACGGATATTCACACAATTGAAGATTTGAAAGACGCCAACGTGCAGCAGGGGCAGGGTGTGGACACAGCCCTTCGGGGGAGGAGTCCACAGCAGGGGCGTCTGCAAACCTTTTCTGTAGGAGCCAGGCAGTGAGTGGTGTAGGCTCTGCAGGCCATGCGGCCTCTATCAGGGGCTCACCCTGGCCACTGCAGGGAGCAGCAGTCTTCGCCAACAAGTAAAGGAAAGAGCATGGCTGTGTCCCAATAAGACTTTGTAGACTAAAACAGGCCACAGTAGCTGAATGTGGCCCCCACAGATGGTAGTTTGTTGACTCCTTGTTTAAAGCAATATAAGTTAATGGACTGAAGTGATATGTGTGCAGTAAAGTGGATAAATATCACAAATGAAATGTCGCATAAAAACAGGTAGACACAAGAGTGCAGATCACAGAATTCCATTTTCATAAATTTCAAACAAGATAAAACCATAGTATTCAAAGGTGAAGGTCTAGGTTGTAGAAAGGATGAAGAAAGAAAAGTGAGGAAAGGACAACTACGAATGATCAGTCTGGTTGTTCCTTTTTCAGAAAAAGGAGGAGGTAGTGACTGTGAGAGGTGTGAGGGAGTACCGTAGGTTACTTTCAGTCTTCTGCTTTTTGACCAAAGTGTTTGATTGATCATAAGCTTCCAAACTGTGCATTTTGTTCTTTTTTATATGTGTGTTATAATTTGCAATACAAATAAAATGTTCTCATATTTATCTATGTAAAATAATGAATTTGTGGTGGGTAACCCTCCAAAGTATATAGCATTCCCATTTCACAAGACAGACAGCTGTGGCCCGAGAAGACAGACTCGGTTCTCAGAGATATGAAGTAGAATAGTGGCACTGGGATGACAATATGTGTTTTTAGCAGAGGGAGGTGAGGACTGAAGCTTGTTTTTATAAAACTCTCTTTTAAAACCTGGAGTTAAAGGGAGTGCAGGAGGCAAAATTTAAAAGATGCCCCACACCCCAGCCCCAGCAGTGTCAATCCTGGGCTATCTGGTCAACACTAATCTCAACACCCCCCTGAAGGAGATTTGCAGACAGAATTAAAGTCCCAAGTCAGGTGACCGTAAATAAGGTAAATAACTATTCCTGGAATTTCATGTTGAAATTTTTTTGTATCTGTGATTTTGTATCCCCTCAAAAACATGAGAGTGAAAGAATATAAAAGATAGTAATCTTGGTGATGAGTGCATGAGTGTCTTTATTGAATGCTTAAAATATTTTATAATTAATAAAAATGCATAAGTAAGAATACAAATAAATAATATGAAAATGAGACAAGGGATCAGGAAAATATACTATGTATTTGTATAAGATTTAATAGTTTTTCACCAAAAGTAAAAGTTGGTAAGAATTAACAGTGTAACATATATTTTAGACTACTGGAAAAACAGTTTTACATGCCAGGCATGTAAGGAAAGTAAAATGTGCTTTTGGTAAAAGATTATAATAAGTCATGGGAATAGTATTTTCTTGCCCAGTTTAGAGGGTTAAAGGATTGTTTTAAGTTAGATAGAATAAAGCTAAAAGTTTGAGCAAGTTGTGGAAGGTTTGTGAAAAAGTAGTCTTGTAAAAGAAATTCTGTGTGTGATCACATTGCTAAAGTTAAAGGGGTATTATTCAGTTATTCTGTAAATTGAACATAGGAATGAAAGCATAACACAGTTTTCTTAGAACATTGCTCTGCTTTTTAACAGAAAACTGTAAAGGGTTATAAAAGGTTTATGAAAATCTTTCATTATGGTCAAACTGATTAATATTAAATAGATTTGTCCATAAGGTTTTATTAAGAATTGGATTTAACATCAATAGTACACTAATGCAAAGGTAAAATTTGGCTTTTTTTTGAACTGTATTTGTATAAATGTGTTGTTGGTATGTGTTCCAAAATCATGTGAAACTTCCATAATTCTAATATGACTTAGTATACATTATTAGTAATAACTATAATTATTTTAAATAATTGTGTGCCACAGAAGTGACAAATTTCCTTGTCAATTGTGTCTTTGACTATGGCTGCCCTAAGGTTTTTTGTTATCCACAGACAATTGTCTCATTCTAATTATCTTTTTTTTTTTTTTTTTTTTTGAGACGGAGTCTCTCTCTTTCGCCCAGGCCAGAGTGCAGTGGCGCTATCTTGGCTCACTGCAAGCTCCGCCTCCTGGGTTCACACCATTCTCCTGCCTCAGCCTCCCGAGCAGCTGGGACTATAGGCATCCACCACCACATCTGGCTACTTTTTTGTATTTTTTTTTTAGTAGAGACGGGATTTCACCATGTTAGCCAGGATGGTGTTGATCTCCTGACTTCGTGATCCGCCTACCTCGGCCTCCCAAAGTGCTGGGATTACAGGTGTGAGCCACCGCGCCCGGCCACAAACAGACTCTTTTAAGGAATCAAAGTTCACTTATAGAGCCGATAAAGGCCTGTTGGGAAAACTGGCCTAATACTTTGTCTACCCAGTCCCTGTGCAGGGTTCCTGACCTGTAGTAAGTAAAGAACGTTACTTTCTAAGAGGCCCAGGAACCCAAGTTATCTTGGGACCTGAAGAGAAGAAGAATTTATGCAGCTAATACAGGTATTTGATGGCACAAGTCCATGGCAGGGCTCAAGGCTTTAAAAAGTCTTATCTGAGATTCCTTACGGAACAAAGTTCTATCAAAGCCAATTTTAAAAAGAGGTTATGATTATTCTTGCTATGTTTTATGCAAATAATCAGGCCAAGTATAATATGACTAAAGCTTATTTTGCAAATGAATCAGTCCTATCATGATTTGATTTTAATAAAAATTAGGACTATAGAGATAAAAATTATGTTTCAAGAACTGTAGTACACCTGTTATTAGATTCCAGTCTCATCAGTTGTTCATGAGGTTTTTTTTTCCATGCAATTCAGACTGATCCTGCTCACTCCTATCAACCAACCATGATGTCTGGCTGCAGCTCAGAAGAAACAAGAGGGATGGGTAATGCAAAAATCTGGATCAATATTCTAATTTTGGGCATATACTGGAATTAAGGGCTAACAAGAGCAGATCCACTCTTTAGCAGCCGTAGTCCTTCAAATCATTAAGGGCTGACAAGAGCAGATCCACTCTTTAGCAGCCATAGTCCTTCAAATCATTAAGGACTAACACTAACACACAACAGGTAGGACCAATGTTAACTAATGTTCACAGCAGCTCAGAGAGGAGTTTCCTTAGCCTCAAATAAAAAATATTGCTTTTGGGTAAATCAATCAGGAAAAGTACAAGACAACATCAGACAACTTGTAAATGCAGCCTCTTGTTTGTGGGAACAAGCCTCTCAGGGCTGGCTTGTTCTCCAAAAGGAACCTGGGGAAGGAACCTAGAAATGGCTCTCCTGGGTTTTTCCCTTTGAAGACCACTTGTTAGTCTCCTACTTTTGCTCCTTCATGGTCCATGTCTTCTAAATCTAATAACCTGATATGTCTCCTCCTGCCTTCAGGCCATCAAGTTCCAGATGACCCTCAGCGGAATACCATCCTCTCAAGATTCAAGAGCCATCCTTCTACAGAGGACCCTTAGACTGCCCATCAGTGTAAAGCAACAGAGTTGAAATCTTGCCCCATCTCCCTTGGACCTGGCTAGACACTGCTTTCACCAACCTAAAGAGTCATCTGCCTTCCCTGACAGCAGCAAGAGGCCAAGACCCACAGAACCACCACCACTGCCCGTGTGTCAACAGGAAGCAGTTACAGAAGACTGACCTTAATCCATTTTCCCCCAAAATTGGGGTCTTGGACTCTTGAGGGGGAAATGCTACAGCAGGAAGTCAGGCAGACGTGAGAGCCCCCCTGGCCAGGAATGTCAGGTAACTATCAGGTGATGGCCAGGAGGTGGTTAACAGTCTCTCCAAAATAATTGGTCACAGCTGGCACCAGGGAACAGCAGTTTCCCAATGGACAGAAAACACCTGAAACTGGATCAGCAGCTTCCCCATAAGATCTCAGGAGCTGGGTGAGCAGGCTCAAGCACGCACACTAAAAGGCAAAATGGTGGAGTTTAACTGGTATATGACCTTCCAGGAATATTCAGCTACTATGGGAAGAACGCCTCAAGCAAGCAGACGTACAACTTCAGTAAACCTACTGTGCACATGGCCCCTCCCAAGGGCTGGCAGGCCACTGTGCATGCGGACAGCCCACCGCATGGGAATAATCAGGGGAAAGGGATGCAACTGAAAGCATGCCAATGGATACAACTCCAAGTCAAAGGTCAAACCACACACTTGACTTGCTCAAGCCACCAACTTGCCTTCTTCCAAGTGGACTTTCCTTTCTTTTGTTCCCACTCTAGGCTTTTTAATACGCTTTCTCTCCTCCACTAAAACTTGCCTTAGTCTCTCCTTCTGCCTATGCCCCTCAATGAAAGTCTTTCTTCCGAGGAGACAAGAACTGAGGTTGCTGCAGACTCATACAGATTCACCATGGCTAACCCTCATAAGTCACGTGCCAGCTCAGGACAGCAATGTTTATCTTTCTTCCTGCTGACTCTGTGTTGTTGAGGAAAACATCATATTTTTGTCTCCAAGATTCAGGCTTAGAAATGCTTCTTCATAAGGATTCATTTTGATGCTTTTGCTTTCCCCTTGAAATCTACCTGAAAGGATCATCCAGAATTGAACCTTCAGGACCTAAGCCTCTGGGCAAGATTCAATCTTTCCTCCCTTTTCCAGCTCTGCATAGTGTAAATGTGGTGGGGTTTCACCCCAATTCCTGTTGTAAACCAAAAAGTATCTGAGATGGGTCTCAATCAGTTTAGAAGTTTGTTTTGCCAATGTTAACCGCATGCTCAGGAGAAAAATAACAACACGGAATCACAAAAACAGTCCATGGTGTGTGCCTTTCTCCAAAGATGATGCTAAGAGCTTCTATAGTTGAAGGGGAAATGGGAGCTGGAGGGGAAAGAGGAAGGGTGTGGTCATCCACATGCGGCAAGAGGAAAGGACAGGCAGAACAGTCAACTGCGCAACCACCTCCTGCCCAGCAACTCTGCACTTTCCATAAGACAAAGTGGACATAGAGCAGCTGCTTGTGGAGATGCATCACCTTCTATCTGTCGTTCTCTGCTTAGGAACAAAAGGAAAGGCAGCTGCTTGCACGACTCGTCTTCCAGCTTCATTCCTCCTCTTTGCAGAGTAAATGGGGTCCCCAGCTCTTAGTTTCCTTTCATGGTGCCGCAGCCAGAGTGAACGCAATAATCAAATGCATTTTCCTTCTATGTAGAGAAAAGGAAAATATACTTTACCACCAATTTTTGTGTCTATTTTTATTTGCACTGTTTGAAATTGGTAAACTCTGATTACTTCCTTTGAGGTCACTTTACCCACACAATGCCTCCAACGCTGACATGGACTCCGTTCTCCACTAGCTGCAGTCAGGCCCCTCCTCACCTCCTCCTGCCATGGCCCAGTTCTTGGCTGCTGAGCCCAGGTTAGCAAGACTACCCGAGTCGAACCCATGTCCCCGACCCCTCAGCATTCCTGGCCCTTCGTCCCTGGAGGTCCTTGCTGTGTTCGGCTGAGCCCAGGCCCGCACTTTGGCCTTGCAGCCCTGAGGCAGCAACTGGAATAAACTCTGTCTTGCTATTTTTAACAAGCCTCTGCTACAAATCACAACAGGCCCCTTTAGGGTCTGGCATTTGAAAAGAGTAATTCCTTTTCTATTAAAAAAAATTCCTTAAAGACTTTATATAACTGAGAAAAAACCTTGCAAAGCATCACTCAACAGCAACAAGAAAACACAACAACTTAAAGATTAGGATAGAGTAAACAGGGTTTCATCCCAATGAAAGTGCCAGGGCTGAGCACCTGCTGAGAAGGTAGTTATGCTGAAGGATCCCCCTTTGCCCTGTCCCCTGAAGGCACTCACATCTGTAAAGCCCCCTTTCCTTTCCCTGCTGTGCTGATTATTTCAGGGCCCTTTCCATTATCCCGAGCTGCCCTACCTGAATCCCTGTCATCCAGCCCACAGCAACCCCTCAAGCCCTACCTCAGTCTCCCCACGTGACCTCCCCCACATGCTGGCCTGCACCCTTCTAGGGTGGATGGTTCTCTTACTTGGTTGTGGACACACAGGGTGGTCCCTGCTCCTGCCAATGGAGTTCATTTCCTCAGCCCAGCCCGGGGTGTCCACTTTCCCACTCTGACCATACCCCTCGTCTCTTTCTGGTGAGGACCTGGGAGCTGCAACCTCCACCCTCACCCTCTGTTCTCCATTGTCCCAACAGCCCTCTCCTGCCCATCCCAATCCTCAAGACCCCTGCTTAGGCCTTCCTATGCCGTTCGCTGCGCAGCAGGCTTCTCCCTTGTGTGGGACTCCGCACATGTCCTGCCCGTCCCACCTCACACTGAGTTACTGATCCTCTGGTGGGCGCCCCCCTGGCACCTGCCTGTGAGATTGGAGGCTCACCTGGCTTCCATACCACCCCCCAGGATGAAACCCAGGGCTTCGCGTGTGGTCGCGTTCAACATCTTTTCCAAATACCTGCATGAATTCTGTGACATTTTTATGCCTAGCACTGCAGGCGTCTGAGCCCTCATAAAGTCCTTTCACTTGACCTTAATTACACAAATGGATATGATTCTACAGGGGAATAAAAATAAATTGGCATATCACAGACGGGATGTTTACTTTTAGTGGAAACTTAGCAAAACCCTTTTGTAGAATGACTTTCCCATTCACAGTCAAGAGTATTTTTAGATCAGCAGCCAACACTGAACAGGAGCCAAGAGGAACTTCCCGCAACCCACGTTCTTTCACTGACCACCACCCTGTCTAGCACCTTCCAGAGGACGAGCTTGTTCTGACCCTCATCACCAGAATCTCTGTGACCCAATGAACATGGAAATTCATTAAAAATAAATTTAAAATGTCTGCAACAATCTACTTTATGATCCATTAGAAAATGTATTACATACCTTTGACTTATCATAGAGAGATCACTGCTCTGTTTTAAAATTCTTCATACAGTGACTTTTTAAAATAAAGTCTTATGAAACATGCTTGAAATAGATGCCAAAAATTCTTACAAACATTACTATATGCTTTTTTTTTTTTTTTCTGAGATGGAGACCCACTGTGTCACCCAGGCTGGAGTGCAGTGGCACAATCTCGGCTCACTACAATCTCCGTCTCCCATAATTCCTCCACCTCAGCCCTCCAAGTAGCTGGAATTATAGGCATGCATCACCATGCCCAGCTATTTTTTCTATTTTGGGTAGAGACAGGGTCCCAAGCTTTTATTTTCAACCATGGCTTTTATTATAGTCAATGGGGTGTCTTCATGTTGGCCAGGATGGTCTTGAACTCCTGACCTCAAGTGATCTGTTCACCTTGGCCTCCCAAAGTGCTGGGATTACAGTTGTGAGCCACTGAGCCAGCCAACATTCCTTATATGCTTTATTGGACCTTTTTTCTTAGTTTTTTTCTTTAATGTGTCACCTCATTAATTGTGTTTGGACTCATTTCAAAATACTGTTTTCCTGTCTTTAGAGGAAGAGATTGGCTATTGCTTTCTCATTATAGTTCTTGTGTTTGTCTTCTACAGTCACTTTTTAAATGTAAAACAACAGATATGGTTAGGCTTTGTGTCCCCACCCAAATCTCAATCTTGAATTGTAATCCCCATAATGGGAGGTTTCCCCCACAGTTCTCATGCTAGTGAGTGAATGCTCAGGAGATCTGATGGTTTTGTAAGGGGCTCTTCCCCCTTCGCTCAGCACTTCTTCCTGCTGCCCTGAGAATAAGGTGCCTGCTTCCCCTTCATTTTCCCCCACGACTAAGTTTCCTGAGGCCTCCCAAGTCATGCTGAACTGTGAGTCAACTAAACTTCTTTCCTTTATAAATTATCCAGTCTCAGGCAGTTCTTTATAGTAGTAAGAAAATGGACTAATACATCAATTTATGATTTAATTTTGGTACATAAGGAAGAAATGCAAACCCAGAAGACAACTCGCTTGAGACCAGGACTCACCATGACTATGGTTTTGCATTAAGTCATTCATAGCATCTCACTCCTGCTTCTTTTTCGTGGTAGAGGGGAGATCCACTGACCATGTCTAGTCTGGATTCCAAATTCTCATGTTTTTGTCTCTGTGCTTTTCATACACAGAGCCAAAAACTCTTGTCTACTTCTTTCAAGTCTACTGAATGCAACACTGCCATGACTACCAATCTGCAAGTACAGAACACTTTTACAGGTTCGTGGTTAAACCAATAACCTTGACATTCTTATGGGGAAGTCCTGTGGTTCAGAGTGATGGGGAACAGAACCGTGAAGGCCCTGAAGGAAGAATGACGGGGCAGGTCTCACCACTTTGATTTGCCGTCTGGCATCTAAGTCCTCTCTGAGCTGTTTCTCACTTCACAGATTCTTCACCCAGCTTACAACCCAGAGCTTCTCTCAAACCTCCAAGTAGGTTTAGCTCTCAAAGGTTTCCTTGTTGCCCTTATCTCACGTACTAAATTGTAAGATATTTTGTTCATAAGCATTTTTCATCCTCACTGGCTTTTCCTTCTTTTCTTTGCTTTGTTTGTTTTGTTTTGCTTTGTTTTTGACCGAGTCTCACTCTGTCACCCAGGCTGGAGTGCAGTGGTGCAATCTCGGCTCACTGCAACCTCTGTCTCTCAGGTTCAAGTGATTCTCCTGCCTCAGCCTCCCAAAGTAACTGGGATTACAGGTGCCTGCAACGACATCCAGCTCATTTTTTTAAAATTTATTTTTAGTTGAGACAGGGTTTCACCATGTTGGCCAGGCTGGTCTTGAACTCCTGACCTCAGGTGATCCACCCACCTTGGCCTCCCAAAGTGCTGGGATTACAGGCGTGAGCCACCGTGCCTGCCCGGCCTCTTTCCTTTTAAAACATCTTGGTGGTTACTAGATGGAATGGCTCTCATTTTATGTCCAAAAATATTTAAGCATGTTGTATGTGAGGAATTGAAAGCTGTCCTAATCAGCTATTTGAAAAACACGTGTGTTGTCACCCCGAGGACGGACGCATTTTATTCCAAAGAAAACATGGCCTCAGGGGGACGCAGAGCCTCCTCCAGGATGCCACCATCAGGAAACTCTAGGAAGGAAAGAGGATGCCAAAGGAGGGGAGATTTCAAGAGAGAGGGGTGGGTAGAACAGGGAGAAGGGAGAAGGGTGGTCAGTGAAGACCAGAGCTGATGTGGGACAGGGCGGAACACCAACAGGGTGGGAGCCCCAGCCCTATGGCAACTGATTCAGGAGCTGCCTCGGCGGTGCTTCTCCCATCCTGGAGCCCCCCACCCTTGCCTTCAGCCCCATTTCCTCATGTTTTCTCTTGCCATAACAACTTCTTCCTTCAGAGAACTCTCAGAATAACATTTACGCTGGGGCTGACTCCTCTCTTGGGGACCTGCACTTTAACTGTGTCTGTGTCTCGTGAGGAAGCCCTCACGGCCTTTGTGTCCTTATAGGAGCTGCGGATCAAACGTGAGCAGTTGGGACATGCTGGCTGGCAGGTGATGACATCCTCCCTCACAACCACAGCCGGAGAGGCCGGGCATCCCACCCACAGCCTTCCTGGCAAAGCAGCCCTTACAGAAGTACAGATGCAATCTGCTGCAGCTCTACCTGTAATATTCCAAAAAAGAGTTTGATTTGCCTGTGGTCTTGAGGAATCTCAAAGTTTCCATACGAGTTCTGAACAGGCTTGATAAATACACATTCCGAAGATAGCCAGGCTGCCTGTTTCTACAGTTTTTGCAGTTCCCATTCATGATCTAAACTCACTGTGGTCAAACCAGAGCAAATCTGTGTTACCTGTTTATTGCTGCATGCATTCTTTCATCCACTTATTCTGGGTGAGCCTGGGAGTGTTTAGGAGACACTCAAGGGTCTCGGCTACAGGTCTCCCCTGGCCTCAGTGCTTTTCCCCAGACCACACACAGCAAGTCCCTTCAGCCCTGCAGTAGCTTCTTGAACGTAAGAAACATTTAGGACTGCGAAAGAACTGCTTAAAAATATAGAAGTCAGGAAGTTAAGCAAACCTTCCTTTATTCGCCAGAATCTCTGACATCATTTCTAATTCTGTTCTCATCGTTTCTAATTCTGTTCTCTTGCCCCCGCAATAATAAACAAAATAACTACCGGAGTCATCTGAGAATGACAAATTCTAATACATAACACGTGTGGGATGTGTTACCTGAGACAACACAGTGAGTGTCTGTGCAGGAACAGCCGGAATCATCCAGAAATTCTCTCATTAAGGAGTGTGTTAGGTCAATTTCCTTAAAAGGAAATGTACAACTTTAATGCAATAAAAATTAATACCTGTGAATCATTCCATAGTAAACTACTTTTGGTTCATCCATTAAGTGTGATGTTACAGCCAAGTTCTTTTCATTGATATAAAACAATTATGTTATTATACGGAAGCATTCATCCAGAAGGGACGGAATTCTCCTTAGACAGAAGCTTTCCAAGTATGGTTATGGGCAGAGGGAGGAAGGGAAATTTGGAACCCAAATTTGGAGGCTATTTTGGTTCAGTAATTCAATCTCAGTGCATTCTTTTTTTTTTTTTTTTTTTTTTTTTTTTTTTTTTTTTGAGACGGAGTCTCGCTCTGTCGCCCAGGCTGGAGTGCAGGGGCGCAATCTCGGCTCACTGCAAGCTCCGCCTCCCGGGTTCACGCCATTCTCCTGCCTCAGCCTCCCGCGTAGCTGGGACTACAGGTGCCCGCCACCACGCCCGGCTAATTTTTTGTATTTTTTAGTAGAGACGGGGTTTCACTGTGTTAGCCAGGATGGTCTCGATCTCCTGACCTCGTGATCCGCCCGCCTCGGCCTTCAGTGCATTCTTTTTAGAAACCGCAACACCAAGTGCCTATGAACAGCCGGGGTGCAAATGGGAACACCAGTCCCCATGCCCATTGCTTCTTTTCCAGGAAAATAACAAATAAAACATCTAGAAAACAATCTTTCTATTGGTGGATAAAACGGTTAGGTCACATCAGCAATAAAGCAGTACCCTGTGACTTCAAGGAGCATCTCCAGCCTGTATTATCTGCACTTGGAAAAATGCATTGCAAGAGTCGCTGAAGTGAGTTATAAGGTAACACTTGTCTGTAAGATTTCTAATGTTCTATAAATTCTGTCATCCAGAAAGCCCAGCTGTTCCTTCCCAAAGGCCAATTAGATGATGCAGCCTTGTGTGGGAAGCAGGTTGAGGGGAGAAAAGGATGAGGGTCCCCTTTTCTTTCCACAGTGACACCCTGTTCACCAATCTGTGATGTGACAGCAGCCTCAGGCTCCCCCAGAGAGCTACATGGCCACAATTTCAACTTCTGATACCTTAGAAAAGAAGGAGAGTGCTCAGTTCACACAAGGTTAGAACTGAGGGGCGATGTTTATATTCACGGGTGAGGAACGAGGGATGTTATAAATACATGCCTGTGTGTTCTGGGCTGTACCTGCCACCTAAAACGACAGCTACATTATAAAACACACACAAAAACAGAACTTTTAAATTATGAAATAGAACTGAAATAAACAATAGGTTTAAGATACTTTATTTTATATTTGTGACTGTTGTAGAAGGCTTTTTTGTTCTTACTGAAATGTTGGTAGAGCTGATGCTTTTGATGAGAGAAAAATGAGTGAATATGATGAATTATTTGATAGCTATTGGCTCAAAACTTGTGGTATGAGAGAATGAGTCAGTACTAATTCTATGTTCAGGTTTTTGCTATTGGCTTTGTGGCAGTTGTGTTAAAGCATATATACAGTTTTAAATTGTGTAGAGCCACATGGAAGCTGTGTGTGATGTACTTTCAAAACCAAGATATTTATTTTTCAATATCAACTACCAATTCTGGTTTTTGTTGAAATTTGATATTGTTCCTATCTTTCCTTGTATCAGTCCATTTTTATGCAAATAAACCACATTTCAAAATATGTTATATTTTTATGTCATATTTTAGTGAATGAATTCAAAATCTATCCAACAACTTTTTTTGAAAGATTCTAACTGGGTGAGAAAATTTGGTTTCAATGATTTATGAAGCAGATACAGAAGTTTTATTAAGGTCATACGTGATTGTTTCTAGCAATAAAGTTATTGGAACCTTAGAAATATTCATTTTTAATAAGCTCTCTCCAAAGTGTAAACT
Source organism: Homo sapiens (assembly GCF_000001405.40). NCBI lineage: Eukaryota > Metazoa > Chordata > Mammalia > Primates > Hominidae > Homo > Homo sapiens. Next base: position 837,240 of record NC_000002.12, read on the forward strand.
TACTTAGAATACATTCATTCTTTTCTCCATTTTTAGAATGTCACTTTTATTCTGAGGAGCAGATTGTTTATTTAAAAATACTTGACAGCTTATATACTAAATTTTTTCAACAACAAAAGTCTCGGTCATCTTTAGTTGCAATAATTTAATTATTTTGCCACAAGATGACTGTGAATCAATGTGAGATAGAGAAGATTCTCATGGTAGATGCTTTATTATTGTAAAAGACTACAGGATGCTGTCATTATTTAGAAGTCTTTTTAGAAATATAAAACATATTACTTCTATAATGCTATCACCTTCCATAAAATTTTTATCTGTTTCTTACATGTTTTTGCTACAATAGCTTGCCTATGAAAGACGCTGTATTTCAAATCCGTATGTGGTGTATATATATATATATATATATATATATGTATACATATATATGTATATGCATATGTATGTATATGTATATATATGTATATGAATATATATATATATTCCAATCAAAACAGCCCGTTAGACCAAGGTCATTCTTACACAGTTCCCATAATGCATCATCCTTACTAAAAAAGGTCATTTTCTATTGAGGATAGTTTTTTTTTTTCCCCAGCTAAGGTATTACCTCTTTGCTTCATAGGTTAATAAAAAATAGTCTGTACACAATAAAAAATGATACAGGGGGTATCACCACTGACCCCACAGAAATACAAACTACCATCAGAGAATACTATAAACAGCTCTATGCAAATAAACTAGAAAATCTAGAAGAAATGAATAAATTCTTGGACACATACACCCTCCCAAGAGTAAACCAGGAAGAAGTCAAATCCTTGAATAGACCAATAACAAGTTCTGAAATTGAGGCAGTAATTAATAGCCTACCAGCCAAAAAAAGCCTAGGGCCAGATGAATTCACAACCGAGCTCTATGAGAGGTACAAACAGGAGCTGGTACCGTCCTTCTGAAACTATTCCAAACAATTAAAAGGAGGAAGTCCTCCCTAACTCATTTTATGAAGCCAGCATCAACGTGATACCAAAACCGGCAAGAGACACAACAAAAAAAGAAAACTTCAGGCCAATATCTCTGATGAACATCGATGTGAAAATCCTCAAAAGAATACTGGCAAACTGAATCCAGCAGCACATCAAAAATCTTATCCACCACGATCAAGTTGGCTTCATCCCTGGATGCAAGGCTGTTCAACATATGTAAATCAATGAATGTAATCCATCACATAAATAGAAACAGAAACAAAAACCACATGATTATCTCAATAGATGCAGAAAATACCTTTAACAAGATTCAACATCCCTTCATGGCAAAAACTCTCAATAAACTAGGTATTAACTGATAGAATATATCTCAAAATAATGAGTTATTTATGAAAAACCCACAGCCAACATCTTATCGAATGGGCAAAAGCTGGAAGCATTCCCTTTGAAAACGAGTACAAGACAGTGATACCCTTTCTCACCACTCCTATTCAACATAGTATTGGAAGTTCTGGCCAGGGCAATCAGGCAAGGAAAGAAATAAAGTGTATTTGAATATGAAGAGAGGAAGTCAAATTGCCTCTGTTTGCTGATGACATGAGTCTATAATTAGAAAACCCCATCATCTTAGCCTTAAGCTGATAAGCAACGTCAACAGTCTCAGGATACAAAATCAAGGTGCAAAAAATCACAAGCATTCCCTTACACCAACAACAGACAAGCAGAGAGCCAAGTCATAAATGGACTCCCATTCACAATTTCTACAAAGAGAGTAAAATACCTAAGAATACAGCTAACAAGGGATGTGAAGGACCTCTTCAAGGAGAACTACAAACCACAGCTCAAAGAAATGAGAGAGAACACAAACAGATGGAAAAACATTCCATCCTCCTGGATGGGAAGAATCAATATCATGAAAATGGCCATACTGCCCAAAGTAATTTATAGATTCAATGCTATCCCCATCAAACTACCATTGACATTCTTCACAGAATTAGAAAAGACTACTTTAAATTTCATATGGAACCAAAGAGACCATATAGCCAAGACAATTCTAACCAAAAAGAACAAAGCTGAAGGAATTATGCTACCTAACTTCAAAATACACTACAAGGCTACAGTAACCAAAATAGCATGGTACTTGTACGAAAACAGACATATAGACCAATGGAACAGAACAGAGACCTCAGAAATAACACCACATGTCTACAACCATCTGATCTTTGACAAACCTGACAAAAACAGCAATGGGGAAATGATCTTCTATTCAATAAATGGTGCTGGGAAAACTGGCCAGCCATATGCAGAAAACTGAGACTGGACCCCTTTCTTACACCATATACAAAAATTAAGATGAATTAAAAACTTAAATGTAAAACTCAAAACCATAAAAACCCTAGAAAAACACCTATGCAATACCATTCAGGACACAGGCATGGGCAAAGACTTCATGACAAAAATGCCAAAAGCCATTGCAACAAAAGCCAAGATTGACAAATGGGATCCAATTAAGCTAAAGAGCTTCTGCATAGCAAAAGAAACTATCATCAGAGTGAACAGACAACCTACAGAATGGGAGACAAGTTTTGCAATCTACACATTTGACAAAGGTCTAATATCCAGAATCTGCAAGGAACTTAAACAAATGTACAACAACAAAAAAACACAACCCCATCAAAAAGTGGGCAAATGATATGAACAGACACTTCTCAAAAGAAGACATTTATGTGGCCAAAAACATCTGAGAAAAATGCTCAACATCACTGATCATAAGAGAAATGCAAATCAAAACCACAAAGAGATACGATCTCATGCCAGTCAGAATGGAGATTATTAAAAAGTCAAGAAACAATAGATGCTGGTGAGGCTGTGGAGAGATGGGAACACTTTTACACTGTTGGTGGGAATGTAAATTAGTTCAACCACTGTAGAAGACAGTATGGTGATTCCTCAAGGATCTAGAACTAGAAATATCATTTAACCCAGCGATCCCATTACTGAGTATATACCCAAAGGATAATAAATCATTCCACTATAAAGACACATGCACACATATGTTTATTGCAGCACTATTCACAATAGCAAAGACATGGAACCAACCCAAATGCCCATTAGTGATAAACTGTATAAAGAAAATGTGGTACATATACACCATGGAATACTATGCAGCCATAAAAAGAAAGGAGATCATGTTCTTTGCAGGGACATGGATGAAGCTGGAAACCATCATCCTCAGCAAACTAACACAGGAAAAGAAAACCAAACACTCATGTTCTCACTCATAAGTGGGAGTTGAACAATGAGAACACATGGACACAGGGAGGGTCCTGTTGGAGGGTAGGAGGTGAGGAGAGGGAACTTAGAGGATGAGTCAATAGGTGCAGCAGACCACCATGGCACATGTATACCTATGTAACAAACCTGCACATTCTGCACATGTATCCTGGAACTTAAAGTTAAAAAAAAAAAAAAAAAAAAAAAAGGGTCTGTAAATGTGTTTATCAAATGTGAATAAACTTATTTCCTGTTTAACAAGCTAAAATAAATACAGATAAAGGTGCAATGTATCAATCCAACATTCCGAAGATCATCTTGCATGCCACATGGAGTGCGCACACCCCCACTGCGGTCATCGTGACATGATTCACGAACCTACTCCTTCATATCTGAGAATACCTGCCTGCCTGTTTCCCTAACTCTCCTCTGTCTTTGCTCCTCTATCCCACAGGAATGTCAAGAAGTGACACAGAAATCCAGGGTTAGTGCAGAGCCTGCGGTGGATGAGAATAGTCCAAGAAGCTGCGGGTCCCTCTCCACTACCTGCAGGAGGGAAGAGCCATGCAGGGTGGTGGCTGGGGACACACCAGGTCTGGTTCCAAATCCCCAAGAGGTTCCCCATGAAGTTGGTGAATGAGGGAGGTCAGAGGAGCAAAGGGCACATTGGTGTAGGGAGAGTAAGCGTCAGTCTCTCCGCTACTCGCCCTTTGATTTTCCCAAAGAATCGCTGCCTCTGTCTATTAGAATGACGTCATCTCACTGGGAGGACATTAATGAATAGTGGTCAACATGACTATGGCCTCTACCCTGCTAGATTTTTACTATTAAATATCTGCTGAACCAATGCCAAAAAGAAATACATGTTTAATTATTTTTTTAAATTCTACCTTTCACAGTCTGGGGTAATTTTTCCAATACTTCATGATAACTTTCCATTCCAAATCAAAGGATATGAAAATCTACCTTTTATGAACACCCCAACTATTCTACCTGCAAAACAACTTCAGCAATTACACTAATAATACAGGAATTTACATATATTTTTAATGCTTATGAAACTGTCTTATTTTTAAATTCAAAATAAATTATTAAAACTAATATAGAAGAAAATTAATGTATATGTTTTATGCAGCAGCAGGGCATAGAAAGGGAAGTAATTCAACATCATATTTTTCAGTGTCATAATCCCTACAATTAAATGCAAAGTATCTTTATTGAACTACATTAAATAGCTTTCATTTTAGACAAAAATATGGAACATGGTAAGCCACACTCAACATACCGTGAACAATTTCATGAGTTGTTAATATGAAAAAGGATAATGATATTCATAGTGATTGCAATTGTGTTAGTTCTTAAGAACCAAAACATCTTTGATTTCACTCTTCCTAAGTGGCTTGGTGGTAATGGACCATACACACATAAAATGAAATCAATGAAAGCCATAGTTTCAATTTTAAAAAGTATTTTAAGACTAAAATGAAATTTGTATGTTAAAAATTTGTGTATTTTTGTCATTTATATATGAAACTAATTTTGGACTATTTTCTGCTTATAGTTTTTATTTAAAAAATTAAATAAAATTAATTAAAATGAGTAAGTTAATTGGAAACGTTAAATAAAATGACTACATAAGAAAGTGGTTTAATTGGTGAAATCTGCTTTAGTCACATGTATTCAATGAACTTTCAAAATAACATTCGCACACACTGATGAAACGTTGGGAGAGCAAACGTGAGATCTTTGGCTTCTGTCAGATGCTCCTTGTCTCTGAGAAGTTGGCACACATGGGTGCACACAGCCTGTCCTCTCAGTATGTGACATGGCTGGTGCGTCCTGCAGAACCCTGAGCAGGGCCGTGGGTGGGAGCGCGCTGCTCCTGCAAGGCGCAGTGGACTCCGGATCAGGGAAGCCTGGCAGGGCTTCTTGCCCTTGACCCCACTTTTGGGGTCCAGCTGTGCAGGGTGTACAATCTTTCTGATTAAATGATCAAGCCTGCCTTACCAGCACCCACACTATGGCAGAAATGGAAAGGGAGACAGACAGAGAGTGAGGACTCAGCTTGAGCCATTGGCAGGAGGAGAGGGCCACTCAGGAAACACCAGGTGCTTTTCCTCCCACTCCCTCGGCGCTCCCAGCCCTGTTCACACCTCCCTACACAACAACAGCCTTCACCGCCTGGCCTTGGAGACGCCCGGGTTCCTGGGGTGGAAACTTTCTCCGTAGCAGTGGCTTGCCGTCCTGCTACAGTGGCCTTCTCAAATGAAGTCTCCCCTTACCTAAGTCAGGATTTGTTTTTTATTTGACAGCCACAGATCAACATTTCATCATGCCATAATTTATATTTAATGTATTTTTCCCAGTATTTTAGTATTCAAATAATAACATGATTTAAAGATCTTGGTGTATTAATATTTATACTTGTATGGATTTTATGGTAATTTTTAGAAGTAGAATTAGTGAATTTAAAGGTATGAACATTTCAAAGACCTTTGGGACATTTATTTTTTAAAAACAAGTTGCTAAGTTTAAGTCTTCATCAGATGTCTATGATATGCACATGGAAATATTTGAATATTTATATATTTTATGAAGTATTTCTATTATAAAATTTGTTTTGCATTAAACACTGGTGAAAATAATGTTTTCCCTATCCAAGCCTTAAATTCCTTTGCAAATCGGTCCATGAGGCAGGAAACACCCCTGGGCAGTGCCTGTCCTTGAGCGCTTTTCATCCATAGTCCCCAGGGAAGGGCTGCTCCGAAGGAAGCTGCTGGGAAAATGGGCGGCGTCCCCCAGTCCCCCAGGAACTACGATGTGTGCTGTGGGGGTTACTGGTGTCCCCCAGGAACTACCATGAGTGCTGTGGGGGTTACTGCAGAGCCTCTTTTTCAGATTAAGAAACTTCTACAACCTTTCTGGAGTTTTCTACAACCTCACTGGAGTTTTATGAATAATCAAAGGCTATTTTGGACCTATGGAGAAGGTTATATGACTATGTTATTAATACTATGTGGATTTGCCCTGATCGGCTTTTCAAAGGTCAAAGGCCCTTTGAAACCTTGGAATTTTGTATTTATGGAATAAACATGCCATCTTGATGTATTACCTGTCCCAGTGGATTTGATTAGCTAGTGTGTAGGAAGTTTTCAGATGTGTTCATAGAAGTGATTGATCTGTATTTTCATGCTGTGTACCCATGTCAGGTTCTAGTATAAATCAAGCTATTTGTATTTTTTCAGTATTATTTTGTCAGCTTTGGGAATTTGGGTTTTTCATGGAACGTGTACGTTTTTCTCCAAATTCCTCTCCATGCTTCAACATGGATATCTTCTATTGATCTGTCTTCCGGCTTATTAGTCCTGTCCCTTTCTGTGTTCAACAAGTTATTAAGGCCAACCATTGGGTTCTTCATCTTAGATCTAATCTGCACTTCTAGAATGTCCATTCTATACTATTTTATGGAGTCCAAATCTCTTCTGAAATTCTGTATTTTGTCATCGTTTTTGTTCAGTACACAATTGTTCACTTAACAGCAAAGAAATGGTGAAAGTGCCTGTGAACCAGCACACAATAGCCACTAAGTGTAAGAAAAGTATTCTTTCTTCAACTAGTGTCAGGAAGAGTGATAAAATAACTATTTCTTATCAAGAGGAGTTCAGATGAAGGGATCTTAATTGCAGCAGGAGTTAAGGTGCCATCCACACTCTGTCATGACCAGCCATTCAGCTCCAGCCACCACACACAAAGGTTCCTGCCAGGAGTGTCCTTGCTCCAAAACCACAATGCACACAGGATTTTCCCTTCATAGGTATAACATTCCTCTCATGAAAAAGGCTTATTTACAAGAGGATTGAGAGTAACATTTCTTCCAGATGAGATTTCAGAAACAATCGTAATTTTCTCAGAGATTCTCTATTGATGAGTTAGGAGTCAATGAGAAAAGTTGTATTGCTTTTGGCAGAAATAACACAAATACAGATTTTGATGGATGCATGCGTAAAGGTGCAGACGACGTTTATTCAAGGCTGAAGTGAAGCACAGCGCTGTGGGAAGTGGGGCTCCCCGGCCCGAAGACCACGACACTGTGAAAACGATAGCTGATCCCTTTGCTACAGACACGGAAGCAATTGTCTTCTTATTGCAGCATTGACACGATCTGAACTGAGTGATTAATGGATTTTTATAGAATTTTTGGCATTCAGTGTTCTTCAATTCTTCTGCATTGAAAAACCCAATGAGTCTCCTTAAAGAGCACAGCTGACAGCATCTTCAGTTTATCTGCAGCACTAAAATCATGTTAATTCCGAACAATAGCCCCAAGATATTCTTGTTGACTTTTAAAATAGTCCTTTGAGCGAAGCCTACTTACTTCTTCTTCATATTTTTCATCAGTGCTTGAGCAATCAGATTATGCAAGTTGAAAGAAGGAAGCCAGCAGTGTTGCTGAAGTTCTCTGCTGCTGGAAGGAACTTGCTGAAAGTGTTGAGGAGATAATCAATGGGAAATGCATTCCTTTAGGCATCAAGGCTGTTCTTAAATGCGATGACATTATTTACCAACAGGAAATGAAATTCTGACTTGAGGTGGGTGACTATTAAGGATTGGCCAGGACTGTCTTTTGGGATGGATTTTTGGGATGAATTTCACACTTAAATAATCCAGTTCCTTCACACAGATGTTACCAGCCATGCTACCAGTGTGGCCTTGAGTAAAACCAACAGGTGTAATGCTGAAGAAGGAAATAAAAATTGATAACATTTATCTTTTTTGTCAGTGGATTCTTTTTATGTTTTTGATCAAAAGACGTATATAATCCTGAAAAAAGAACGAGGGAAATATGATGCCGTGAAAGGTGGTACTGTGTGCTTCAGCACATCCGTTTTGAAGAGTGGTTCTCAGCCTGGTGGGCTTCATTCCAGTTCATCTTCTGCACACTGGCTCACATGCTAATGCTGACCATGCTTTCTCAGTAATGAGTGTTCCATGAGCCAAGGAGCAAAACATATTGTAGTGACCACTATAGCAGGTATGTTCCAAGATAAGGCAACACAGACTATCACTGCAAAGAATTATATAAGCAAATTCTTCAACACAAGAAACTTAAAGCAAACCAAATTATTGAGAAATGTCATTACAAACAGATGTGTGAAACTTCTATGCTCTAAATTATTAGATGAATGATCTGCAGTCTCATCTGTTGTCTCAATGCATACATGCATAGACGGAAATAAATCTCACTGGCTGTCCAGTGTTTTTATTTCCTGAATCTGACAATCCCATCTGCATGGCAGCTTCTGCTATCTATGCGTTTTCTTACAATTCATCAAATAATAAGTCTTGCATCCTGTGTACTGGTGTGACTAGTAATTTTGGATACATTGATAACATTACATATGAAAAAAGCATAGAGGTACCAGAAGACTGGTTCACCCAGCAGAGGCCTGCCCTTTGCTCTGCTCTGAAGACACAGTGGGACACCGATGGCCCTCACGTCAACAGAGCAGTGCTGGGTCGAGACGGGGCTGCAGTTTAGGTCAAGCTCCATCCATCTCTTTTTCTCTTCATGACTAGGGTTTTCACTAAGAATCTTGTTTCCTGCTTTTCTGAGGTTGGACTTAGTTCTGTAGCCTCTCCTCTCCCTGTGATAGTCTCAGGGTTTGACAAATGCCCTGAGAGTCTATCCTGGTGCACCCTGGAGCAAGCCTGGTGGTTCAGACCACAGGTCTGTGCAACGTTTTGTGTTTTCCCATCCTCCAGCAGTGGCTCTATGCCAGGGTTGCTGCGTGGAGAGCGGGTGGAATATCTGAAACCAGAAGGAAAGGACACCTCAGTCTACTGCACACAGAGGCTCTAGGGCTCAGCCTACTGCACACTGAGGCTCTAGGGCTCAGCCTACTGCACACAGAAGCTCTGGGGCTCAGCCTACTGCACACCGAGGCTCTAGGGCTCAGCCTACTGCACACAGAAGCTCAGGGGCTCAGCCTACTGCACACCGAGGCTCTAGGGCTCAGCCTACTGCACACCGAGGCTCTAGGGCTCAGCCTACTGCACACCAAGGCTCTGGGGCTCAGCCTACTGCACACCGAGGCTCTGGGGCTCAGCCTACTGCACACCGAGGCTCTGGGGCTCAGCCTACTGCACACCGAGGCTCTGGGGCTCAGCCTACTGCACACCGAGGCTCTGGGGCTCAGCCTACTGCACACCGAGGCTCTGGGGCTCAGCCTACTGCACACCGAGGCTCTGGGGCTCAGCCTACTGCACACCGAGGCTCTGGGGCTCAGCCTACTGCACACCGAGGCTCTGGGGCTCAGCCTACTGCACACCGAGGCTCTGGGGCTCAGTCTACTGCACATCGAGGCTCTGGGGCTCAGTCTACTGCACATCGAGGCTCTGGGGCTCAGTCTACTGCATACAGCAGCTCTGGGGCTCAGTCTACTGCACACAGCAGCTCTGGGGCTCAGTCTACTGCACACCGAGGCTCTGGGGCTCAGCCTACTGCACACCGAGGCTCTGGGGCTCAGCCTACTGCACACCGAGGCTCTGGGGCTCAGCCTACTGCACACCGAGGCTCTGGGGCTCAGCCTACTGCACACCGAGGCTCTAGGGCTCAGCCTACTGCACACCGAGGCTCTAGGGCTCAGCCTACTGCACACCGAGGCTCTAGGGCTCAGTCTACTGCACACTGAGGCTCTGGGGCTCAGCCTACTGCACACTGAGGCTCTGGGGCTCAGCCTACTGCACATCGAGGCTCTGGGGCTCAGTCTACTGCACACAGCAGCCCTGGGGCTCAGCCTACTGCACACTGAGGCTCTAGGGCTCAGCCTACTGCATGCACATCGAGGCTCTAGGGCTCAGCCTACTGCACATCGAGGCTCTAGGGCTCAGTCTACTGCACACTGAGGCTCTAGGGCTCAGCCTACTGCACACAGAGGCTCTGGGGCTCAGCCTACTGCACGCCGAGGCTCTGGGGCACAGCCTACTGCACACTGAGGCTCCAGGGCATGGCCTATTGCACACTGAGGCTCTGGGGCCCAGGCTGTTGCTCTGGAGCTACACACCTGTGCAGCCTGGGATTGCACTGAACGCTGCACGTGACTGTAACACAATGGTGAGCATTTGTCTATCTACATGCCTTCTTCCGGAACACCTCCTGAAGAACCTGCCAGAGGCTGTTTTACAGTTAACCTTTTAAAACATAAGTGGAAGGAGTACACTCTAAAATAAGGATAAAAAGTATCGTAAATACATAAACCAGCAACATAGTCATTTATTATCATTATCTAGCATTGTGTACGGTGCATGGTTGTATGTGCTGGACGTTACAGTTACCGCATCGCAGCCTTGTTTACACAGCATCACCACAAACAGTGAGCAATGCGTGGCACTCTGGCGTTAGGACTGCTGTGTCACCAGGCACTGGGGAATTTCAGCTCCATGATTATCTCACGGGACCACCACTGCATACGGGGTCTGTCATTGACCAAAACGTCCCTTTTCAGTGAGTGAGTGTATTTGTTTTAAAACTCTCAAAAATAGCATGTTTTTAGAAAAACCAGCTAAGTGTAAAATAATTGAAGTTTTTTTATTGGAACAAAGTAATCACATTTGAATTACATTAATTTGTTGCATGTCATATTTTATTTAATTACATCTAAAAGCTTTAGTATTAATAAAAAGTGTTATTTTGCTTAAGGTTATATTAAAGTAGTGCTCTTTTTTACACAGTTATTATATTTCTGTCTTATGGCACCATTTGGTAATAGTCTACCTCATCTGTTTTTTATTAAACAGACATTAGAAGTATAATTGCTTAAAAGTAGACATTACTGGAAATAATTAGCTAAGAATCGGGCCCTCAGCCTGACCAAAATCTGACTCCACTGAAGCTCTGAGCGGTTTTGTGAGCTCATGTTGGCCTCTGTGAATCTCAGCGGTTTTGTGAGCCCACATTTGCCTCTGTGAATCTCTGAGAGGTTTTGTGGCCCATGTTGGCCTCTGTGAAGCTCTGAGCAGTTTTGTGAGCCCACATTCACGTCTGTGAATCTCTGAGAGGTTGTGTGAGCCCATGATGGCCTCTGTGAAGCTCTGAGCAGTTTTGTGAGCCCACATTCACCTCTGTGAATCTCTGAGAGGTTGTGTGAGCCCATGATGGCCTCTGTGAAGCTCTGAGCAGTTTTGTGAGCCCAGGCTGGCCTCTGTGCACTGTGCTTCTGCTTCCATCTCACCCCAACGGCTTTTGCCCGACGGTGTTGAAGGACACAGCAGCGTGTCCCAAGGCCACAGCCTCAGTGGTAGGTGGCCGTTGTTTGTTAGTTCAAGTACCAATTTTCATGAAAAGCAAGTCTTATCTCCTTCCGTGAGTTTTCTAGAAAATCACATACTGAATCATTATTTAGCTCTAAACAATTCTGAGACAATAATAAATAAAACAGTGGTCATTTAGGGTCTATTCTGTGTTTCCAGCACCGGGAAGTTCACATGGATTAAGTAATTCTCCACATTCTGAGGTAAGCCCCCTCCCCACACGTTAGATAACACAGCGTCCAAGGCTTAGCCAAGACCACAGCTCAGAATTAGGGTCTAATATAAATCACCAGAGTCCAGGACCTGGTGCTCTTCCTACCATGCTGCACCAACAGCCAGAGCTCACCCTGTCCACAATGACAGCCTGGTGTTTGATGAGTATCCGCAGGTGCACGGAAACACGGGCCACGGGACATTTCCCACGAGTGTTCACAAGGGGAATAAAAACACAGGCTGTGGGGCATTTCCCACGAGTGTTCACAAGGGGAATAAAAACACAGGCTGTGGGGCATTTCCCACGAGTGTTCACAAGGGGAATAAAAACACAGGTTGTGGGGCATTTCCCACGAGTGTCCGCAGGTGCACAGAAACACAGGTCATGGGACATTTCCCTTGAGTGTTCACAGGTGCACAGAAACACGGGCCGTTGGGTGTTTCCCACGAGTGTTCACAGATGCACAGAAACACGGGCTGTGGGACATTTCCCACGAGTGTTCACAAGGGGAATAAAAACACAGGCTGTGGGACATTTCCCACGAGTGTCTGCAGGTGCACAGAAACACAGGTCATGGGTCATTTCCCACGAGTGTTCACAGGTGCACAGAAACACGGGCCGTGGGACATTTCCCACGAGTGTTCACAAGTGGAATAAAAACACAGGCTGTGGGACATTTCCCACGAGTGTCTGCAGGTGCACAGAAACACAGGTCATGGGTCATTTCCCACGAGTGTTCACAGGTGCACAGAAACACGGGCTGTGGGACATTTCCCACGAGTGTTCACAAGGGGAATAAAAACACAGGCTGTGGGACATTTCCCACGAGTGTCTGCAGGTGCACAGAAACACAGGTCATGGGTCATTTCCCACGAGTGTTCACAGGTGCACAGAAACACGGGCCGTGGGACATTTCCCACGAGTGTTCACAAGTGGAATAAAAACACAGGCTGTGGGACATTTCCCACGAGTGTCTGCAGGTGCACAGAAACACAGGTCATGGGACATTTCCCACGAGTGTTCACAGGTGCACAGAAACACGGGCCATGGGACATTTCCCACGAGTGTTCACAAGGGGAATAAAAACACAGGCTGTGGGACATTTCCCACGAGTGTCCGCAGGTGCACAGAAACACAGGTCATGGGACATTTCCCTTGAGTGTTCACAGGTGCACAGAGACACGGGCCGTTGGGTGTTTCCCACGAGTGTTCACAGGTGCACAGAAACACGGGCCATGAGACATTTCCCACGAGTGTTCACAAGGGGAATAAAAACACAGGCTATGGGGCATTTCCCACGAGTGTTCACAAGGGGAATAAAAACACAGGCTATGGGGCATTTCCCACGAGTGTCCGCAGGTGCACAGAAACATGGGCAGTGGGATGTTTCCATGGGTCACCTAATTCCAGCCAAGGTGGACAAACCTTCCTGAACAGAATGGGCGTTGTCAGTGTGGAGAAGTATCCACAGGCTATGGCCGCAGAAGCTGCTGGATGGCTGAGAGGCGTCTCCAGGAAATAAATGGGGTGCCTGTTAGATAGCACAGGATCTCTGAGAGCCCTCTGACTTTACTGAACACACTATGAGCAGCTAGGACATTTTAGTGCAGCTCGCTTGGGCTTGTGAGGGCTGCTTTCTGTCCAGATTCTGACTGCTGTGAAGAGTCATTGGCTGACTCAACAAATATTCCTTGTAATAGTTGGCTCAGGCTTCCATAACAGAAACCCACAGACAAGGTGACTTATATGACATGGATTTATCCTCTCCCAGTTCTGGAGGCCAGAAGCCGAAGATCAAGGTTTGGGCAGGGCTGGTTCCTCCTGAGGCCTCTCTCCTTGGCTTGCAGCTGCTGTCTTCTCTCTGTGTCCTCAGGTGATCATCCCTCTAGGTGCAACTGTGCCCTCATCTCCTCTTCTTATAAGGACACCAGTCATATTGGATCAGGGTCTAGTCTGTGACCTCATTTCAACTCGATTACCTCCTTAAATTCCCTGTCTCCAAGACAGTCACTTCTGAAATGCTGAAGGCTATGACTTTAACCTACGAATGGGGGAAGAAGGTGAATTTGGCCCCTAACATAGATGATAACACAGGTTCATGGTTGAGAGAGATGGAGGAGAGAAATGGACACAGCCCTGGGAGCTCATGTCCACACAGGGAACCTCAGTAAGGGGTGGGGGCCAGTGTGAGGGGTGAAGGGTCAGATGTGAAGCCCCCTGCCTGCCAGGCAGCAAGTGCCCCTGAGTTGTGCTGCCTGGAGGAGGATGCACACTGGGCCACTGTGGCTAGGCGGATCTACCATATTTGAGAACATTGGTCCAAGAGGCCCAATTGTGACCTCTTGTCTGGAGGTGCAGGTGCACCTCCAGTAGCAGGGTGTGTCTCAAACGGGTCTGGCCTCATGCTGGGCAGCGTCCAGCCTCTCCAGCCTCATTCCACCCAGACTCTGCCCTCATGCACAGTTTCTGAACGTAGGCACCGTCATTCACCACTTCCTACCAATGAGGACTCTACGTTCTTCCCCATTGACAACAGAAGGGACATCTTTAATGTGCTCCTGTATCTCTCCTTTGCCTGGAAGAGCCTCCTAAATGTCTGTCTGACATCCCCAAAGGTCTGTCAATGCACAGCTCAGATGCCTCTCTCCTGATCACTTTTCCAACGTGACTTCTCTGGGAAAGACACATCAATTACTTTTTGGCTCCTAAGCATCATGGTTTATTACACAGTTGAGTCATATATTAAAATACTAATAATATGTATGTGCATGTGTGTGTGTGTGAGTGTGTGTGTGTAGGGGCAAGGGGGTTTGGTTGGGAGGAGTGTACATGTGCATGTGTGCGTGTGAGTGCATGTGTACACCTGTGTGTGCATGTGTGCCTGTGTGTGCATGTGTGTACATGTGTGTGCGTGTGTGTGTGTAGGAGCAGCCTGCCCAGTTCATGGGTCGATGGCACCGTGGATGTGGCAGGCTTGGTGTCAGGCCCGTGTGCGACGCACCCTGCTGCTGGAGGTGCACCTGCACCTCCAGATAAGAGGTCAAAAACATCCAGCCCAGCTGCCAGCCTGGGGCCCTGGGCAGAGGCCGGTGGCTAATGTGTTAGACATTCAGCTAACACATTTTGGTAAGGGGTGAAAACAATCTATTGTACCAGTGACTAATCTATTCCTTGCTCATTGTTAATTCAGCTCAACTAAGAAAGTTCATGGTGGCGGGAGGCCCAGGTGAGGGTGGCCATGGGGACCACAGTGGCTTCTGCCTGGAAGGTGTTGATGATAAAAGCCGAACAATAAAATTGTCACAGAGGTTCTTAGCCAAATATGAGTGGCCATGACCCGTAATGCAGCACTGAGGTGTCCTCAGATCCTGTGCTCAAGGTGTTCGGGCTACAGCTTGGTCGTATACATTTTAGGGAGGCAGAAGTTACAGGTTTACACTGGTTCAGCCCAGAAAGGTGGACATCTCAAAGCAAGGGCTCACAGATCACAGGTGGATTCAAAGATTTTTGGAGTGACGATTGGTTGACAGACTTCAGCTTTGCCTAAAGAGTGAAGTCAGCAGAAAGAAATGCTCCAGCAGAAAGATAAGGGCCTTGTGGAAACCAAGATTCACAGTATGGAGATGAAGCCTTCAGGCAGCAGCTTCAGAGAGAATCGATGGCAAATGCTTCCTATAGGACCTTAAAAGATGTCAGGCCTTAGTTAAATCTCTCCTGGATCAGAAAAGGGCCTAGTAAGGGATTCTCCACAGAATGCAGATATTCCCAGCAAAAGACGCCTTTGCAGGGCCATTTCAGAATATGTAAGGGAGATATAGTTGGGGTTAATATATTTTGATTTCCTTCAGGACCTGCTATTTTTCATGTGATGCTATGCCAGGGCCAGGTTGGAGTGGGGAATCTGATTACTATAAGGAGTCTGTTTGGATAGTGTTTTGATGTCTGCTTTAGCGCTAATGCTGGTCAGCTGGTCCTGAACTCCACAGGGAGGAGGGTATAATGTGGTCTGTCCAACCCCACTTCCTGCCATCATGGGCTGAACCGGTTTTTTGAATTTTTAGGGGGGGATCCCCGTGGCAAAGAGGGGGCCCATTCAGTCGGTTGAAGGACTTAGAATTTTATCTATTTTACAAAGGACACCAGAGGCTCTTCTCAAACAGAACTGGCACTGCCTGACAGGCTACCTCTCACGAAGCCAGCATCACAACTGAGCACACGATTTTATTCAGTCCTCTCAGGAAAGAGCAGTTTTGTTTCACAGATGAGAAAACCAAGCCAGGGAGAGCTTCACTTACCTCTCCAAGGTAAATACCTGGTAGCTGCTGAACCGAGAGTTTGGGCAGAGGCTTTTCAAAAAGTCTTGAAGCTCTCCAACACCGTGAGACATGGATGCCCGTGAGGCACCTTCCTACGTACCGAAAGGGAATGTGCAGTGGAGGGGGAATCCCAACATCGTCTTTGGAAAGAGCAAGGGACAGACCAGTCCTGTAGGACCTCCCTCCCACCACCTTCACCCTTCTCTTCTCTCTCTCCTGTCAGCATCTGAGTTCCTTCCTTGGTCTGCCTGCTTCCCCATGGTGGGGGTGGCCCACCCGCCTCAGCCTCTGGCCGTCACTCCCCGGAGCTGGAGCCATGCCCGGCCAGCCGGTCGTCCACCCCTGATTCCTGCTCTTCTAATCCATCCCACACAAACTGCTGCTGGATGGATCTCCCAGAACAAACCCTGTGCTCACACCACGGCCAGACCTAAGGGCTCCTGCAGGCCACAGAAGCGTTTCCCTGGGGAAGGTGGTTGCCACGAGCTTCACAGACAGGCACAATCACATTCATCTCGGAGATACTCGTGTAAGACTCGGTGTTGCTGAAAACACATGTGTGTCTTTGTTAAACTCTGGGATTACAGGGATTCTTTAAGTTCCTAACACATATGATGAATATCCAGGAGAGAATCAAAGACTCACTTGCTCTTTCCAAAGGACCTGATCAGAGTCCTTATCTCCTGGTAAAAGAAACACCATTTGGCAAATGCTGGAACGCTGGTTTACAGGACACCGTGGCTTGAAGGTGCCCCCAATGTTTGTGTGTTGGAAACTTCATCCCCAGAGACACGGCCTTGGGAGGTGGGAACTTAGAGGGGCGAGTGGGCGGTAAGAGCTCTGCCCTCAGGAAGATTCATCCTTCATCGCAGGAGTGGGTTTCTGATTAAAAAAAAAAGGGATAGGGTTCTCTCTCTCTCTCTCACCTCTCTCTCTCTCTCCCTCTCTCCCTCTCCCTCACTATGCCCATTAGGACACACATAGGCTGGAAGAGAAAGGATGAAAAAATACATTCCCTAGAAACAGAAAGCAAATGGGAGCAACGGTGGCCACACTCCTGTCAGATTAAATGGACGTTAAGTCAAACCTGTAAAAAGAGATCAAGAGAGTCATGATGTGAGGTTGAATGGGTGGCTTCATCAAGAGCATGTAACAATTGTAAATACATCTTTACCAGCGTCAGAGCATCTAAGTATATAAGCAAATGTTACTAAATCTGAAGGGAGAAGCAGGCAGCAAGTCAATTAAGTAACAATATTGAGAGGCCTCAGGGGCCCACCGCCAGCAGGGGGCAGACCATCCAGGTGGAAAATCAGTGAAGAAGGATTGGCCTTAAACTACGTGTCAGGCACCTGGGCTCACTGGCCCATTGAGACCATCCCATCCAGCAGCAGCCAGAAACATGCTCTTCTCTAGTGTCCCAGAGCATTCTCCAGGATAGACTGTACACTGAGGCACAAAACAAGTCCTGCCTGATTTAAAGAGACCAGAATTACATCAAATACCATTCCCAGCCACAGTGGTACGAAGCTAGAATCAATAACGGAAGGGATTTCAGAAGATCCGCAAAGGCGGGGAAATTAAACACCTTACTTCTGAATCACCAGTGGGTCCATGAAAACATTATAGAGGACATTTAAATACATCTTGAGACAAATGAAAATGGAAACACAACATATTAAAATCTATGGGACACAGCAAAGCAGTTCTAAGAAGGAAGTTTTTGGCAATAAACACCTACATCAAAAAAGAAGAAAGACGCCAAATAAACAGCCTCACGTTACACCTCACGAAACCCGGGGAAGCCAGAACACACTAAGCCCCCACTTAGCAGAAGGAAGGAATGGTAAAGGCCGGACAAGGAACAAAGGAACCGTCTTCATACCTCACCACGCCGCATTCCTTGTCTATGAATATTGATTATTTATTTTGTAATTGATCCCTGGCAGTGTTCTATCATCATTCCTCCTTCTTTGTGCCTGGAGACCCGATGCTGAGTCACCAACCTGCCTTCTTGTCTGCCTGGTATCGTGTGGCTCCGCCTTTTGCGTTCACTTCCTGGGTCTCATTTCCTGAGGATTTCCTGTGTGGAACACACACTTGGGTTTTGTTTTGCAATCTCACAAAATATACTTTCTTCATTAGATCAATGAATGGAAGCATGGTTAACTATTTCGTGTGATACAGTGTCTTCCTTTGGTCCTTTGGTCACAGAAGGAGGAAAACGGTCCTCCCTGACTGTCCGGCCCCTCTCAAAACTTCACGTGGGACACTAGGTCAGGGTGGGGGCTGAGGGGTTTCCACACCAACCACTCTCCATCTCCCTAAATACCAGCTGGGTGTCCTACAACTTAACTCAAGTCTGATGCTTTCTACCTGGGGTTAGCCCAGGCCCCTGGGCTAAAGACTCAGCCCCACAAGGTTGCCCCTCTTCAGATGCCACTCCCAGGATCAGTGTCCCTGGTTATCCCCACGTCTGTACAACTTGGCTCCAAACTGGGTCATCAGCTGTGTCACACAAGCACTACACTAACGTCAGGTGTTAACAGGAGAATGTGGGTGTGGGACACGGAAACACGCTTTCCAATCTGTGCAACTTTTCAGTAAATCTAAAACTATTCTAAACTTGTTTTAAAAAGTGTACTCTTGAAGGTGCTATAGGATAGATAAAACACTTCAGAAATATCAATGAATATACAGTCTATTACAAATTGATGTAAAATTTTTAATTCTTTTTTTGTAAGCTTGCTACAAAATTGTAAATGAGCTAGTGGTAAGCTTTGGGTTTATCATTATAACATACTGACAGAATCTCATTTTATTGCTACTTTTTGCTTCCTGTCTCCAGAGGCTGACAAAAGAAAAAAGACGAATTAAAACTCTTGAAGGTACGTAATTTTCCATACATCACCAAGCAATAAAAACATCAGCAAAAAATTAAAGATTGCAATTTAGTCTAGCTTTATAACTAATACATGAGAAGTGCATTTAAGCAATTTAAATTAATAGCATGTCACAGCAATAAAGCTGTTGCTTTTTTTCTAAGTCAAATATATACATTTTATAATAGTGCTTAGCTTTTTAGCATTCTAATATACAACTTTTAAAATCACTGTGGAATTGCATCCAGATAAGGCTGCATTTCTCCTCCCCCAGGAACTTCCTGCTCTCCTCCCTGCCCAGCCCTGTGCCCCTCACCCTGGGGCCCCAGGCTCTTCTCTTCTCTCTGGCACTGATTTTCTGTGACCTTTGCTCTTCTATCCTATCCTTGGGCTACAATTTACTAGATTTATTGAATTAAAATTTTTCTCTCCTGCAAAAGCTAACAGGTCAAGGAAAAGAAGGAATGCTCAGGCAAGTCTAAGTTCAGTGTGCTTGTGTTTCTCTCTGCAGAGGCTCACACGTAGCACACACTGCACACGGCACGGCCGTGTGGACTCAGCCCTCACCACCACCTCGTCCTTGGGCCTCAGAGGAGCAGCAGGACCTCCCCCCAGCCTGAGGAGAGTTAAGGACTCTTGTCCAAGAACATTTCAAAAAACTGAGTTTTAAAGATCGAATTGGCTGCTATTCATGATGCATGGACTGGCAACGAACCATCCAAGTATACCATTCACAGCGTACCACCCATACCACCCACAGCTTACTATCCAAGCATATCATCCACAGCATATCACCCACAGCATACCATCCAAGCATACCATCCACAGCATATCACCCACAGCATACCATCCAAGCATACCATCCACAGTATACCATCCACAGCATACCACCCACAGCATACTATCCAAGTGTACCATCCAAGCGTACCACCCACAGTGTGCCATCCACAGCACAGATAGGGCTTCCCCAGGCAATGCCCATGGTCTGTTTCTGCAGGCAGCTTGGGCGGGAAGGAGGAGGTGACCTGCTGCAAGCTGGCAGGAAATCGGGTTCATCCATTTGTGCTGCTGTAACAAATGCCAAGGATGGACAGTCGCCAACGACAGAGATTGATCTCTCCTAGTACTGAGGCTGTGAAGCCCAAGATCGAGGCACCTGCAGGGTCAGTGTCTGAGGAGGGCCTGGGCTCTGTTTTCAGGAGGGCGCCTGGAGCTGTGTCTCACATGGAGGAAGACAGGAATGGCCAGGGCCGCTGGCTTCAGCCTCTCCTATGAAATCACTAATCACACTCACAAGGGCTTCACCCACTGGCAGGACTTGATCCCCTGTGAAGAGCCCCCTTAATGCCATCACGTTGGTGCTTAAGTTTCAACACAAGGATGTGGGGGGCACATTCAGACCACAGCAGATAACATCAGTAGCATTCATGTTTGACATGGTTTAGCTGTGTCCCACCCAAATCTCACCTCAAATTGTAAAAATCCCCACATATTGTGAGAGGGACCTGGTAGGAGGTGATGGAATCATGAAGGCAGGATTCCCTCACACTGTACTCATCGTAGCGGATAAGTCTCACGAGATCTGATGGTTTTATAAAGGGTAGTTCCCCTGCACACACTCTCTTGCCTGCCGCCACATAAGACATGGCTTTGCTCTTCCTTCCTCTTCCACCATGATTGTGAGGCCTCCCCAGCCATGCAGAACTGTGAGTCCATTAAACCTTTTTCCTTTATAAATTACTCAGACTTGAGGCTGCTTTATTAGCCCAGGACAGACTAATACAATGTTCCTTTCCTCTTGCGGGCTAAAGCCCAGGGATGTTCTCATCCTGCCAGCTCGAGGTGGCTGGGCCCCTCCTGATGGGTGGCTGTGAATCTCCTGTTTTTGGAAAGTTGACCTGTTTTTAAGCTCAGTTTGGTGACCTGGCACCTGGCACAGGTGACTTCAATCTGCCTAGTCTGCCCAGGTGGGGCCTAGTGACAGGAACTCAGTATAAAACAACGGCCCCCTGTAAACCGGAACACTCTAATGCGTGAAGTAAAACACTCCCTTGCAGCTGACGTTTAGGGAGGCAAACCAGGCCCCAGAAGTGACATTTCATTTTGCTGCTGGCATTGAGACCACGTATTCAAGCTTCAGGTTGAAAATTCAATTTTAAATGTACGCCCTATGTCATTTATGGCACTGTTATCAGAAGACTCTGGGTCTCCCCCTGAGGTTACACTTTCCTCATCTCCTTCCAGAAATCCAATGTTTAATGCTTTGAGTGTGAGGATACAGTAAAGAGGGGTGGAGACAACAAAAATAACAAATTGTGCTCCCTGCTGTTGAGGGGTTTGAGGTGTGGTTGTCCTTTCTTAAGGGAAAATTTTGCCAAGATATGCAGCTTGTGATTTGCAGCTCTGTGTGTGTGTCTGTGTGTGTGTGTGTGTGAAGGCTGCCATGACAAAGCACCCCAGAAATTCATCCTCTCACATCCCAGGGCTGGAAGTCCCAGATCCAGGTGCAGGCAGGGCTGCTTCCTCCTGAGGCCTCCGTCCTCAGCCTGTAGACACCGACATCCCCCAGGGCCTCACATCCTGAGGTCTCCCTCCTCGGCTTATAGACACCGACATCCCCCGGGGCCTCACAGGGTCCTTCCTCTGTGTGTGTCTGTGTCCTGATCTCCTCGTCTCATAAGGACACCATCCTGTGGGATTGGGGCCCACCCTCATAACTTCCTATTACCTTAATCCCCTCTTTCTAGGCCCCGTCCCTAACTGGAGCCCCATTCTGAGACACTAGGGATTAAGACTTCAGCCTATGGATTTGGGGACATGATTCACCCTGCAGGACTCTGGCTTTTAGATGAAGGCTGAGAATTTGTTTCCTAAAATGTGCCTCACCGCAGGCTCCGCACTGTGATATCTGCGTTTATCGCTTCAAACATAGGAACAGTACAGCTAAGTAACAGCTGCCACTAAATCGTTAAAACTCAAGCCAAAGTGCTCTGTCATTCTTAAAACAGGTATTTTATACACAGAAGTGTAATTTCTGGTCCCCTCTATTAGTATTACTGGCTAATTCCTTCTGGAAATTGACTTATTTAGAACCAATGGTGGAAAGCGTGGAACAGAAAAACCAGCAGCTTGGCAGGTATGGTGTGGTTTACCCTTTAGCAATACAGTTTTCTCAACCAGACAAAAAAAAAGGGATGACATTAATGCTGAATATATTTACCAAAAGCTAAAATTAATCCTTTATCTTCTTTGCATATATGTGTATTTATATTAAACTCAATGTTAGCACAAAGGCAAATACACTGAATAAAGTATTAATTTTTAAAGTGGTTGGTGCATATTTTTCTCCTAAAAATAATAAATACATGTGCAGTTTTTAGACTTATCAAAGTCTGCCAAACAGAAAGGAAGATGTTTGCATATTTCTCCACTATCAAAGGATTATCTCAACAACACCAAATGGGAGAGTGTGTAGCTCTCAAAGCGCCCACGAGCCTGTCATCTCCCACTTAAATATCTTCCCGTGAAACAGACAGAAGCATTTGAAAAGAGATCCTTCCACTGCCACTGTGAGTTGGATCGAATTCCCATACATTTGGGAGAGAAAAAAAAACTCAATTTTATCTGGATTTAAAAATCCAACGCTCACAGCACAGGCACAGTCAACATAACATCTTTAAGCGCACCGTCTACACTGGCTGTGATTTCACTGCCCCTGTGGCCTACACCTGAGTCAGGCTGTTTATTCCCTCACCGGGAGCCGGACGGACTGTGCTGCCTCCAGCTGCTCTGGCTTAGAAATGTGCCAACAAGAGGAAAAATCGCCCAAAACGCCACCTTTAAGGGATCCTGAGAGAGCCATGGACCTTCATGAAGAAACACTTTTCCCCAAAACAATAAAAAGGTATTGACCCATTGCTTTTTGTCATGAATGTTCTTTCAAAATGCTGCAGGAATGAAGCTCTGAGTAACGGAATCCTGATATCAATTCTAACAGGAATAGCTAAATAGTTGAGGGTTTTCAAAATCAATGGGAAAAATTTATAAGATGAGAATCTTGTTACAAAGAAAAAAAAATAGGGATCTAAATGTTGAGAAACATTGGAAGGTCTCGCAGTCCAAAACCTCGACATCAGAACTGACTGAACATTTGTACAAAGTGAAGTTCCAGGAGCTGCCCCTTTAGAAAGGCGTCCTCCCTCCCGGAGGAGCTGTCTCCACACTGCACCCTAATGCCGGCCTTCCCCAGCGCCTGTCTCTGCCAGAAGCCTCTCCTTCACAGCACTGCACCTTTGCAGCCTGCACCCACCCTCTCCCCTGGACCCCCACCCACACCCTCCACCCTCTCCCCTCCATGGCACTGGACCGTTCCTCTGGCCCTCAAGGTCCCCTGCTCACCTGCCCCCTCCACACCAGCCCCCGGCTCTGGGGCAGGAGCACGATTGTTCATTGATGTGTCTGGGACCACTGACCACATCTGACGCACAGTGCCACCAGGCGTCGCCAAGCATCCCCAAGCACCTGCGGAGTGCTCATCCCTTAGGGACTTGTTTCCTTACCTGTTACAGGAGACCCAAGAAACTTCAACAGTCCTGAGATTCCATTAGAAACAACATTTCCCTAAAAGGGGGCACGTGGGGGTTCTGAGAGTCCCATCATCAGTTACTGGAGCCCCCACCTTATTCCTCAGCCCCCCACCTTATTCCTCAGCCCCCACCTTATTCCTCAGCCCCCACCTTATTCCTCAGCCCCCACCTTATTCCTCAGCCCCCACCTTATTCCTCAGCCCCCCACCTTATTCCTCAGCCCCCCCATTCCTCAGCCCCCACCTTATTCCTCAGCCCCCCCATTCCTCAGCCCCCACCTTATTCCTCAGCCCCCACCTTATTCCTCAGCCCCCCCCTTATTCCTCAGCCCCCCCCTTATTCCTCAGCCCCCACCTTATTCCTCAGCCCCCACCTTATTCCTCAGCCCCCACCTTATTCCTCAGCCCCCACCTTATTCCTCAGCCCCCACCTTATTCCTCAGCCCCCCACCTTATTCCTCAGGGCAGAAATGAAAACATGGTTTTCCATTTCCCTTTTTGTTACTCAGGTCACATAACAATCACTTATATGGCAAAATTTCAGATGCAATTAGAGAGTTTTCAATACTTCCCCCATTGAATTTCAGATTGGTGAGGTTTTTGTTCAAATTTTCCCTCAAAATTAGTTGTTTAAAGATTTGCGCTAGCTTGGTACACTCACATGTCCAAACATTTACAGGAATGTCTGTGCATTCCTGCGCTCTCTTGAGAGAGAAGCAACGAAGAACCTGAACGATAGAAATTAACATGCACATGTAAAAGAAACCGGCATCTTTATGCCACGCTCAGAACGCTGGAGGAGCCTGGATTGTCACCTGTAACTCAACAAACCTCACTCCTTCCTGGGAAAAGCGTCTCCAAATGGCACCAGCATGGGACCAATCGCTCAGGTGCAAAAAAAAAAAAAAAAAAAAAAATACGACTTTCCCTGCACACCCCACCTGCAGGTGCCATTGACTGCTTCATTCAGACAATCCCCCGATCCAGCCCGCCTCATGGCTCCACCAGCCCAGGGCACCCTCCTCACAGCTACCTGGACCAGGTGGAGCCTCCCTGAGGGTCTCTGTTTCCTACACACACGCGCGCAGGAACCCAGGTGAGTGAACGTTAAGTGTGGTTTGAATTGTGCCACTCGAGTGCTCAAGCCCCTCCCAGAGTTCTCCGAGACATCAGCCCCTTCACACCCCCCACGCCTCCCCCTTCTCGGCTTCCACTCCTCGCAGTGGCGGCTGCTGAACCTCCCTTCTCCCACCCCCGGGCGTGTTCTTCCCACTGTTACTGAGGGGCCAGCTCCCTGGATTCTCAGGTTTCCTCTCCTCCAACATCCCAAGCACTGAATGGGAGTTTGAGACACTTAAATGCTCTCCAAGCCAGGCATGCAGGCAGCTGTGTGTCTCACCCACACGCTGACATAACTGATGAGGGCCAGGACATCAGCCGAGACAGCGGGTGCACGGAAACCCACGAGAAAATGCTGGGCTTTCCTCCAAGTGTGAAACCCTGGATGCGTTCTGAAATCCCCAAGGATGCTGAGAGCCACAGACGTGTAGACGGAAAGAAATCAAACCATTCGCGTTGCTGATGGTGGGAGGAAGTGCGCTGCAGCCCGCACCTGCCTCCCCTGATGCCGATAGCAGGACCGGCACCCTCGTTCTCTGCAGTCACACTCCCCATGTGAAAGCGTCTCCTGTGTTCTTTCTTCCAGGATGCCATTTTCAGGCCGGCTCCTGCACAGGCAGTGCGGTGTGGTCACTGTGCTCCACTGATCCACTGAACGGGGTTTTATAAAAAGGGCGTGCGACTCAGGTGGGCAATGACCTGGCATCCCAGCCTCCAGGAAGAGCCCTTCTCCGTGTTTCAACACCCGAGCGATACAGGGATGGAGCGATGCCACTCTCTTTGGATGTTCTCCCCATGTTTCTTCTGCTGTAGAGTTTGTCACAAAGTCCCCAGTACCCTTTGGGAATAAGGTAACTCTGCCGTCTGCACCCCATCTATCCCTCAAAGCTTCAGCCAAAGGGAACATCCTCTGAGGAGTCTCCCCCAACGTCCACTCCCAGGGGGACAGCGGCCTCGAGCATCCAGCCTGCAAAGGCGTCCCCACCCCACCACAGCCACTGGTGGCCAAGGATGCTTCAGTGGTGATGAGTGCCTGGGGAGACAGGGTCTCAGTAAACACCTGTTGAATATAACTCAACACAGTGCAGGTGCAGAGGCCCACACCTCCCCAGCCCTCCACCTCCCTCCCTCCCTCGATTCCTTCCTTCCTCCCTCCACCTTCTCTTTCCTTCCTGCCACTTGTCCCTTTGCTTCCTTTCTCCTCTCCTACGGACACCAGGACCCAGTTGTTCAACAGCAGAAGGGAACTCCACCTTCCGACTTTTCCACACAACACAGCTCCTGCATCTCAGAGCTCCAACTCCATCAAAGGCCTCAAGAAAGGAGCTCGGGGTGGCCAGGGTGCTCCTGCTCCAGGCATGCCAGATGGTTTGCCAACAAACAGGATCTTTCAAACTTTCAAACCCCACTCCCTCATCTTAGAAATGACTGCACTTCACCTGGGCTACCTGCCCTGTTTCAGGGCAGTTGCAGAGCTGGTCACCAGGTCATGAACCTGAGCTTTGCCTTCATTTAACCTCTGGGAGCATCAGGTCCCTTTACTGCAAATGTGGATAAGAGCCATTCCTACTCAGGTCAGGGTTAATCATCACAAAACCCTTTGGAAATTTCCCATTGTTCAAGAGAAATTGGACCAAGCCAGTCAAGTGCACTAGGCTACACGAGACCACTAAGTGGACCAGGCTTATGCGAGATCACTGCAGCAGAGGAGAGAGGTGGATCAGGCTGTGTGAGACCACTGCAGTGGAGAGGTGGATCAGGCTGTGTGAGACCACTGCAGTGGAGAAGAGAGGTGGATCAGGCTGTGTGAGACCACTGCAGCAGAGGAGAGGTGGATTAGGCTATGGGAGACCTCACCCCCCCCCCAGCCCCCACTGCCCCCAGTCGTCCTTCCCTGGTGCGCAGCCCAGGCCTGTGGGTCCAGCCTCACCCCCACCCTGCCCCCCAGCCGTCCTTCCCTGGTACACAGCTGGGGCCTGCAGGTCCAGCCTCACCCTTCCTGCCCCCAGCCATCCTTCCCTGATACACAGCTGGGGCTTGTGGGTCTAGCCTCACCCTCCCTGCCCACAGCCATCCTTCCCTGGTGCAAAGCCCAGGCCTGCGGGTCCAGCCTCACCCTCCCTGCCCCCAGCCATCCTTCCCTGGTGCAAAACCCAGGCCTGCAGGTCCAGCCTCACCCTCCCTGCCCCCAGCCATCCTTCCCTGGTGCACAGCCCGGGCCTGGGGGTCTAGCCTCGCCCTCCCTGCCCCCAGCCATCCTTCCCTGGTGCACAGCCCAGGCCTGCGGGTCCAGCCACACCCTCCCTGCCCCAGGCGTCCTCAGTTCCCGTCTGAGCTCAGTGTCCTGTCTCTGCTGTGAAGCTGTGTGGCCATCGGCAAGGCCATGTGGGGACTGAGAGTGGAAGTGGCTGCCATTCCCAGTTGAGGGCCAGACGCTCAGGCCGACCCTCACCCCGAGAGCCCTGGTGGGTTCTTCTGGGTCCTTAAGTGGAATCCCAGACTGTCCCCAGCATTCAGGTCACTTGCTGATTTTACTTGTTAAACTCATGGCTGCCTTTTGAAACTAGGCCTGTTGTTTCTTTTCCAGTGAAGAGAAGCCAGCGTAGGGTAGGGAGAGAAGAGATGCCTCAGGGGTGAGGCAGGTACCAGAGAGTGTGCAGGACCCCAGGAGCCCCGTGCAGCCCCGGCCCTCGTGGGCTGATGTGAGAGTCAGGAAGGGTCTGAGGTGAAGGAGCGAGGGGCCCCAGCCTCCAGGCCTAGGGACGCAGGTGTGACAACACCAGCCAGCTCCAAAGCCTGGGGGCCAGGTAGGTGGCGTGACCGTGAGACGGTCCAGTGCCTGTGTGTGGCTCCCACCAATGCCCACTTCCTAATTTCCCAGACTAGTGGCTTTGTCACTGACACAGACAAGGGCCAGAGGCAGGCGTGGCAAAGATTACGGCGCTGAGGTGGGAGATGACCCTGAGGGTCCCAGCAGGCCCAATGCAACCACACGAGCCCTTGAAGGCAGAGGTCAGCTGCAATCGGAGCAATGGGGATGGGGATGTGGCTGACTTTCAAGGAGAGGAGGGGCTGTGAGTCCAGCAGGTAGCTGGCCACGGACCCAGGGGGAAGCAGGAAGAGCCACTCCCCAAGCCACCAGGTGGCCCTGCCCACACCTGGATTCATTTAACCCCATGAGACCGTGTCGGACTCCTGCCCTCCGGAATTGCCAGCTAATACAGTTGTGTTGTTCAAACCACTGAAGTTCATGGTCAGATGTTATGACAGCAGAAATAGCCTGATACACTGTGAGAAAGTGGAGAGCACACGACGCCTCGGGAAAACACCTCCTTGGCTGGGTTTTGCTAAAGCAAAAATAGAAATCCAATTTAGTCATGAACTTACAGTTTTGAGAGAAGCCATAAATATAAATTTTATATGAAATACTACAATTTTTAAATGCTGGGGGAAAGCTTTAGGATAAATTAGTCATGATAAGAATCAAACTAAACACATTTGCAGGTAGACTCTTCTGACAGGCCATTGCTTATCAAAACCAGTCAGTCTTCTGACACTGGTTTCAACCTCTGTATCACTCCTGGATTTTTCTCCTCTCAGGAGACACTATTTTCATTTAAATGCACATAGAGCCTCCTCTATGAAGCACTTCTTTTTGTAACTGGGCATAGCTGTCCAGGAACTGGAAGCTCTCTTAGAGAAGGTTCTAATGTCCTAGGAATTAAAATACTTATCACACTTCGAAGAATATTTAGGAGCAATCGCAGGGGTCTGAGGCGGTGTGTGCTGTTTATGGGAGGAGGGCAGGGCAGAGCCTCCGGGAGGCTGCAGAAAGGAGAAGTCGTCGGAACTCCAAGCATCAGGTGAGCCGCGGCTGGAAAGAAATGCGGATCCCAGATCTTACGGATGCATCTACTTGAAGACACTCACCTAACACGTTTTAGTAAGCATACTGATCAGAACTGATTTAAACGGGTAACATTTTGAGTAATTATCACATCTGGCAGATGTCATATTGCTCATGCCCCTGAAGATGAGCCAGCATTCTCTTCCTGCACACAGCATCCCTCCCCGGGATCTCTTCGCCTCCCTGAGGGCAGTTGCTGTTTAGATAAACACCTACATGCTTTGAGGCCTAAACACACATACGCTGGAAATGACCTGCTTCCAACCTGTCCACCTATTCTCTTGACCTACTGGCATTAACAATCACTGAATTTTCACTACTGTGGAGCAGGGTCATGAATTAAACCCTTGGCAGGAGCCAGCGTTTACTTTAGGTCCAGCCCTGCTCTGCAAATCACAAAGGCTGCAGCAATCCTGAGCCATTTCCTGGTTACCTGCGGTTGATTTCCAGCTGGAAACGCATCTCAGCTCAAAGTTCCCATCTTTCCCATTCCTCACTCTCTCCGCAGTCTCTCTATTTTTCTCCTGGGCCAGTGAACAAGGCTATTCCCATCCCAGGAGGGAGAACCTCATGGCCTCTGCCCCTCCCCCGTCTCTCCCTGTGGTTGGTGGGAAGAAGAGGGAAGTCACACTCACCCAGCCCCTCCCTGCATCCTCCACAGTCCCCTGGGGCGGCCTCACTACTGACATCATCAACGTCGCTCCAGCCGGGACCGAGGCCGCACGCACAACCTCAGCGGAGCTTCTCCCCTTCATCCACGATGTCTACATTTTAGATTGTTTGATTTTAGCCACACATTAATTTTTGGCAAGTTCTTGCTAGATAGCCTAATAAATTAGAACTGATAAAACCTGAGGTGTTCTGACTAAAACCTGAGGTGACTGATGCTAGGTGGTGGGAAGATGCGTCTTCTCCCCAGAGTCCCCACCGCAATGGGGACCTGAGGCTGCTGCGTCTTCTCCCCAGAGTTTCCACCACAATGGGGACCTGAGGCTGCACAGGTCCCCTCAGGCCCCATACCCTGACACCCACCTGTCCACCTTCCTCTCTGCCTCCAGCCCTTTCCTCTCTGCTCTCTAGGATCTCCACTTAAGATTCTCCAGTTAGCATTCTTCCTCCAGAACAACCTTCCCTGGCAACTCCTCGCTCTTCCCAAGACCACCTTAGGGACCTTCGTACACAGCTCTCCGGGAGGGAGCTCCCAGCAGGCAGCAGCTGAAGGCCTGGCAATCCTCCCATTCTCTCACCCACAGGCCCCAGACACTGCAGGGTGAGAACTTGTGATTATCTTCACTTGGATCCCAAACCCTCAGCAAAATGGTTAGTGCCTAACAGGCGCTTTTGAAAGAGGAGTGAGCAGATAAAGAAAGGAATGTGTTTACTAAGGAAAGAGCCTGGTGTGTCTGCAGGTCACACACCCCAAAGTGCCACAATCTGTCTCTGGTGGAGGCTTCGACGGTGTGTTCTTCAAGTTCATTTACCAGGATTCCTCTGGCATTTTATTGGCCCTATTTCATGAGTAGTGAAACATGAAATAAAATGTCTATTTCCTGAGTAGTGAAACATGAAATAAAATGTGAAATGGACAGGAGATGTTGTGGGGCCCGCCCTCCCCACCTGCAGGGACCTCTCATCCCAGGCCTGTTTCACGGGGAAGCCCTGACAACAGTTATGCCACTAAGACGCAGCACGTAGGCGTGCCGTCCAGCTCAGGGATTCAAAGCGTGTGACACACGGCACTGTCACTGTGCGAGCACCTCTCACTTGTAACTGGATTCACATGCATCTATGAAGACTGTCTCCACTCAGCACAAAAACTGCACTTTTTATTTATCCATGTATTGCCCCTTTTTCCACAGAATCTTTTTTCCTGTTTCAATGAGCACTAGTTGCTGTTAAAATGAAGGTCAAATGCATCTTTCCTAAGGTTTTCATTAAACTTAAACATGTGGTGCAGAGTGTCCACAATTTAAAATTATGTGAAACCAATTTCCCTAGATACTGACTTTAACTTGAAAGAAGAGAGCTCACCCCATTTGATTTTCATGCAGGAAATGGAATTGAGAGATCAGGTACTCCCCAGTAATTGCTTTCCAAAGCAGCTGTGAGAAGCACCCCCGAGTGTGGAGAATAATTCTCAATGCACACAGCTACTCTCAAATCAAATACTGATCAGGTTGCAAAAACTAATTTTGAGTCCAACTCTATTCCTAAATAAAAAGAAGAGCGTTCACATGTGTCAGAATTTTGGCAGCGTATGCTCCTTCAGTCTGGGAGCTGATAAATCTCACCTGGTCAAGTGGGAGCCTCTGGTGTCTGAGACGGCAATGGGTGCGCCCTTTGTCTAGACGGCAGGAGCAGGAGCCAAGATTTAAACGTCAGTGCCTCGATCCAATTTCCATGTAAATACACTGCCTGCGAGGTGCGTGGACTCGGGAGCTCTGACGTAAACGCGCTGCCTGCGAGGTCGGTGGACTCGGGAGCTCTGAGGTAAACGTACTGCCTGCGAGGTGCGTGGACTCGGGAGCTCTGACGTAAACGCGCTGCCTGCGAGGTCCGTGGACTCGGGCGCTCTGACGTAAACGCGCTGCCTGCGAGGTGCGTGGACTCGGGAGCTCTGATGTAAACGCGCTGCCTGCGAGGTGTGTGGACTCGGGAGCTCTCACGTAAACGCGCTGCCTGCGAGGTCGGTGGACTCGGGAGCTCTGAGGTAAACGCGCTGCCTGCGAGGTGCGTGGACTCGGGCGCTCTGACATAAACGCGCTGCCTGCGAGGTCCGTGGACTCGGGCGCTCTGACGTAAACGCGCTGCCTGCGAGGTGCGTGGACTCGGGCGCTCTGACCTAAACGCGCTGCCTGCGAGGTCCGTGGACTCGGGAGCTCTGATGTAAACGCGCTGCCTGCGAGGTGTGTGGACTCGGGAGCTCTCACGTAAACGCGCTGCCTGCGAGGTCGGTGGACTCGGGAGCTCTGAGGTAAACGCGCTGCCTGCGAGGTGCGTGGACTCGGGCGCTCTGACGTAAACGCGCTGCCTGCGAGGTCGGTGGACTCGGGAGCTCTGAGGTAAACGCGCTGCCTGCGAGGTGCGTGGACTCGGGAGCTCTGACGTAAACGCGCTGCCTGCGAGGTCCGTGGACTCGGGAGCTCTGATGTAAACGCGCTGCCTGCGAGGTGCGTGGACTCGGGAGCTCTCACGTAAACGCGCTGCCTGCGAGGTGCGTGGACTCGGGAGCTCTGAGGTAAACGCGCTGCCTGCGAGATGCGTGGACTCGGGCGCTCTGACGTAAACGCGCTGCCTGCGAGGTGCGTGGACTCGGGAGCTCTCACGTAAACGCGCTGCCTGCGAGGTGCGTGGACTCGGGAGCTCTCACGTAAACGCGCTGCCTGCGAGGTCGGTGGACTCGGGAGCTCTGAGGTAAACGCGCTGCCTGCGAGGTGCGTGGACTCGGGCGCTCTGACGTAAACGCGCTGCCTGCGAGGTCGGTGGACTCGGGAGCTCTGAGGTAAACGCGCTGCCTGCGAGGTGCGTGGACTCGGGAGCTCTGACGTAAACGCGCTGCCTGCGGGGTGTGTGGACTCGGGAACTCTGCAGCTTCTTTCAGCTCCAGTTTCCTTGTGGACAAATGAAATGTAGTAGCTCCCACTCATCCTCACGGGGCACATTCCAGACCCGGTGGGTGTCTGGGACTGTGGATGGCACTAAACCCGACGGCCGTCAGTCAGAACTTGTTTATCCTTAAGTCTTCCACCCACACATTCAATACCTGATATGGTTTGGACTTGTGTCCCCACCCGAATCTCATGTTGAATTGTAGTCCCCAGTGCTGGAGGTGGGACCTGGTGGGAGGCGACTGGATCATGGGGGTGGATTTGCCCCTGGAGGTGGGACCTGGTGGGAGGTAACTGGATCATGGGGGCGGATTTCCCCCTTGCTGTTCTCACGAGGGTGAGTGAATTCTCAGGAGATCTGGTTGTTGAAAATTGTGTGGTGCCGACCTCCTGTGTTCTTCCTGTGGTTAAAACTTTTGCAGTTTGAGGTGCAACAGCAAAACTAGCAGGAATTTCTTTTTCTTTCTATGCAATTTCAGAGATAGAAGATTTGTTCTTATGGTAGATATTAGCAACCTCAGCATACAATTTTTTCCTTCCTTCTTAAGTAGAGAACTTTCACCTTTTCACTTAAAGGGAGCACTTTACAGCTTCTCTTTGCCATCTACAAGCTGCCAGCCTCACTGCTCTTCTGATCTGGAGCCCTTGGTAAGCAAAATAAGGGCTGCCTGAACTCAGGCACTTGTGATCTGCATCAGTGGACCTGCTGACCCAGGAGAGCTACTAAGCCACTAACAGGCATGTGGTGTGCACAGCATGGATCTGCTGGGCAAAGAGATGACCCGGTCCTGGTCAGGATGGAGCAGGACAGTGCAAGATTTAGTCATAATGCTCAGAATAGCATGAAAGTTTGAGACCAGTCTGGCCAACGTAGTGAAACCCCATCTCTACTAAAAAAAAGTACAAAAATTACCTGGGCGTGGTGGTGGATGCCTGTCATCCCAGCTACTTGGGAGACTGAGGTAGGCGAATTGCTTGAACCTGGGAGGTGGAGGTTGCAGCGAGCCGAGATCCTGCCACTGTCTCAAAAATAAATAAAAATAAATAAATAATAAAGCCTATAGAAGCAGTCTTTCTGCAGCCCCAGGTCCTGCTCACTCATGTCCTCATCCAGAAAACATTCTGGAGCAGCCACTTCGTGTCTGCACGGTGCAGGCAGGGGTGCAGCTAGGGTGCAGGTGTGCAAGGCATCCACACCCCGCAGGATGGTGCAGACACAGACGTCAGCCACTTCCCCACGGGCCACCTGCATGACTGCTCATGGCAGGCTCCTAAACTGGAGTCTCTTCTCCGCAAAAATTGCATGTGCCTGCCTAGATCTTAACAGGAAAAATAATAAAACTTGCTGGTCAAAGTTAATTTAAAATGTCTCCATTAGTGTAGAGGACACTCACTCTCCACCTGCTTTATTTATCCTAATATTAGGTGCCGTCTGACTTCCACAGCCTGACATTTTGTGGTTCGGTTATTCCTGTGTACTTGTATTTTGTGTTGACTAAACCAATATAATTCAGCAATGCTTCTTGGGGAATGTGTGACTTCATTTTTAAATTGATATCTTCCCTGACTGAAAAACCTCCAATACTCAACAAACATGCCCTGAGCTCCCACTGTAGCCTCCGAGCCCTATAAGCCAGGGGCGTGTGAGATGCCAGGATCTTCCTGTCCTGCAGAAGAGGATGACACAGGCGGCAGGAAGACGGCGCCGGGATCTTCCTGTCCTGCAGAAGAGGATGACACAGACAGCGGGAAGATGGCGCCTCCAGGATCTTTCCGTCCTGCAGAAGAGGATGACACAGGTGGCGGGAAGACAGCACCGGGATCTTGCCATCCTGCAGAAGAGGATGACACAGGTGGCGGGAAGATGGCGCTGGGATCTTCCCGTCCTGCAGAAGAGGATGACACAGGTGGCAGGAAGACGGTGCCTCCGGGGTCTTCCCGTCCTGCAGAAGAGGATGACACAGGCAGGAGGAAGACACAGGCAGGAGGAAGATGGCACGTCTGGGCACCAGACCCCGGATGAGAGGACTGCACGCCTCTTCCCGTTGACATCGGCCTTGAGAAGACGACGCACCCCACACCTGTGCAGAGGCCCTTCCTGGCTTTGTCACGATTCTCACAAGCACATTCGGATGGCACCGCTCCTTCCACGTGTGTGAGATCGCAGACCTCAGCCCAGTGCAATATGAGCCCGAAATAACCACTGCTGCTGCCACCAGTGAGGTGTGGGATTATGGCTGCTGCAGCCTGGAGAGCCAAGTCCCTCTGATGTTGTAGGGCCAATGGATGCCACTGGAGGGGATGCAGGAGACAGACACAGGGGCTGGTCCAGTGGCAGTGAGTGCCCGGCCCTAACAGTGCAGGGCGCCTGTCACCCCTCAGGGACTGGAGATGTGCCCAGGGAACCTCAAAGGCAAGAACAAGACTGAGGCCCCAAGGGCAGCTGTGGGGACGTCCAGCCTAGCTGCCAGCCTGGGGTCCTGGGCAGAGGTTGGTGGCTAAAATGCAGAGATGCAGGGCACAGCTCAGCAGAAAAGAGCCCTGATGACATGGCCCATGATCGGGAGGACGGAGGGTGATGCTCAGAGCCCCAGGGCCCAGCTCCCCTCCTGGGGACTGCGCGGCAGCAGGGGTGGCAGAAGGAGGAGGCACGAGGGTGTGGGCACTGGCCGGGTGCCAGGCTGAGAGGGAGCCACAGCAAACGCCCCTTGGCTTTGGCATGGGCAGGACAGCCAGGCCCCGCCAGGATGGCAGGTGCTCTGGGTGGCTGTGGTCTCCAGCCTTGATTCAGCAGCTCTGATCCTCCACACACAGGCCGGCTGCATGCGCCTTGGGGAGGCCGCTTCCTGCTCCCTTTGGCTCTTCCAGAAGGTTCAGACGATGAGCACTGCCACTTACTTTAAAGCCTTTAATAAGCATCTTTGAAAATACGCTTTTTAAGAAATGGATAATTAAATACTTCCCAGACCTAGAAACACAAAGACTCAGCAGAGCACCTTGGAATGACCCAGGCACGAGCTTCCTGCACCTGCCAAGTGCCTATTCCACGATGCCCGGCTCCTCCACTCGGGAAACCCCTTCCTCCCATCCTCCTCCCCGGACCCCATCCTGGGGGTTCACTCCTTTGCACGGAGGCATTTTGAAACCAAAAGTCACAGTTTGTGCACAGTGATGGAGAAGCTTATTATTACCTGCCCTACATCAATTAAATGTGTCACAGTTTGAGGCTTCCCATTAAATAATTTCTGTCCCAGGCTAAGTTCTACTTCAGGAAGTAAAGTAAGAAAGGGCATTTAATTCCTGTCTATGCCAGCATTACAACCACACAGAGAGATGCAAATTGATTTCCGTCTTCATGTGGAGAGTCTCTCGCTGGTTTTTCAGAAAATGACCTTCCATTCACTGACATTCTCAAAAGACATTAAATAAAAATATTTAATCAAAGAAAAAATGGTTATGAATATGGCTGTAAACCAGCATTTCAGGATAACACTTCATAACCAGTTCAAGACCTGACAAACTTATTTCTTTGTAAACGGACATGAATTTTTTTTCCAGTTGCATTCTAAAATGGCCATTTTTTTTCTCAAGTACCAAATTTTTTTTGTGAAGTGGTTCAGGTTGCTAATAATGCATAATAACTAACCTGAATCATAAGGAACACCACCTGGCCACAGCCCCTCCTTTAGGGCTCTTTCTGTCACAAGGCGGGAACCCATGGGCACCGAGGTGGCCTCTGACCAGGAGCCTTTTCCAGTTCTCACTGCTCACAGTGCACACCCGGCAGCTTCCTTCCCACCTGAACTGCGGCTCCTCCCTGCAGCATCTCAGCAGCCCTGGTAAGCCTGGGCTGAGGCCAAATACACATGAGAAAGTCAAGCTTGCATGGTGGCAATGCCTGGAAATCAGTTGTTTCTAGAAAAGTCCACAGTGAGTGAGCAGATGATGCCAGGTGTCCCACAGTGAGTGAGCAGGTAACCCCAGGTGTCCCACAGTGAGTGAGCGGGTGACCCCAGGTGTCCCACAGTGAGTGAGCGGATGACCCCAGGTGTCCCACAGTGAGTGAGCGGATGACCCCAGGTGTCCCACAGTGAGTGAGCGGGTGACCCCAGGTGTCCCACAGTGAGTGAGCGGGTGACCCCAGGTGTCCCACAGTGAGTGAGCGGGTGACCCCAGGTGTTTCCACACAGAGTTAGGCTTGTGTTTTTGAAAATAAGTGCATTGGCTCTAACATGTAGCAATGCACTTCATTCAAATCATCATCATTTACAGGTTTACCATCTACCCTTAGACCGCTTCTGAAAACCAGAGAAGCACCCATGAAAGTGGGAGGTTTTACTACGGGAGGAACCGTGGTGTTGCCCAGGAGCCCTGCGGCGTTCACCTTTACTCAGTCCCTCACCTGCCGTGCCTGACACCCGCCAGCAACACACACTTGGGACCAGTCCTGCTGCCCTGTCACCCGGCATGGCTGACCCTGACCGGGGCCTTTTCCGAGCTGCTGTAGCTCATCTCAGCCCAATGCCACTGGGAGACATTGCAGCACATCTCTCACCTTCGACTGTGGAATATTTGAGGACAGGCCTGTGACTCACCAGATCATGGCTGGCACTCAGCACAGGGGCTCATTCTAAATGCAAGAAGGGGCACACCAGGGGCGTGCCCAGCCCCTCCTCTCACCAAGCGCAGGTGGTCAGCACGACTGCATGGAGCCCTGTGTGCACTGGGACGGGCTGAGGGCTGTCACTCCACCACAGCCGAGGCTCGTGTTTACCGCATGTCACTGGACGTGCATCCCCTGCACAAGTCCACGTTCACCTTCTATCCATGGTGACTCCCATTTCAAAGCTGAGGCTGCTGGCGAGCAGAGGTGAGGCAATTTGCATGCAGTGATGTCACAGCCGGCACACAGCGGAACCAGGAGTCACATGCATGGGCTCTGACTCCACAATGCCTGGGTTTCCCTCTGCGCCCTGTGCCCTCCTCCAAGTTTATAAAGCCCAGCTCTGGGTCACTGAGCAGCTGAGTGGTCACGCCTCTTACAGAGACTCACTTCCCTCACTTGGAGGGTTGCTGAACCTTCCCGTGAGGACACTGTGTATGCCTGGAAGCTTTGCGCAGAGCTTGGAGCCCTGTAAGTGCTCCTTGTCTCTGCGTTAATTACACAGATGCAAAGACCCTCCGTTTCGGCGATGCCTCTCTTGTGAACCCTTCCCGGAACACCCAGGCAGGCCTTTCTGCTCTGGTCTCTGTGCATCTGGGGAACCTTGTTTAAACTCCCTTCATAGCATAAATTATGTTGCCTCATAGTGGTTTGTTTGTGTTTCTACTTTCCTGAATATTATTTAAGGGAAAGAACAAAAAGAAAGGCTTTCTGCATCTACCAAAATCTAGCAGAAGAGGTGTTCAACACGTAGCTGATAACCTCCAGGAATCAGTGAAGAAACCAGCAGCACCAAACGCTACGAGAGCCGGAGGACCAGAGGCTCGGCGAGACCAGGGTGTGGGTTAAAGGCGGAAGGTTGCGGTGCTGCAGGTTGGGTACATCTAGAGATCCAGGGTACAGCAGGAGAACTGGGGTTAATAATGTGTCACATATGGAAAATTTGCTAAGGAAGTGGGTTTTAGTTGCATAAAAGAAGCAACTATGAAAAGTGATGGAAATATTAATTTGTTTACCACCTGTAGTCATCACTTTACTATGTAAGTGTATACCGAAGCATCATGTTGCACACCTTAAATACAATAAAAAGAAAGTAAGAGTGAATTGAAATATTCCAACTTAGAGTAGGCAGGGCTGAGTTCAATCATTGGTGCTACCAAATTAATTCAAATCACATATACAGTATAGAATTTCTAAAAAATCCCTTGTTGTATCAACAGAGGGGTAACATACCTATTTATTATTAGCATATTAATATTTGACCCAATTGTGTAATAAACCGTGATGCTTAGGAGCCAAAAAGTAATTGATGCTTCTTTCCTAGAGAAGTCATCTTGGAAAAGGCTGATCAGGAGAGAGGCATCTGAGCTGTGCATTGACAGATCTTTGGGGATGTCAGACAGACAGTTAGGAGGCTCTTCCAGGCAAAGGAGAGACACAGGAGCACATTAAAGATATCCTTTCTGTTGGCAACGGGGAAAAATGTAGAGTCCTCTTTGGTAGGGAGCAGTGAATGAGGGTGCCCACGTTCAGAAACTGTGCATGAGGGCAGAGCCTGGGTGGAATGAGGCTGGAGAGGCTGGACGCTGCCCATCGTGAGGCCAGGCCCATGTGAGACGCACCCTGCTGTATCTGGGGTGCAGACCACACAGCTGTGGCGGACATGGATAATTCGCTTCCTCAACATCGGCCCCCTCTGGCTTCTGCGGAGTCTGCCAGGGAGCTCGACTCTGCCCTTCCAAGATCCTTGCTGCCGAGATCCCCATGGGAACCTAGGCTTTACCATCAGACACACGGGCTGCAGACTTGGATGCGAGAATGAGGTGACGGGGGAGCCCCAGCAGGGTGGCCGGTTCTGCGGGAGGCGGCTTCTGCAATTGGTTTCTGCTCCTGCAGAATCCCAGAGTCTTCCTGACCTCACAGAGCATGTTCTCAGGGTGATCCTGCGACGGATTGAAGGCCCACGCATCCCAGATGCTGCGTCTTAGCCAGGATTATAAACAACTCACCCCCAAAAGCCCACCTTCCGAAGGGCACCTGTACACTGCGACAGTCGTTCATAGAATTCTCCTAACTAAGCAGGTCCGGGATGGCCTGAGGGAGTGGGGATTGGGATCAGGCACAGCATTGGATCCAGGATCCCTCAGCTCTCTATAGCTGAGGCTAAGCAAGAGGGCGTCATGCTCTTTGCAGCCAGTTCTCCATCAGAGTTGGTGAGTTAGGGCAACTAGGGGAAGGAGGAGAGACCCCTGCCTCAAAACCCAGGTCTTCAGCCACCCTCTCCTGGGCTCAGAGAATCAGGAGCCTGCATCCAGGCCAGGTCTGGCATCAGTGGCCACCCTGGGGTGCCCAGGCCCATCCAGACACCCCCTTCATCTTCTGCCTCCTGATGTTTGTCCCAGAGGCTGCTCTGCCAGGTTGCTATGGAAGCCATCAAAGTTCCTTCAGCCCAGACCCATGCACAGCCTTGGCCCAGGCTCTTGGCCACATGCAAGGTGAGCTGGGCTCAACACCCCCTGCTCCTTGATGGGCCTCAGAGATGTCGCAGTGGAGTCCCCACTCTGCTGCCCATTCCGGGGGTCAGTTATGGGCCTGGCATTTTTACCTGGATTGTAACAACCCAAACGTAGAGACAAAAGCAAAAAGCCTCCCAAACTAAATGTGTGGCCCATGCCTGCGGATGGGCACCCCAGAGACACTCTTATCTCCATCTTCTTGCAAAACCATCTCCTAGAGAGGCATCCTCACTTTCTTGGAGCCAGTTAATGTAACAGGTATGGCTCCTTTCACTCTCTGCAGCTCGGACTAATGGAGGTGAAAGCAATCTTATTTTTATTTTGTTAGCTATAAAAGTTGATGTGGTATCTATCTTGTAAAGCAATATTTTATTTGGTTATTTATAAGATAATTTCATTTTAATTATAATTGCTTTATGGATTATCACAATGATTATATGAATATTTAATACAATTTTATGGTGTTTACAGACAGTATCTTGGAAATTAGCTACTATGTATCAATAAGCCAATGTTAATAATTTATATTCATAAAGGCAGCTTGACGTTCATTAGCAGCGGCTACTGGAAAATGTGAGAGCACATTACAGAAAACGAGAGCTCTGGGAGTCAAAGTGATTCTTTACTTATACAAAATCTACACACAGCTTAAATGTCTGAAAATTACCTAGATAAAACCTCTTTCCTTGTACAGTTGATTTTTTGGAGTTTCAGAGAGGCTTAAAGAAGTCATTTTTCTATTTCTCATATTCTCAGTCTCTGGCTTCCTCTGCATTCTCCTTCTGTGTGTTCATCAGACAGACTCCAGTGAGATTTGATGCCCCTGTGCTTTGGGGTTTGAATAACTTCATTTTAGTGTTTGTTTTCCATTAATGTTTTAACTTGAGCCTCAGGACAATTTCCAGGGGTTCAGTTGTTGGTGATTCATCTGAGTGATATTGTTCCCACATAATGATGGAGACCTTCAGGCTTCTCTGTTCCTGGTTCCTGGGCTTCTAAACACGGGATATGGCTTAGAATTTGGGAAACTCCGCCCATGCAAAAAGCACCCAGGATTATTGCTGCATTTTACCCAGGTCATAGCATCTCTTCTGTGGTTTCCAAGTGGGTTTGTGCAGTGAGGGGCTTTCACAGATGGCTCCCACGTTCCTACAGTTCATGAGGGCCCAGGTCTGGAGCCACAGGCCCGTTCGGGTCAATTCCTGATTAAAAGCTCATTTAACCACTGCTCATTCACTGCCTTCATCCCACCAGGCAGCATCCATGCTGTTGACCACAGTGTACCCAGCATGTAACACGGGGCCAGGAGTCCAGGAGGAGCTCAGGGTTCGGACACTCAGTTCAGCTTGCATGGAGCACCTATTGCTAGTGCTGCGCCTCCACCCCATATCATCCCCGCCTCCTCCCAAACCCCTGCCCCTACACACACACACACGCACGCACACACACATGCACACTTCTCCCGACCCCCATCGCGCCTACACACACGCACCCACATGCACACATGCATGCACACACACACGCACACATAAGCACACTCCTCCCAAAACCCCCTCACCCCTACACACACACACTCCTCCCAAACTCTCCCCAAACCCCCTCACCCCTACACACACACACGCAAACTCACACACTCCTCCCAAACTCTCCTCAAACCCCCCACCCCTACACACACGCACACTCGCACACTCCTCTCAAACTCTCCCCAAACTCCCTCACCCCTACACACACACGCACACTCCTCCCAAACTCTCTTGCCCACTACACACACATGCATGCCCACACACACGCACACAGACACCAAACCCTCCCGCCCCTACACACACACACGCACACTCACACACTCCTCCCAAACTCTCCCCAAACCCCCTCACCCCTACATACACATGCACACTCCTCCCAAACTCTCTTGCCCACTACACACACATGCACGCCCACACACACACACACACACACCAAACCCTCTTGCCCCTACACACACACACGAACAGACACACATGCACACACAAACACCTTCCTCCAGAGAGGGAGGGTCACAGGCCCAGGTGCCCAAGGACAGCCGGACTGCCTTCAAGACAGGTGGTCAAGGGTTTAACAACTAAACATGGCCTCATTGTGGTCAGGCTTTGGAAAGTCACGGCTGATTCTGGTTGTGGTTTGAGGATGAAGCATCCGACCTCTCCCTTCTTGCCCTGCAGCTGAAGCATCTCCCAGTTGCCCTCAACTGCAGTCTCTGCCCTGGCATTCTGATGGCCAAGCCAACAACAACCAGGACACCATGACTAAAGGTTTCATCTCACTGAACTCTCAAAACCCCCATGGCGCACAGACTCCTCTCTCTGTGTGGCGGGGACAGCCGCAGTCTTAGAGTAAGAATAAGAAGCAGAGAGCACGGACTCTCTCTGTGTGGCGGGAACAGCCTCAGTCTTAGAATAAGAAGCAGAGAGTTTGGTATGTTCCCGTAGGTTCTGAGAGAGTTTAGTTTGTTCCCGTAGGTTCTGAGAGAGTTTAGTTTGTTCCCGTAGGTTCTGAGAGAG
Source organism: Homo sapiens (assembly GCF_000001405.40). Lineage (NCBI taxonomy): Eukaryota > Metazoa > Chordata > Mammalia > Primates > Hominidae > Homo > Homo sapiens. Next base: position 879,151 of record NC_000002.12, read on the forward strand.
TTTGGTTTGTTCCCGTAGGTTCTGAGAGAGTTTGGTTTGTTCCCGTAGGTTCTGAGAGAGTTTGGTTTGTTCCCGTAGGTTCTGAGAGAGTTTGGTTTGTTCCCGTAGGTTCTGAGAGAGTTTGGTTTGTTCCCGTAGGTTCTGAGAGAGTTTGGTTTGTTCCCGTAGGTTCTGAGAGAGTTTGGTTTGTTCCCGTAGGTTCTGAGAGAGTTTGGTTTGTTCCCGTAGGTTCTGAGAGAGTTTGGTTTGTTCCCGTAGGTTCTGAGAGAGTTTGGTTTGTTCCCGTAGGTTCTGAGAGAGTTTGGTTTGTTCCCATAGGTTCTGAGGAGCAGGTGGGTTCTTGTGGGACTGAGTTACACGATGCATGTTTCTGCCTGACCCAAACTCTGTGCTCAATAAATTTTACTATTTCCGGGTTATTTTGGAGATTTCTTTGTGAACAGTCACAGCACAAACCTTTCTTGTACTTCATGTTGTCAGTCTCTGCACATGGCCCGTCGACGCTCCCACAGTTACTGGAGGAAGATGCCAGCGTGTCTGGGTGACTTCAGGACGGGGCTTCTAAAGGAAACGCATTTTTAAAGGAAAGTTGGGGAAGGACGCCCCTGGACTTTCCCGTCGCCGTGAATATTGATCATATTGACGACCTCTCAGTCCTCACCCACCCTCCTACGCAGCTGCCTTCCGTCCTCCCCCGTGGGCCATTCAGTCAAGAAGACCAGAGGAATGCTTTGCGTAATCCCTGTTTTGGGTAACTGGCCACATTTCTTTCATTTCTCTGTAGCTTCTTATTCTTTATTCATTTTATTTGGAATTCATTTTATTCTCTCTTCATTTTATTTTGAGAGGTGGAATAGTTTTGCATTCTGTGAAAGGAGTCCCAAGGAACTTAGTAATCTTTTTATGTGAAGGAGAAAGGCAATCAATGAATAATTAAATACATAAAGACTTGAAAAACAAAGCTCCTCCTTTTCCCGGGAGAGAATCTGAGAACACTTGAGAAGTTTGCCTTGTCTGTTTGGGAGATGCTGCGAGGCCGGTTTCCCGTCGGGCTGCAAACGGCAGAGCACGCGGCCCTGTCCCGGGCAGGCTCGGCTCCAGGTGGAACCCGGGACACGTGTACGTCCTCAGTGGGGCCTCCGCATTCCACACTCGAGCACATTTGAACCCCGGACACCTTTACGCCCTCAGTGGAGCCTCCATGTTCCACACTGAAGCACATTTCCCTTAATGATGCCAGCGAGTTTGACACTGGCGCCCTCCTGCAGTCTCTCCCCAGCCCGAGCATGTGCTCCTGTTCAGCAGGCAGGTCCCCTGAGTCGGGAACGTCCCTGGACGGGGGCGGGGAGGGGGCCTTGCCAGAGCTCTGGTGAGTGGGCTTCAGACCCTGCTTAGTGAGTGGAATTTTCTCTCCATCTTTCTGCGATTATAATCCACTCTGGAGTGGACTGTGGGCTGCTTCCCATAGGGAAATGAGCTCCCAGCTGCACACTGAGACTCCGTGCCCTCCTCATGGGACCCCCACAGCCCATCATGCACTGCAGGGTCTCTGTTGCAGGAAACCACCGGACATGCCGGGACACCTGCTGCTTGGGGGGTCTCAAGCGAACCTAGGACAGCCAGGATGTTCATGCACCTCGGGAGGCTGGGCCCTCGTGGGCAGAGACGAGACACAGAAATACATCTTAGACCACATCTGCCATATCCATGGAGCCATCGACCCAGGAACTGTGCAGGCCGCTTTCCTTCCCTGGCCTCAGATTCCTCCCCTATCAAATGGAATGTTGACCACATTAACTGCACAATGGTAAAATTCTACATATTAAATGTTATCTACGTAGGTTAGGAGGTAAGACAGGCACACATTAATTGCAAATAATGTGACTCCTCATAATTCAGATCAGTCTAGGAACAGAAGCAGTCACGTTCCAAGGAAAAGATAACCTACTATTATCAGAGCAGACTGGGTGGAGGAGCATAAGGCTTGGGTGTGAGGGAAATACAGAAAGAAAGAAGTGGGGGCTGCCCAGCAGCCATCAGGTGCCACACACACATTATCCTGCCTCATTCCGACCGGAATCCTTCAGGGAGTGCCTGCATCCCAACCTCACAGGCCAGTCTGCGCCTCAAAGAAGTCACGTCCCTTGCTGAAGGTCATCCCAGGAGAGAGTGGAAGGGTGGAGGCTCCCATTCTGCATGAGTTGTAATGTATTCCATCTGACTCACTCCTCTAGCTGCTCACAGCACAAACCCCATACAAAACATTAAGCCACCTTCTAGAGGGCTCTGAAACCGAGGAAAAGGCGGGCAAACTAACTAGGGACCCTGGAAACCTGCAAATGACTCAGCAGTGAGCTCTTGGGGGTTTCCAGTCTCCTTTATACCCTAGCCTGGGTGTGACAGGAGCCCAGAAACACCCACCAGTACAGACACACAGGAGCCCCACAGAGGCTGCCCTCTCCAGCCACATGATCTGAAGCAGTGAAGCCCAACAGAGTGGGCTGCGGTAACTGCACCTGCCCCCCCTTCGAGGGGAGAACCCTGATCCCCCTGCCCCTCGGGGCAATGAGAAGGCAACGTCCTGAGGAGGATCAGTGTGGAAGCTGCCTCCTGGCCCTGCTCAGCAGGCACAGGCAGGGGCCTCCCCCTCCCCACCCAGGACAGGGACACTGGGAGCAAAGTCACACCTTCTAGAGAAGACAGTGGCAGGGACCAAAACAGCACTGCAGAGGGCCCATTGACATTGACATTGGACCACTGACGGCAAAACTGAGCCAGGAAGTGCATTCGAACCTGGACCGGCTGACATGCCAAACTAGAAGATTTACCTAAAAACCAGCGTCTTACATAGAAGATTTTCATAGGAGCCAGATAAGGATTTTAAAGCAGCCATGTTAAAAATGCTACAATGAGCCGTTGAGAACACTCTTGAAGGAAATGGAAATATAAAACATCTCAGCAAAAAATAAATGAATAAATAAATATGTACTTGTGTACCAAATGGTAATTTTAAAATTGAAAAAATACAATCATCAAAAATAACACAACACCCACACACAAAACCAACAACAACACTTCAATGCATGAGCTCAGTAGAAGAATGAACACTAGCAAGGACAAAATCAGCTAACTTAAGGAACATCAGTCATCTGAATAATAACATCAATAATCTGAAACAAATAGTAGTAGCAGAAATAAAATAGACTGGGAACCAAATGAATGTTCCTCAGAGTCCTAAGGGGCTCAACAAAAGTTCTGCATATCATCCCATCAGCAACTATGAAAGGGAAAAAAGAATGCAGGATGGAAAAAGCTGGAAAGAAAAAAAAATGAGTAAATGCTTCCCAAGCTTGGTGGAAGACATAAATAAACCTATAGATTTAAGAAAGTAAGTGTCCTCTCCCAATTAGGATAAAACCTAAGAAATTCATGTTCAAATGCACAATAGCCCAATGTTTGAAAGCCAGAAATGAGGAAACAAATCTTACTAACAGCCAGCGCAGAAAGAGCACATCACCTGCCTTCAGGGGAAGAGTGGTTTGGATAACAGCCGATTTGTCACCAAAACTGTGCAGGCCAGAAGGAAGCGACACGTTTGTCAAGTGCTGAAAGAAAAGAGCTGTCCATCCAGAATTTTATATCCAGAAAAATATCTTTCAGCAATGACACAGAAATAAAGAAAGAGCCTCAGATACAAACAAACAAAGGGGCTGTATTACCAGCAGTCTCACTCTGAAGGAATAGCTGCACAGTGTTCTTCAGACAGAGACGTGTTGATGGAACGGAGAGGTGATGATGGATGGAGGTGATGGTGGATGGAGGTGATGGTGGATGGAGGTGATGATAGAGTGACTCTTGGGCACCAGGGAAGGCTGAAGGCAGAAGGAGGGGTGCAGGCAGGTGTAAGTGTGAACAACTGTGTTTTCCTCTGGGGAGCTGAGAGTTCAGCCCTTTGTGTGTCTTTCCAGAGTCCATGACTTTCACCACGCCTCACTGCCTCTCCACATTGCTGTATTTTATTTGGGGACTTTTATAAATTTATTGTCTCCTAAATCTTTCAGATTTATCCTATGAGGTGGTTATTAGTACAGTATTTTGAAGATGTTACACTGAAGCCCCAAGAGGTTGCTAATTTACCCAAAGACACACAGCTAGCCTGACAGAACATGGATGTGAACCTTCTGCTCCCAGAGTCTGTGCCGTTCTCGTGACACCTGTTAGCCTCTTTCTATGCTTCAGCAAGATTGGGATGTCCAAGGTTTGATGACTGAGCACGGTGGGATTTGGTCCTGCCTCTGGCCCAGGGGGAGCAGCAGAGGGCTGGGAATGCCCGTTCTTAGTGCTGGTGTGAGTGTGATTACGGGAACCTGTTCTCAATGCTGGTGTGACCGTGATTACAGGAGCCCGTTCTCAGTGCTGGTGTGAGTGTGATTAGGGGAACCCATTCTCAGTGCTTGTGTGACCATGATTACGGGAGCCTATTCTCAGCGCTGGTGTGAGCATGATTATGGGAGCCCATTCTCAGCACTGGTGTGAGCATGATTACGGGAACTTGTTCTCAGTGCTGTTGTGAGCGTGATTACGGGAGCCCATTCTCAGTACTGGTGTGAGTGTGGTTGTGGGACCCCGTTCTCAGCACTGGTGTGAGCGTGATCATGGGAGCCCGTTCTCAGCGCTGGTGCGAGCGTGATTACGGGAAGGGGCAGAGGACCTGGAGCAGTGAGGACGTTAGAACACACGGGCGCATGGACATTCACAGGTGTTTACTTTCATGAACAGCTGGCATGTTTTTAACTCGTAAATCCTGCATCCCGCACATTATAGCGTTTGTCTTTCTACCCCCCTACTAGAGGGAACAGCATTTCGGGAGGCAGAGCCCATGCCTTCCTCCCAGGCTTCGTTTCAGCCTCTGCCTCTGTCTTGCTTCCATGTCCCTGTCCCCCGTGACATGCCTATTGTTTATTTTGTCCCGTTACATTAATTTCTCTAAGTGCACTCCCTTCCTTTCTTTTAATTGTGGTAAAGATGAGGACGAGGGAAGAGAAGAAGAGGGAGGAAAGAGGAAGGGAGGAGAGGGGATGGAAAAAAGCAGCTCAAACCATAAAAAGCTCATAACCTCCATAAAAAGCTCCATAAAAGCTCCATAAAAAGCTCAAACCTGCCACTTCAGCAGGGGTTGCTCTGGGATCAGACGGGGTGAGAAAGTTCTGTGGAGCTGTGATTTAAATGAGAAACACAGATGTTCATCCAGGATTCCTGGCTCACAGCTCCTAAAACCCTCATCGCTTCCTTAGTGAGCAGAACAGCAGGAGGGTCTTTCGCTATAAGATCTGGTGTCTTCCTTCTTGAGACAGCTGCGGAACTGTAAGGTGAGAGGTTGTTGTCTATAAGAAGCCTATTTAAGCCACACCTGGCCTTACTTTGAGATGGTTTTTGGAAAGTCCCTAGAGAGCTAGGGGGTTAAGGTGGCTTGCCAGGGGAAGCAGGGTTATGATTAGAGGGTTAGAGACCCTCAACCTCACCCAGCCTTCCGGAGAGAGGAGTGGGGCTTGAGACACATGTAATCACCACTGACCAAGGAAAGAACCCACTGTGCCCATGTGAGGAACCCAGTGGTGGTGCTGGGAAGATGGGGCACCCTGAGAGGGTGTGGAGGCTTCAGCCCTCACGGTGCCCTGTGCATCTCTTCTGTCTGCTGTTCCTGAGTCTCTGTGATAAATGGGTGAGTATAAGTGAAATGTTTCCCTGAGTTCTGTGAGCCATTCCAGCACAGGATTGAACCCAAGGAGGGGTCACAGGGACCTCCCATGGATGACAGGCCTGGACTTTCCCTGGCACCTGAAGTGGGGCAGCCTCGTGGGATGGAGCTGTTAACCCATGAGACCTGACACAGTTGCAAGGTAGGTAGCAGCAGAAGTAAACGGAATTATAGGACTCTCAGCTGGTGAAGGAGAGCTGGTCAGCTTGGGAGAAGCCCCCACATCTGGTTTCAGGACTGAAGTGTGGAACGTGTTAAGTGTGTAGCAGAAGAAAAACAGTTTGGCTTTTTTTCCTGCTTTTCAAGTTCTAGGAACATTAGAAATCTTCCTGGAGAAAGAAAATGAAGAGATCTTAGTGTCTCACTGCACCTGACCTCTGTGGCGAGCTAGGAGTGTCTGAGCCCTCACCACGCCTTCCCCTGTGAGTACCGGACCCCTCTTCAGGAGTCAGGAAGCGGATGCAGGGTGGTGCAGCCCCAGGACATGGAGCCTGGGAACGCCAGGCCCACGGTCAGCCCTGCCAGGTGCCGTCGGACGCACCTCGAGGGTTTTCCACGCATTGAAACAGGCAAGGTTAGCATAGGGCAGGGTCCCCAGTGCTGGAACTGCCAGAGCCCAGGGAAACGAGGGTGGGGAGGACTGGGGGGCTCAGGAGGGACTGGCGGGCTCAGGAGAAGACTGAGAAGGACTGGGGGGCTCTGAGGTGGACTGGGGTGCTCAGGGGAAGACTAGGCGGACTGGGGGACTGAAGGGGGGAACCAGGGGTCACAGAGGAAGACTGTGGAGGACTGGAGGGCTCGGGTGAAGACTGAGGAGGACTGGGGGGCTCGAGGGAAGACTGAGGAGGACTGGGGGCTTGGAGGGGAACTGGGGGGCTCGGGGGAGTGGACTGGGGGTGGGGGAGTTCCTGGCCAAAGCTGAGGGGGACCTGTTTGGAAACCGGAAGGATATGGGGGATTAGGGAGGCCTAGGGGTACATGGACGAGCTGAAGAGGAAGAGGCCCCCACAAGGCTGCAGCCGGGGAGGCACCGACACCACTGCTGGTACGGAGACGGGCATGGCTGAACCTGAAGGAGCCCCAGACTCAGGCCAGCTCTCAGATCTGCTGGGGCCCAGCCGGCCAGGGTCACCTTCCAGGACGCAGAGTGCGAGCAGGACTGGGGGCTCTGCAGAGCCCATGGAGGCCCCGGGACCCCATCCTCCTGGTTACAGTCCCGGATGGCTTTGTCCTGGCTGACGTCTGACCCGAGACCAGAAATGAACAGCAGTGACACATCTCATCCCACAGGGAAAGTAAATTCAAACCATTCAGGGCCCTCGTTCAGTGCCCTCAATGCGGCAGATGCTGTTGGTAGCACGAATCTCCACACCGAGGTGGGTCCTCCCACGACGGATTCCTCCAAGCACAAGAGCTGGCCTGGGACTAATGTGGACAGAGGCCAGCGCTCATGAATTCTCAAAGATGCCGCCTTTGTGGCCCCTCCCCATAGGGACTATTCCTCCAACCTGATTGCTTCCACGTGCACATGAATACACACACGTGACAGGAATCCCTACATTCCTGAATTCCCTAAACCGATGCTCCCTGAGCTGGAACAGAGCGCACAACGAGAGAACGAGGAGGCCGAGTCCGTCAGAGCTTCTGGTCCATCCATGTCTAGCCCAGTGAATGGCGTTGGTTTTCTGAAGGCCGTATTTTATGCTGGCTTCGTGTTTCTTTGAAGTGACAGAGAACCTACTTTTGATGGAAACACAGTGACAGAACACTCAGCCTTCCCCTTTCCCTGATGCCTGCATGGAGACCCTGTCGTCAGGAGCCAAGGGTCCCCCGATGGCAGGAGGCCCTTCCAGAGGCAGCGGCTTTCTGGATCTCATTTTACAAACCAGAGGGAGGCCGCAGGGTCCGTCATGAGGAATCTGCTCCACCAGGGGGTGAATGCCTTCCCTGTGCCAGCGCACACGCCGCACTCTTGCCACCGCTCTGCATGGAAGAAGCTCTCGTCCCATCACAGTCCGGATTCTGCTAAGACCAACTTTCCCTTGGCCAGGGTGGGGCCACACACACAGCTCACCTAGTGAGGAATTACCTTTGTAACACCTGTTGGTCTTAAATAATTTCAATGCCAACTCAGGCAGTAAATTAGCACTGTCAGTAGCAGAGAACCTGCTCAGGGCATAACTGTCCTTGGTGAAGCCAACAATTAAACAGACGAAAATAACTTTCCTCTTGGCCTCTGCAGAGTGATTAAATCAGTGGGGGCACTGAACCCCAGATACTCATCAATATGTTTCTGCTGCAAAGCCATATTGCCTTTTCCTGAAAATAAATGACTTTATTGCAAAAGGATTCTCATATTTAATATTTTCAACTCTTCAAAAAGCAGCATGAAATGTATATTTAATAAAGAAGATCAACCTCTTCTAGTAAAATAAATATTAAATCCTGAAAGTTATTTATAATGTGAAGTCTGTTTCAGCATGTTATCAAAAATACAGTCAGAACTTACTCTTGTTGAGTTTTCTGAGTGACAGTCGTCGATGCTTAGGAAGGGGCTGGAGTGGAGAGTCAGGGTCTGCCTCTCCCACGAGCACCCTGCAGACCCTTCATACCCACTCCCCTCAACAGAGCACAGACCCTCCCTCTTCCTTGTCTTGACCCAACCAGATTCAGCACCGAAGAGACAGAAAACATTGGAGGATAAGCTGTCACCTGGACCCGCATGACTTGGTGGGCTGCAGACATTTGATCCTGCCACATACCTAAGATGAGATGAATGTGGGCAAGTCTGTCTTCATCCTGTGGGGCTGCCCTGACGGAGAAACACAGACAGGGTGGCTCAAACAAGAATTTATTTCTCAGAGTTCTAGGTGGGAGGTCGGAGATCAAGTGTCCTGCTGTCCTCCCTTTCACAGAAGGAAACAGAACTCAAAAACAAGCAAGGCCACCCACCTAGTGAGCAGCAGGTGCGGACTCTGAGGCCAGATCCCTTGATGCCTCCCCACCATGCACTCAGCAATGCTGAGTGAAGTCGATCCAATATGTGCTCAGGGATGTTGCTGTATTTCAGGATTAAGTGTTTACTACGACAGGACAGTTCATCATGGAATATTTTAAAGCCGCTTCCACAGTGTTCTAGCACACTCTAAAACATTGTACCACGTCCATTTACATAAGTACATGGTGAGGTCAAGGCTACGTTGGATCGGAGGAGACCCCAACTGCCCTGTCTGTGATCCAAGAGAAACTCAGTCATGATATTGAGAATAATTCCGTGTGTATAAATTCCACGAGACAAGGCTTCATTGTTGCTTTTCTTGTTCTTGTTTTGTTCTATCTGCTTATCTCAAGGGAGCAGCATGCACTAGACAGACTTGTGATGTGCCTTGGCCCAGGCCTGTATCTGAAATCATGACAAGGGCTCATGGTGGAGCAAGTGTGAAACACAGACGTTAACAACCAAAGTGGCTTGTGCAGCAGTTAAGAGGCCTGATATGTGCAGCTGTGATCTGCCCCCGACGTTTACAAACACCAGGAGCTGCCACTGCCCAGCCCTGACCTAGGGGATTCCTCACTCGGAAAGAAGCACTGAGGCTCATGGAATCCAAGCGCACGAGACGCGGGCAGGCGGTGCCCCAGAGCCCACCACGAATCCACGGCCTCCAGAGTTACCAGTATCACTGCTCAGTGAGGGCTGGGGGAGTACAGCCAAAGACTCCTTATCCAAGTCAGCACCCTTCCCACTGGATCTGAGAGCCAGCCAGCCTTGGCTGTGTCCCTGCCTGGCAGGGAAGTGAGTCACCTGTGATTGGAAACAGCCTGAACTGGGAAAGAAAAGAGGAAAAACGAACCTCAGATTTTTGTAAACACGGAGCCCATGGTCTTATTGTTTTTGCTGCTCTTCTGTTTTTGTAGCTGGAAAGGACCTTGGTGTCCAATGCTCTACGTGGAGTGGATGTAGAGGTTCAGGGTTAAGGCGCTTCCGGGAGGTCCCACAGCTACTTAAACATGGGGAGCATCCACTCAGGGCTACAGCCTTGAGGCAAGCACGAGTCTAAGCCCATTTCATACATGAACTCCTTTAAACCTCACAGCAACCCCAGAGTCAGGGGCAGGTTGTTAGTGTCCACACCCCCTGGAGCCCCAGGGATGACCTGGGGGGCCCAAGGTCACAGCCGGCAGGCGAGGGCCTGAACCTCCAGGGGCACTCAGATCCACAAGGGTCTGCAACGCTGCAGTTCCCGCTGGGTGGTGAAGGTGAAAGTGATCATCTGTGATTGAACACTGAGAGGAGAACCATTCCATGCCATCATTTTAAGGTAATTATTTGGGGTTTGGCCAACCAGTGCAGCAAAACAAGTGAAGTGCTGGGACACAGCAAAGTGTTCTTCCATGCCAGTGCTCCCGGCGACCTGGATTTAAAGACACACTCATGAGTCTTTCAGGCCAGGGCTGGCGTGAGGGTCCACTCTGCATCTGAACAATGCCTCGCCTTACTCTCGAGAACAGAGCCGTCTCCAGCAGACACTCTGAGGCACCTCAGACACAAGGTCATTTCCAGGAGACATCAAGTCTGAAATGCATCGAGTGACTCCAAACGAAAATGTGCCCTTTATATGCTAATTATGCCAGCTCAAAGAACAGCTCAGCCGTTTAGAGGGTAAGAAATATTTGAGAAGATGTATATGAAAAGCTTCATGGCTTGAAACACAACCCCAGCTTGTAGGAAACTCAGAAACACTGCCTCTGAATACTTCCCACACCCTGCTTGCTGGAAGGAGCACTCAATGGAAGGAAGTGAAATTGGTCTCTGTTTCCTCAGGAATCATACCTGACAGGCTAATTTCTCAGTGGCAAATGAAAGTGGTAAACATTTGGGTGATATGAACAATTCCAAAATATCTACTCCCAATGTCAGATTCCTTTCTTGAAGTTTAATTCATGAAAAGATTCTGGCCTTCTCATTTACAGGCTATGAGCAGAGACAATGTCTTTATGGAAAATCAGCTGACAGCATCTTTATTAATTATAGATCTTAATGTTATTTTAATTTTGTGTTTCAACTTATTACAAAAATATCTCTATTTTAAGAGAATGTTTCTCTCTACACATAAACTGGGCTGTTCTGCGTGAGGGGAAGTACAGGCTGTGAGAAACAAAAGTGCATGAGCCATCCGGCGTTCCCAGTGTCTGCCGCAGACCCAAAGTTAAGGTTTGCCTTTAATTTTATCAGTTCTCTTTACCCGCTATTTTGTAGTAAAACTCATTTTCTATTTTCATCATATGCTTCTCAGATTCTCACTAGTTTGATAGCACACGCATATACATCTTTTACTGAAATAATACTTTCTAACGTAATGAGCACTTACATTAATAGCCTAAGCACCACCCAACACACATCCATTCCTCTCAGAAGCTCCCCAGTCCCTGAGCCTAGAGGCTGGGCCTCCCTCAGCTCCAAGTAATTCCTCCTCAAGGCACCAGTGTGGAGGGCATCGCAGACGCATCCGCCCCAGGACTGGAGCTCACACTGCAGCCCTCCATGGGGAGCTCCCCCTCAGATCTGACCCTTTTCTGATTCTCTGGCCCATCCGCCCCAGGACTGGAGCTCACACTGCAGCCCTCCGTGGGGAGCTCCCCCTCAGATCTGACCCTTTTCTGATTCTCTGGCCATTGTTCTTTCCACCGCAATCAAACATGAAAGAGCGTTTTTGCCTTCCTGTTCTTCTCTAGAATTGTGTTTATTTAAAGTCCTTAAGAGAACATCAAGAAGTGAAAGAATTACTATTCTCAGTAGTACCACCATTCTAAGCTTGCACATAAACATTGTCTCCTCCTGGGAGAAATGCCTGGATTTACCCTGAAAGACCCCGGTCCAGTGTGTCTGTGGCCAGGTCTCAGCCCTGGTCCAGTGTGTCCATGGCCAGGTCTCAGCCCTGGTCCAGTGTGTCCATGGCCAGGTCCCAGCCCTGGTCCAGTGTGTCTGTGGCCAGGTCTTAGGAGCCCATCTCAAGAATCATCGTCACTCATCCAAAGCAGCCCCTCCATAGAACGGCTGTTGACAGCCCTGCCTCGGATTTTTCTGGAACTGACCACACATGGAAAGCAGGGCTGGCCCCAGGGCACAAGCACTGAGTCAGCCTGGGTTCAATGCCCGTTCCATAACTCACGGCTGTGTGACCTTGGCGCTCTGACTCAGAATGTCCAAGCTTTGATTTTTTTAATTGAAAACTGATGGAAAATCCACATAAAAGGTTTAGCACATGGTAAACAATGCACAAAAATTATTCATGAGATTGCTCAAATGTTACAACACTGAGTTCCTGAAAACAGCAGTTTGTATCAGAAAACATACCAAATAGTATTTTTAAAGGTTTGTATTATCTCTACTTGTAAAGAAAGACACTGATTTCATTTTTCCTTAGTACTTTATTTTATGTAAAAGAATTCTAGCATTGTACAGGCATGTAGATTAATGAGCCAATTGTGTATACTTTTGTGAATTGAATAGTTAGTATAAAAAAAATTTATGTTACTCTTTGAATAGTGAAATTTCACTTCACTATTAAATCCAAGAAACATTTTTAAAAAACGTTTGTCAATAATAAAATATTTATGGTCATTTTTATTTCTTTTTTGCCGTATTTGTTTACCCTATTTTTTTATTTTACATTTTCTAACTGTATCTCACAAATAAATCCATCTTAAAATGTATGAGGTAGACTGACAGGCTTTCCTCTCAAAATGCCTGTGTACAAATCTCATCTCTTATAGTCAGCTGAGTTAATTTTGGCAAATTACCTAGCCTCTCAGTATTTGCTTTCTCATCCCAAAACATAGATACTAAATCTATCTATCTCATAGACTTGACATCAGGATTAAATTAATCAATTTATAACACTTAAAATCCTGTCTCACACAAAGTAATCACTCCAAATATAGCTATAATGACAAGGAACGAACCAAAAGCAAACATCACTTAAATATTCAAACAGCACATTCTTAGTTAGTAGTGATATTAGCATACTGAATGCTGTGCATAGCTTAAACAGGAATGAACAATTGACACACGATCGAGGATAAAACATGTTTTCTTGCTGCTGTGAGTAAATTCAGATAGTATTGGTCTAACTTACAACCACACGAAGGAAAATAAATTACCCAGATTTAAATTTAGAAAAATTCACATGGCTTGATGTCAAAGAGCCACATCCCATTATTTTGCTAATTCTGAGACTTTTTACTGTAGTGATAGAAATGAATGTTAGCCAACAATGCTTTTTGTGCTCTCACTAACATTAAATAAAGGTGATGTTTCAAAGAAGACATAAAATAATAACAGACAAAGCTGACTTAAAAAGCTAAAGATGAAATGGCATAAATGAAATGGATAAAAGCAAACAGATCAGAAGGAAAATGACAGAAAATAATATCAGTGTTGAAGATAGCAAATATTGTTAGATTAGAATAGTTCAAATGGTGATACAGAACATATTTGGTTTCTCTGACAATATTCTCACAACATAGTACACTTCTGTGGCCTCACATGTGTGAGGGTTTGTTCCCTCCAACCACCAATTCGGGAGCAGATTGTCCAACAGGCACCAGCCAGGTGTCCTCCAGTTCAGTTCGTTCATAACACCGCTCACCTGGAGACAGCATCAGAGCCCACAGACTGAGGCTCAGTTCCTACGACAGCCACCTGCAGACAGCATCAGAGCCCACAGACTGAGGCTCGGTTCCCACAACGGCCACCTGGAGACAGCATCAGAGCCCACAGACTGAGGCTGTGTTCCCAAGACGGTCACCTGCAGACAGCATCCGAGCCCACAGACTGAGGCTCAGTTCCCACGACGGCCACCCGGAGACAGCATCAGAGCCCACAGACTGAGGCTCATTTCCCACGACGGCTACCTGCAGACAGCATCAGAGCCCACAGACTGAGGCTCGGTTCCCACAACGGCCACCTGGAGACAGCATCCGAGCCCACAGACTGAGGCTGTGTTCCCACGACGGCAGACAGCATCAGAGCCCACAGACTGAGGCTGTGTTCCCACGACGGCCACCGGCAGACAGCATCAGAGCCCACAGACTGAGGCTGTGTTCCCACGATGGCCACCTGCAGACAGCATCCGAGCCCACAGACTGAGGCTGTGTTCCCACGATGGCCACCGGCAGACAGCATCAGAGCCCACAGACTGAGGCTCAGTTCCCATGACGGCCCCCACTTCAGACACCAGTCACCAGCCCCAGATTTGACCTGTGTCTTGGACTAACCAGCCATACATTGGGGTTCCCGTGGCCCCCTCCTTGCAGTCAATTAATTTGCTAGATCAGCTCAAAGAACCCGTGTATTTATAATCTGACAAAGGGTATAGACGGACAGCTGGGTAGAGGACACGCACAGGGCGAGGTGCTGGGAGGAGTCCAGGGTGCCCATGCCCTTGAGGGTGATGGGCCATGTCCCTGGCCATGGGCTACAGACTCCACCTGGTGTGGCCAGCAAACAGCAGGACACAATCTCCTCCAAGGGTGTGCAAATGCACCTTCTCCACCCCTCGGCTCCTCCCACCCGAGGCTGCTGCAGGACTTGTCCTTCTCTCTCAGCTCCTCCCACCCCAGGCTGCTGGAGGACTTGTCCTTCTCCACCCCTCGGCTCCTCCCACCCGAGGCTGCTACAGGACTTGTCCTCTCTCGGCTCCTCCCACCCAAGGCTGCTGCAGGACTTGTCCTTCTCTGGTGCTCTAGGTTCGCTCTTCCTTAAGACATTTATTAATGACAAAGGGAGAAATGGTTACCCTGTGCTGGAGAAACCAGTCAGACACGCCCCTTAACCAAATCAGTTTAGGCTGACATTCCAGGGAGAAGAGGCATCAGCCCAGTATTTCTCTATGCTATTCCTTAAAGGATAATCACTGTAGCCTCAAACTAATCATGAAGAAACATCAGACAAACCCTGATGCAGGGTCACCCAGCAAGCTTATTGACCAGTTCTCTTTCAGTGTATGGAGGTCACAAACCCACGCGTAGAATTTGTGTTTATGACTGGAGAACCCACTCCAGTCAGAGGGAAGTGGGGGAATGAGACGGCTAAGTGCGGGGTGATACCACGGATCGGATGCTGAGAGGTAAAGGATGCCCATGAGAAAACCAGGGAAACCCAGATTAAGTCTGTAACTAACAGCATTGCACCAATGCTAACATCACGGCTTTATAAAATGTCCCAGCCAGGTGCCGTGGCTCATGCCTGTAACCCCAGCACTTTGGGAGGCCGAGGCAGGGAGATCACAAGGTCAGGAGTTCGAGACCAGCCTGGTCAGCATGGTGAAACCCCGTCCCTACTAAAAATACAAAAATTAGCCATGCATGGTGGTGCATGCCTGTAGTCCCAGCTACTTGAGAGGCTAAGGCAGGAGAATCACTCGAACCCAGGAGGGGGAGGTAGCAGTGAGCCGAGATCATGCCACTGCACTCCAGCCTGGGCGACACAGTGAGACTCCATCTCAAAAAAAAAAAAAAAGTTCCAAGTTCATGCAAGAGGTTAGGATTGGAGGAAGCTCATGAAGAGTGTTACAAAAAAAAATCTGTATTATTTTTGCAATTTTTCTGAGAAGTGTAATTTCAAAACGAAAAGTTAAAACACTATTAGGCATTTCAAATCTTGGCAGGATCAGAAGAGAAATCAGATCCCTCAACACTCAGATCAATAAAAACTAAAGCATGAGAATAAATGTTATTACCAATTGAAATGGCTAAAGAGAGCAATGAAGTCAACAAATAGGAAGTACAGGAAATAAAAAACATACATAAATATTTGCAACCAAAAGATAGAGAGTAATAAAATGGTAGATATAATCAGTAATGTAAATCCTGGTTCTTTGAAAAACTTACCAAAGTAGACAAATAACTAGATAATTTAACCAAGCAAAAAAGATAAATATGACAAATATACAAGACAAGATATCTCTTATAGATGGAACCTTAATATTTTTAACTTGGATGCACAGAAGCAGAGAGTAGAGTGGTGGTTTCCAGAGGCAGGGAAGGGGGATGGGAGAAGTTGGTGAAAGGGTAGGAAGTTGCAGTCATGCAGGATGAATAAAGCTAAAAATGGAACAGGCAGCTTGAGGACTATAGTTAATAATACTGTATTGTATACTGGAAATTTGCTAAGAGAGTAGATTTTAGATGCACCTAACAGAAAAAAAGGATAACTATTTGAGATGACAGACATGTTAGCTTGCTTGGCTGTAGTAGTCACATCACAACACTATGTTCATGTGTATCAAAGCACCATGTTGTGTACCCTAAATACATGCAATAAAGAAATCGAAAGAGCAAAATAACAATGAAACAAAACTTTTAAAAGTCAGAAGTTACTATAATTTATCAATCCTATAAAAATAAATTTGAAAACATAGATGAAATGGAGGAAATACAGTTTATAAAGTTAGCTTCAGATCGAATATAAAGTTTAAATCAATTAATCTTAATAGAAGAAATAGGGAATTACATCACCAAAAAATCACCTGCTCATAAGAATATATGAAATAATTTTAACACATATTAAACATAGGATATTCTAAATATTACACAAATTACCTCAAATAATAGAAAGTGAAAGAAAACTCCAAATTCTAGTCATAAAACAAGAATATCATTTGTACTTAAACCTAATATAGTACCAAGAAAAAAACATAAACTATCAGTGATAAATGTTGATGCAAAAATATTAACTATTTAGCAAAGAGTGGCTACCTGGGGTCTATTTCATGAACTCAGGGTCAGTCCAATATGAAGGAAGTCAGCAACATGACATAGAAATCCCTATAAAGAGAAAAATTAGTAGCATTCGATTTGATGCAGGGCAGGTGATATGGTTTGGATCTGTGTCCCCACCCAAATCTCACGTTGAATTGTGATCCTCAGTGTTGAAGGTGGAGTCTGGTGGGAGGTGATTGGATTGTGGGGGTGGATCCTTCATGAATGGTTTGGCACCATTCCCTTGGTGATGATGCTCTCATGATGAAAGTGAGGGAGATCTTACGAGGTCTGGTTGTTTGAAAGTGTGTGGCATCTCCTCCCTCTCTCTGTGAGTCCTGCTCCTGCCATGGAAGACACCTACTTTCACTTTGCCTTCTGCCATGAGTAAAAGCTCCCTGAGGCCTCCTCAGAACCAGACACTAACGTGCTTCTTGTACAGCCTGTGGAACAGTAAAGCAATTAAACTTTTCTTTATAAATTACCCAATCTCAGGTATTTCTTTATTGCAATGTGAGAACGGACTAATACAGAAAATTGGCACTGAGGTGTGGGACATTGTATAAAGATACCTGAAAATGGAGAAGTGGCTTTGGAACTGGGTAGCAGGCAGAGGTTGGAAGAGTGTGGAGGGCTCAGAAGAAGACATAAAGATGAGGGAAAGTTTGGTGCTTCCTAGAGACTTGTTAAATTGTTGTGTCCAAAGTTCTGATAGTAATATGGACCAGGCAGAGGAGCTGTCAGATGGAAATGAGGAATTTATTGGGAACTGAAGTCAAAGTCACTTTTGTTATGCTTTTGCAAAGGACTTGGAGGCATTGTGCCCCTGATCTAGGAAATCTGTGAAACTTTGAACTTGAGAGCGATGATTTAGGGTATCTGGCAGAATAAATTTCTAAACAGCAAAGCATTCACAATGTGACCTGGCTGCTTCTAATAGCTTAGCTTGTATGTGTGAGCAAAGAAATGACCTGAAACTGGAACTTATATTTAAAAGGGAAGCAGAGCATACAAGTTTGGAAAATTTGCAGCCTGCCCATGTAGTAGAAAAGAAAAACCCATTTTCAGGGGAGGAATTCAAGCAAGCTGCAGAAATTTGAGTCACTAAAAGGAAGGAAAATGCTGATAGACAAGACAATGGGGAAAGGGCCTTGGAGACATTTCAGTGACCTCTGTGGCAGCCTGTCCTATTACAGTGCAGAGGCCTAGGAGGGAAGAATGGTTTCATGGGCCAGGCCAAGGCCCTCCCCAACCCTGCACAGTCTAGGGACACTGCTCCCTACATCCCAGCCACTCCAACTCCAGCTATGGCTCAAGCAGGCCAATGTACAGCTTGGGCCACTGCTTCAGAGGGTGATGGCTTCCACCCCATAAGCTGTGATGCCTTCCCCATGGTGTTAAGCTTGCAGGTACACAGAGTGAAAGAATTGACACTTGGAAGCCTCCACCTAGACTTCAGAGGATATGTGGAAAAGCCTGGACATCCAGGCAGAAATCTGCTACGGGGCAGAGCCTTCATGGAGAACCCCTACTAGGGCTGTGTGGAGGGGAATGTGGAGTTGAAGCCCCCACACAGCATCCCCAATGGGGCACTGCCCATCCTCCAGAAGGCAACCATCCTCCAGACCCCAGAATGGTAGAGCCACCAGCAGCTGGCACCCTGCACCTGGAAAAGCCACAAGTATTCAATGTCAGCCGGTGAGAGTAGCTGTGGGGCTGACCCCTGCAAAGTCACAGGGCTGGAGCTGCCCAAGGCTTTGGGAGCCCACCCCTTGCACAAGAATCCTCTTGATGTGAAACATGGAGTCAAAGATTATTTTAGAGCTTTAAAATTTAATGACGGCCCTGCTTAATTTTGGACTTGTGTGGAGCCTGTAGCACCTTTCTTTTTGTCAATTTCTTCCTTTTGGGATGGGAGTATTCACCCAAAGCCTATACCTCCACTGTATCTTGGAAGTAACTAACTTGTTTTTTATTTTATAGGCTCATAGATAGAAGGAACTTGCCTTGTCTCAGGTGTGACTTTCAAGTTTGAATTTTGAGTTAATGCTGCAATGAATTAGGAGGACTGTTGTGAGGGCATGATTGGATTTTCCAATGTGAGAGGGACATTACACTGGGGGGGGGCCCGGGGTGGAATATATGGTTTGGATCTGTGTCCCCACCCAAATCTCACATGAATTGTAATCCTCAGGGTTGGAGGTGGAGTCTGGTGGGAAGTGATTGGATCATGAGGGTAAATCCTTCATGAGTGGTTTAACACAATCCTCTTGGTGATGCTCTCATGATAGTAAGTTATTGCGAGGTCTGGTTGTTTAAAAGTGTGTGGCACCTCCCCCGTCTCTTGGTCCTGCTCCTGCCATGTAAGACATCTCTTCCCGTGTCACCTTCCACCATGAGTCAAAGCTCCTTGAGGCCTCCCCAGAAGCAGATGCTGCCATGCTTCCTGTACAGCCTGCAAAGCTATGAGCCAGTTAGACCTCTTCTCTTTATAAATTACCCAGTCTCTGGTATTTCTTTATAGCAATGTGAGAATGGACTAACACATCAGGCAAGCCGTAGAATTGGGACTTATCCCAGGAGGGTTCTTGCTTCACCCAGGAAAGAATTCAAGGGTGAGCTGGGGGTGACAGAAAGCAACTTTTACTGAACTGGTGCTGCCCCTTGCAGAGCAGGGATACCCCATGGACAGCACACCCAGAGTTTGCACTTGTGAGCTCTGAGCCAGCTGTTTTGAAAAAATATCTAGAAAAGGAGCAGGGAGTTTCCAGAACTATGTAAGGTAACTTCCATGTTGTTGCCATGGCATTTGTAAACTGTCATGGCACCAGTGGAGGGGTCTTTATGCAAATGAGTACTGAGGGAAGTTAAGGCTGCTGCCATCTCCACCTGCTGGCTTGGCAGTTTCACTGCACCATTTCCACCCCATCCTGCTCTGGCCGGCAGGGTCATGCTGCAGTCCTGACCGCTGCTCAGAAAACAAGTCCTGCTGGTTTCCCATCTCAGATTTATAGACATTAAAAATGTTTTTGGCAAAATCTAACTCCCATTCTAATACAAACATTCTATAAAATATAAATTGATGGATATTTCTTTAACACATTAAAATATAATAATGTTTTATATTTCATTGTATTATAGATATCTTTTTCTTGATATATGTAAATGTTTTATATATTTTAGTAGGTTAAGCAAGTATTTATCAATTCACATGTATTATATATGCAGATATAAGTATGTACAACTATATATAGTTCTATAGTTATCTATAAATATGTAAAACTATATATAGTAAATATAAATACATAAATATATGTAATGTAATATATGCAAATATGTTTAACATAATTATATTTCTCCTAAAGCCAGCATCATATTTAATGGGAAACCACTAGATATGTTTTCATTCAGAATGTGATACTGGAGAAACCATTATGGAGGAACTAGAAAACCTGAATTGAGAGACAATCATTTTAGATAATCAAAGCCAGCAAATTATTGAAAATATTGTATGATTTTTTTAATGTAACATAAGATCAGTTTAATATACAATACTCATACCTATGTAATAGATAGTACTAGAAAATTTAAAGTGAGAAAAACATTACATTTCAGAAACACTAATTAGATAAAGATTATCTTCTAAATTTTTGAAACAAACATCATGCTAACATTCTACTAAGCTTAGTAATCAGACAAGGAGGAAGGTGTCCCCTCACTTGTAAAGCATTGCACTTTATTTTCTATTAGCCACATTAAGATAAAAAATAACAGAGAATTCAGAACTGTATGGGAAAAGATAATATATTTTGTATTACTGACAATATTTTTATACAGAAAATTCAAAGAAATCTGAAAAAAACTCTAACACTAATAAGAGCTTTCACTCAGATGGTCAGATAGAATACCAACATTTTTTTTTTAAAAAGCCATTGTGCTCATTTTCAACAATAATAATCAGAATTTTTAATGGAAAAACAGAAACTTATTTTCTCACAGTGCTGGAAGCTACAAGTCTGAGATGACAATTTAGTCATTCCTGGACCCTCCTGAGGCTCTCCTTGGCTTGTAGATGGGGCCTCTTCCTGTGTCTCATGCAGTCATTCCTGTGTGTGTGTCTGTGTCCTCATTTCCTCTTCTTATAAGGACACCAACCACATTGGACCAGGGCCCACCCTTATGACCTCATTTTCACTTAGTTACCTGTTTAAAGGCCCTATCTCCAAATACAGTCCCATTGTGAGGTACTGGGAGCTCGAGCTTTAACATATGAATCTCGCAGGGATGCAGTTCAGTCCATAGTAACATCAATAAAAAAGGTCAACCCATTAAAACATGGGCAACACACATGAAAAGGTAATTTGCAAGTAAGAAAACCTAAAGTCAATCTTCTGAACACCAGTACAAAATTACCTGAATTCAGTTAAACATAAATCAAAAATAACAATGTGATGTTATATTATGGCTATAGTATTTGCAAAAATTAATAGGTGTTAGAATGTGCAGAAATGGAAACTATTGTGTAATGAAGTACATGCATAAATTGTTCAAAGTGATTTGATCAATTTGGCAGAATAATAAATTTTCAAATGATCCTGCACTAAGAACCAGCAAATTTGCTAGTACACCCCAGATTCCATTCACCCAGAAGTGCCCATCACCAGCACTGGAGCCAAGTAAGTCCACTCTGGTGTTTGATGTCTCAGCCAGCATGAGAAGGAAGACATCTGATCGTCCATCAACCCAAGGGCAGGGGTAAAGTGACCCAAGGACTTCAATGAGACTAAAAAGGAAAGCAAAGGGGTGTTTCTTGAAGCAGATTAGTGTTGGAACATTAATAAGAATTATAGAAACAATTTTAATACACAAATAGAATTATCCAAAACATCTGAATTCTTAAAATTTTATAATAGATTCTAGCAGCACTTTTAATATTTTGTTTGACACACTAAAATTCTTTATAATGGTATTTAATTACATAATAACTAACATTCCTGTTTTCATATTAAATTACTGGTTGAACTTTGTTCATGTGTCCACAAGTACCTTTCTTTGAAAGCCAAATATCATCATCAAAGTGTTTATATAAAATGTATAATATCTTGATACATGCATTTCATTAAAGCCTAAAATGAAAACTTGAGTCAAAAATATCTTTACATTGCTTTTCTGATGAAATTGTATTTAGATACAAATCTTTTATTATCATGCAATAAATATTTCTATGATTCATAGTAGAAATGCTTTTGCAATTCATGATTGAAAGTCTAAATGGGAGAATATTGATCCTCATATGTCTCTATTCACATACATAACCTGACATTTCATTTAGAATGTAAACCATATAGGTAGGTTAATAGTTGTGATGTTATTGCTTCTTGATATTTAAAGAAAACATATTCAATGATCCAATAAATGAAGTCCATATGTATTGGCTCTAGATAGAAGATAAGGAATATGTTACTTTAATTTTGCTTTGGATACTACACTTTATTTGGTGATGAAAATATACAACTGAAGATTTTGGAAAAAGTCTAAAATCCTTTATTATTCTAACATTGTATGACTTGAGTTACCCACTGGCTGCAAGAAATTCTGGTAGGCAGCACAAGGAAATCATACAATAAAGACTAAAATCAGTGGGAAGTTGGTAGATTTGTGGACTTCTACCCAGTGACAAATTATGTAGAATTTTTAGAAAGTTCATTTTCACTGGTAGAATTATCTAAACTTTTAAAGCAAAAACTAAATAATGTATTTTAATGATAGATTTTCATGGTGGAGAGTAAAGAAAGAACATTGAAAACCCACTAAAACCCCACAATCATTTCCTTTTTTTGTGGGGCGGGGAGCTTTATTATCAGTCAGCCTGTAATTTAGTTGATAAATTACCTGCATGTCTTCCTTTCCCTTTCCCTGGAAATAAAACAAAATAAGAGAGGAAGGTGCACTCTCCAACATTCGGCTGCACAGGCCAGGCTGCGTTCCTCCGCCAGGCATGTGATGTTTGGACAGGGGTGCTATTTTCTCTCTCAGAGTCCATCTGTGACTAGAGTAAAGTGAAAGGTTTAAAACCCATGAGTTGTATATATTATTATAAAAGGAAGGGCCTGGCCAGGTGCGGTGGCTCACACCGAGGCAGGTGGATCATGAGGTCAGGAGTTCGAGACCAGTCTGGCCAAGATGGTGAAACCCCATCTCTACTAAAAATGCAAAAATTACCTGGGTGCGGTGGCGGGCATCTGTAATCCCAACTACTCAGGAGGCTGAAGCAGGAGAATCGCTTGAACCTGGGGAAGCAGAGGTTGCAATGAGCTGAGATCATGCCACTGCACTCTAGCTGGGTGACAGAGCAAGACTGTGTCTCAAAACACAAACAAAAAAAAAAAAAAAAGGAAGGGCCTGATTGTTCATTTATTCATTTGTTCAATTAAAATTTCACTAAAAAAATTATTTTACAAGAAGATGCTAAAACATTGTTTTGTGTTTTTCTAATTTAAAAAAAGCAGTAGATGTTGATTATCTTTCCAGCCATGATGAAGTAACTGAGGCAGGCTTAACGTTCTGATGTAAACAACTACAAAATTGGGCAGAAGACAAGAGGCTGGGCATAGGATCCTGTGCTCACACCTCCATTAGGGGGTTTCTGGGATGCAGCCCCACTGTGGCCTCACTCTGCAGGTCACTCTTGAGAAGTCAGATGCCTACTTTGTTCTTTGGCCTGGATGAGGAATGTGATATTTTATCTTCAGGCCCTTAGGATTGTGTTTCATTATCTTTAAAGTTCAATAGTTTTATCTGGCTATGTCTTGGTTAAATATGCCAGGCCAGTTCCTGCAGGTCTCAGTAGGCCCTTCTGACATGTAGCGTCAATGCTTCTTTTGTTTCTGGAAAAGTTATCTAACTCTGGTTTCTCTAGCTCTGGCCCTAGGTTTGTTCAGGACTCCAGTTAGACATATGCTGGCTCTTTGTTGGCTCTCTTGCATGTCACCAATGTCACTCTGACCCTTTTTTTAATATAACTCATTTTGATAGTTCATTTTATGTGTCAACTTGCCTGGGCTATGGGGTGCCCAGGTTTTTGGTCAAACATTATTCTGGGTGTTTCCATGAGGGTGTCAGTGCCTGAGATTAATTTACTTTGGTGGACTTTAAGTAAAAAGCAGATTCCATAACATGGGGGTTGCACCAGGCCTTGCACCCCTAAAGGCCTAAAGACCCCCACTCCCTGGCTCTGAGAGAACTCTGCAGCCCACCTGCTTCAGACTCCAGCTGGAGCGTTGGCCCTCCTGGGTCTCTGGCCACCAGCCCAACCTGCAAACTGTGGACTTGCCAGCCCCATAATTACGTGAGCTCACTCTTCCTTCCAGGGATTCTGTTTCACTGGAGAACTCTCATAAATCATTTTAATTTTAATTTTTGTTGTTTTCTTGCCTTTCTTGAATGTCTCAAATTGTCACTCAATCCAACCATTCTTGGTTTTGGTCATTTTTATATTTCCTACTAAAAAGTCCTTTTCCTTGTTCAACCAACTGCTTGGTAAGGATATTTAATTTAAGGTGCAGTATTGTGCTCAGTTCCCTTCTCTGTCACGGTTGTTTTTTGGCAGTGCATTTTTATCACCTGAAATGGCTTGATTCTCATTTTGTGTTTTCTTCTACTAATAGCTTTTTATAACGCTGGGCTGCTTTTGTTTACTTATTTCTTCTGACCGTTAGAGGCAGCGGATAGGATTCCTTGTTCAAGAGCTCTCTCTTCTGTCAGTGCAGCAGCATTCTGTTTCTCGCTGCTGTCCTGGGGGAAAGTGGTGTGTCATCTGGTTTCTGCTCCTCTTTGGTCTTGCAGAACCCCACATTTTCCTCTCTTGCTTCTCTTTATTTCTTCACTCCTCTGCTTCCTAAGGGTCCTTCTTCCTTCTGATTTACCCTTTTCTTCAGAGGCAAAGCAGCTCTGGGCATGCCACGTGGGTCCTGGAGATGCATGTCTCCCTTCCCTGGAGCTGCCAGCCCCTGGGAGGCTTCTCTGCAGTTTTACCACCACAAAGTGGGTTTTGCTTAACGGCAGCTCCTGCTCCTTTTCTCCATGTCCCTCCTGTCCATGTGCCTGGACTTTCCTCAGTGTCCACCACTGTGTTACCTTTGGGATCAAAGGTAGTCGATCTGCTGTTGTATGTTGATTATTTCACCTGCAGGTGATTGAAACACACCACCTCTCTCTCCCAGGCTTGCCAAGGGAAGAGTTCTACGTAAAGTTGTTCTTCATGCTCATCTGCATAGTTATCTTGGAGATGTTTGAAAAGATTTAGATTCAGGTGGCTGCCAATATCTTCAGGCAACCCAAAGTCAAATTAACGTTTTTATTTTATGTAAATCAATGATTAGAAAATTGATTTTACATATTTTACATAATTATCACCATGGGACTCATTATTTTGTTGCCACTCGTCAACCTGTTAATTCTGCATTTATAGTGATTTGTAATAGTTTTTCTAATTAAGGCAAACTAAACGAAATCAGTTAATAACGAAGTAGATTTTATCCCTCATGTACGCTAATATAGACTAACATGAAATCCCATAATTTATCTTATCTCAAAGCACATTTTTATACCAGGCAGCTGATTTGGTTTCTGCCCTCAGTCTATTCTCTCTCACACAGACTCCCCTTTTCTTTTTCTCTGTTTCTGTTTTTCCTGTCCTTCGCACCCTCAGCAGGGAGCTCAACTTCCTGGCACTATTCTCACACACATGTCAGGTGTAAACATCTTTATGGGGGAAACAGGCTCTGGCTGTCTCACAAAGCTTTAGTTGTCATGCACATGTAACACTTTCATTCACTTCTTAAAGGTGATTTACATGAGCCTCGCACAGCTGAGACGTATTTCGCTGCTTACTAAACCTTGAATGATGGTGCGTCATTCTCATTAAAACAAGGAAGCACAGGAAGGTGGAAGTATAAATTTTTGTGAGTGTTTCTGGCCCACTATGAAAGTGCGACAGCGGGCATGGCTGTCTAGGCCTCCCTGGCAGCACTGGTGTGGGGGCTCCCAGGAAGGAGTAGAGGAGGGTTAGGAAAAGGATGGGAGGGCCACGGGCCTGGCAGCTGAGCAGCACCTGGGCCCTCACAGCTCAGATTGCAGAGCAAAGAGGGAGCCACGTGTGGAGGGTGGGGAACATGGAGCGAGAAGGGGAGGGAAGCACAAAAGGGAGCACAAGAGGAGAGAATGGAGGGGAGCATGGGAGGGAGCATAGAAGGGGGCATAGAGGAAACACAAAGGGAGCACTGGGGAGAGCATGAGAGGAACAGGGGAAGCACAGGCGAGGTAGCACAGGGGGGAGCACTAAGAGAGCACACCGCGGAGCTGCCTCCACCCAGGCCTGGCATGAGCAGGGTTGACCCCAGAGCCCAGACCCTTCCCCCAGGAGCACAGGGAACAGGCAGTGTTCCCCCACAGTGGGGGCGGGAAGGAGAGTCCAAGGGCCAAGGAAGGGCTGATGGTCCATTTCCTGTGGAATTGCGCCAACCTGATGGCATCCATAAGGCACACTTACCATGCTTGGGTTCTGTGGTCAAGTCCAGAAGAGGCACGTCCTGCTCAGGGCCCCATCGGCTACCCTCCGTCCCCAGTACCTGGAACTATGTATGGCACCAGCCCTGGGGCAGGCACGGGCCTTGGCTTCTGAGCTCCAGGGATGCCCCAGACCCCCTCCCTTAGCTTCTGCTTCTTGGCCTCACATCCAACTGCTGCAACGGCACCTCTGCACCTGCTGGTGGGGGTGACGCCTGTCCCTTCTGCACCTGCCAGCCAGGGATTATGACCTGTCCTTTCTGTACCTGCCAGACAAGGATTATGACCTGTCCCTTCTGCACCTGCTGGCTGGGGATTATGACCTGTCCCTTCTGTACCTGCCAGGTCGGGGGTGATGCCTATCCTTTCTGCACCTGCTGGCTGGGATTATGACCTGTCCCTTCTGCACCTGCCGGCTGGGGGTTACGACCTGTCTCTTCTGCATGTGCTGGCCAGAGGTGATGTCTGTCCAGTCCACATATGCCGGCATGGGGGCTGACTGGTCTGTCTCTCTACATCTGTGGGCTGTGGTGACTGGTCTGTCTCATCTATCATCTACACCCACCAGCTGGGTATAATGCCACAGACTCTGCCTGCTCCTGCGCTGGCACATGCTGTAGCTCCTGGGGAGTAACCTGAGGAGTTACCTGGGGTGTGTCTGGCGCAGGTGACCTCTGCATGTCACTGGCATTGCAGCAGAAGCCGGCAGAGGACCCAGGCCAGCAGAGCTCCTTCCCTCTTAGCTGTTGGCCAGGAACCCCCTCTCAGGAGCTGAGGGCACCTCTGGATGGAGGGCAAGACAAAAACATGTTCTAATCAGAGAAAATGGTTGGTGGAGTGCTCTAAGTGCAGGATGGGTGGATCTGAGAGCTGGGGGTCCTTTGCTTCTCCCGCCCTCACGGCAGGGCTGGTGCAGAGGGGATCGGCCCAGAGGTCTGAGGGGCTCTAAGAGCAGGAGATAAGAATTGCAGGAAGGTTCCCGGGAGCAGATTTTAACTAAACAGTATTAGTTAAGCTGCATTTCCATAACTAATCAATTTTAATTAACAGAGCCCATGTATCTGGAGTTAATTTTGCTATGTTCTTAATAGGAATAGGAGAATCTTTCCTATAACAGCCATATAGAAAATGTATTTCTTCAGCCATATTCTTTCTAACTAGTGTGGACCTGCTTAAGAATGCACTGTCCTGTATCTTATCTCAAACAGGAATTTATCTAGTCTATATTCGAGATTATCATGAAATCATATTAGTACTTTATGAGCTAAAGCATTTTGAATCACGTTCCAAATATTATGTATACTCCATAATTTCCTGTATAGATCATTAAATTCCCATATATCCCAATTTAAGTAAAAATACATTTTTAATTACCTGAGCTTCATAACCCCAACTTTACCATTTAATTAAAGCACAGACTTATCAAAGTCTCCAAAGCATGGGTGGGTCAAGTTTAATACTCATCTGGCCCACTTTCAATGCCCACTAGGTCCTTCTGGAAATGAACTTCTGAATAAGAAAGGATTATTAATTAGTAATTAGTATAATTAATTATTAATTATCTACATTAATTAGAATGAATGCACATAGCGCATATTATTAAAGTAAGTCACAGGAAATGGTGAAATCCTTTCTAAATCACTGATTCAAACAATAGTCAAAAGAGCTGACTACCTCATAAGACAGAAAATGTCATAGTCCTGCTCCAACGTTAATCTGTCCACTTCAAATATGTCAATTCTATTTACGGCAATTTGCCTACATTGAAATTCATTGATGTATGATAGTGCTAAGCTGGCCCTGTTTTAAGATACAGTTATGTGATCAGAAATTCAGAAATAAATAAATCATGTAAATTTTACTATTTTATTTTACTATTATGAGACTATACAAACTTTGCAAATGTTTATAGTGGAGTCACTTTATTGATTTGCATTAGAAAACTATATAGCAAGTAGATACATTGCCTTGCAAGGCAACAAATTCCCTCAAAGGGGGTTAAAATTATAGTAGAGCAGTGTTCTCTTTACTCTTTTATAAGGAAGATTCAAATGCCACATAGTCCCTCAATGAGATCACCTCAGAAGTCTCCTGCTGCTCTAGAGCCTATGATTGATTCTTCTTGGTCAAAAATAAACAGGTGCCAATCCTTGCCAACTGCCACTGTCTAATTAAGAGATCCATTTTCTCTTTGTTGGATAAATGTAGAGTCCTCAGCCTCCTGCCTCTCCTCCCTTTAATGGGGTTGAATTTGGGAAACGTTTCCCGGCAGGAGCAATGTTGTAATAGGCATAAGGGAGGCGTGTGTGGATCCAGCACACCTCTACTGGAGAGGAGTGGAAGGCAGACCACAGAGGTGGGGGACAGAGAAAGAAGGAGGCTTTAAATTCCTGCTGGAGTAGTACGGATTTTTTTCCTGTAATTGGTGGCAATCTCTGGAAGGTTGT
Organism: Homo sapiens; assembly: GCF_000001405.40. NCBI lineage: Eukaryota > Metazoa > Chordata > Mammalia > Primates > Hominidae > Homo > Homo sapiens. The sequence continues at coordinate 907,684 of NC_000002.12, forward strand.
TGGCTGGGAGAAGCACACCCAGGGGCAGCGGAGGAAGATTGATATTGTATTGTTGTTCCAAGTAGAATGGGATAAAAAGGAATTCACAGAGATCAAAGCTTCGGGACCTCATCTGTAGGCCACAGCACACTGTTTGCAATTCTCAGACCAGATCCAGACACTGCTCTTCTCAAGCCTCGGCACCCAGGGTCTTAGTCACCAGCAAGGCTCTCTCGAGCTTTTGCATCTAGGGACATACATCTTTCTTTTCCACCTGGTGATGTCACCTCCTGAAATGTCAGGTCAGATGGCTCATTCTCCATGTGGCGTATCTGCTTATACTGAGTTCCTCCCTTTATTCTTCTTCCTTGGTACTTTGGTTTTGCTAATCACATCCTTACTGCCATTTTCCGTAGATCGCAAGAACTCTTGTAGATAGATATTTGCCCCATTGATGCTGAGCTCTTTGCCTGGTCAGGATGATGCCCTGATCCTGTTTGCACCCCCATCCTCTCTAGGGCCCTAAAACAATGTCCCATGGTTGATGCACAGCAGATATTTGCTTTTTGTCACTGTTTTTTAATTCATCAGTACACCTGAAAAAAAATACTTACTTGTCTTTTCAATGTAAGCTTATAAAGTGATAAGTATTTTAAAATGTAATGGCCACACCTCAATAAGTGTCATTATCCTCCCACTAGGATAGACTTAATATGTAATGTTATAATTCTGTTTAAATAGTAGATTACGTTAGGAAAGGAGAGTAAAGAAATGTGACTTTGAACAAATAATATCTCTTCCCTTCAGGGTCAGAACTAGCTGGAGTTATTCTGATGATCATTACCTGATTGTTAAATTCAGTTTGGACAATTTGGAGTCTTTATGGACACAGAGTCCCCAAATGCAAGGTGCAGTAGACTGAATGTCTGTCCCCTCAAATCTGAAACGTTGAAATCATTTGGGAAAACTGAAATCAGTTGGTCTTTGGGAAGGCATGAGGGTGAAACCCTCCTGAATAGGATGAGTTCTCCCATAGAAGAGGCCCTGAGAGCTGCCCTGCCCCTTTCCCCAGGTGAAGACACAGCCAGATGGTGTCTTCTGGAAGGGAAGAGGGCCCTGCAGACACCGCATCGGCAAGCACCTTGGTCTCAGACTTCCAGCCTCCGGAGCTGTGAGACAGGTCTCTGTGGTTTAGAATCCACCCAGGCTGTGTGATTCTGCTGTAGCAGCCTTAATGGACTAAGATACAAGGTAAAATGTCATTTGCTAAAGGAAGTAAAAGAACTGGAGACATTAAAAATATACAGGAAACCTGCACATTTATCAGAAAAAATAAAAAGCTGTCATGTGCCCATGAAACCAAGTGCTAAAACAATATCTACAGTTTCTTATTTCATTGTAGTCAAATTGCTATCTGTTCTCGATGACCAACTTCAAACAGCCTCTTGTCTCTGAGGCTTCCCTTGCTAACTCCTCATGAGTTTCCCTCCTACTTCCACAGCCTGCTGGGATTTTTGGCATCCAGACTGCCTTCTCCCATACAGATAACTCCTCTAACCCCTTCAGTCATGCACATTTATGGCAATGTTTCTGTGTAATTGCATCTGTGTCTGCCTTGTTCAAAAAAATATTTACTTTATCAGCATCTTAAATGTAACAGTTCATTTTATCGATGAGGAATCACTAAGGAAATCTCTAAGCAGCAAGCTGATCCCCAAGTTCACATCGCATATGATCAACGTACCTACGTGTATTGCCAAATCTATTCCTTTCCTTAAATTGAGTCTAAACTGGACAGACATTTAATTTCAGAAAATGGATTATTGAATTTGCTGTACATATGAGTCAACTTCAAGAAACCCTAGGCCACTTCCCGGTTGTAAGCCACATAACCAAGAAAGTCTAACTGACCAGTGCAGGCAAAGCCGAAGTCAGCACTTGTTTAAAGACTAACCAGACACCAGAGGCTTCTCACCAAATCCAGAAATTTCACAAAGCTGGTGTTTCATTTCCTCCCAGCCTCCTCGCCTGCACTGGGTCTGGTCTTTCATTTCCTCCCGGCCTCCTCGCCTGCACTGCGTCTGGTGTTTCAGATCCTCCCGGCCTCCTCGCCTGCACTGGGTCTGGTGTTTCATTTCCTCCCTGCCTCCTCGCCTGCACTGGGTCTGGTGTTTCATTTCCTCCCGGCCTCCTCGCCTGCACTGGGTCTGGTGTTTCATTTCCTCCCTGCCTCCTCGCCTGCACTGGGTCTGGTGTTTCATTTCCTCCCGGCCTCCTCGCCTGCAATGGGTCTGGTGTTTCATTTCCTCCCGGCCTCCTCGCCTGCACTGGGTCTGGTCTTTCATTTCCTCCCGGCCTCCTCGCCTGCACTGCGTCTGGTGTTTCAGATCCTCCCGGCCTCCTCGCCTGCACTGGGTCTGGTGTTTCATTTCCTCCCGGCCTCCTCGCCTGCACTGGGTCTGGTGTTTCATTTCCTCCCGGCCTCCTCGCCTGCAATGGGTCTGGTGTTTCATTTCCTCCCGGGGTCCTCGCCTGCACTGCGTCTGGTGTTTCAGTTCCTCCCGGGCTCCTCGCCTGCACTGGGTCTGGTGTTTCATTTCCTCCCGGCCTCCTCGCCTACACTGGGTCTGGTATTTCAGTTCCTCCTGGGGTCCTCACCTTCACTGGGTCACCAGGGGAGTTGCTGTGCCTCTGCCGTGCCCTTCGTTTGCTGTGACCCCACATCTTAACACTCTGCCTTCTCATAAGCTGAATTGCTTTATTTAATTAATTCAAGTCAGTTTATTTCCACAGACATTCCTGAGGGCCCACAGCAAGTCGGAAACCAAGCTCAGCACTAGGGAGATGAGGATGACCCAACAGCCTCTGCACCCCAGGGCTCGCGATCTACTGGAAAGTGATAGTATTGTGAAAACTGCATAAAATATGAACCAGGGAGTGAAATATTAGCAGAGGAGGTGATAGCGCTCCAAGAAGAGAGAGCAGTGTAGGCAAGTTAGGAAACACAACTTCAACATCGGACCTGTGTCTTGAAGAATGATTAAGCGTCTGTGGGTGCAGCACCCTGAAAGGACAACACGCAGGAGATGGTTGGGAGCGAGGGCAGAGCTCTGCGAATGTTCAGAGGTGGGAGACGGCTGTGGAGTGAGGGCAGAGCTCTGCGACTGTTCAGAGGCTGTGGCGAAGCTGGGACACCCCACAGGAGACGGCTGTGGAGCGAGGGCAGAGCTCTGCAAATGTTCAGAGGTGGGAGACGGCTGTGGAGCAAGGGCAGAGCTCTGCGAATGTTCAGAGGCTGTGGCGAAGCTCGGACACCCCACAGGAGACGGCTGTGGAGCGAGGGCAGAGCTCTGCAAATGTTGAGAGGCTCTGGTGAAACTGGGACCATCCACAGGAGATGGCTGTGGAGCGAGGGCAAAGCTCTGCAAATGTTGAGAGGCTGTGGTGAAACTGGGACCATCCACAGGAGACGGCTGTGGAGCGAGGGCAGAGCTCTGCAAATGTTCAGAGGCGGGAGACGGCTGTGGAGCGAGGGCAGAGCTCTGCGAATGTTCAGAGGCTGTGGCAAAGCCAGGACCGCTAAGCACAGTGGCCAGGTAGGAGCCGCCGGGTGCTGTCCAGTTGGCGAAGGGCCTTGGTTATCTCCATGTGAACTTAGGGATGTGTCTCATACGCAATGGAAAGGCTGGCAGAGGAACATAAGAGGGAGGCCTGTGCTTTAGAAATGTAACACCAGCAGCCTGTAAGAAAATGGGATGAAAAGGAAAAGATCCTTAGAAAGGAAACAAACAGCTTTAAAACTATTCAAGTGGTAGTCAACATAAGATACGAGTGAGGAAGTTTTACTTGAAGGTAATAGCAATAGAAGGGGAAAAGAAGAAATGGGGTCAAATTCAAGAGACTTTCCTATGGAAAAGCCTAATTCTGTGAAAAGAAGCCTTAAAGACTGGAATTTCCTGGGAAGCAGAGCTGTTTCTGCTCCCCAAGCCCGGGCAGGCAAAGGCCAGCACCTCTTCCAATCAGTTCACACATGTGCGGTTCAGGCTGCTGAGAACTTTCACCACCACTCTTGCCTGGGGTATGTGTCCATAGTCTCTGCTTGATGTGTTTTATTTGTTTCTTCTTCAGGTTTCAGTAAATTTGCAATAAGCTCCAACAATTTTCTTATTTGATCAGCCTTGTAGGGAAATGCAAATAAAACAACATAGAGAACTTTCAGCTCTGGACAAGATAGAGGAGACACATGATTCCTATTTCTCCACCTCAGTTCCACAGACACACCTGGACGTGACACAGGAAACACACCGAAGGCCGCTGTGGAAGGGGCAGGGGTGACAGCAGACGGGACAGAGGCCTCGGATCCAGGGGACAACACATCTGCCTTTTCTTCTTGTTTTTATAGTTTAGTTTGTTTTTTCTCTGTAGAGAGAAACCTAAAACCTAGAAACACTAACTGGTAAAAACAAAAAGGGCTCCTTGATCTCAGACAGAGGACTGGGAAGGGGACCCCAGAAAGTCTAGGACTGGAGGCAGAGGCCATTTGATGCTTCAGACGTAAGCTGCCGTCTCCCATTCACTTTTACCAGAATCCCACATTACAGGTTACAGGATGAGTAATCAGGAATTATTATTTGTGCATAAATCCTTGAAGGTGGCCCAACATATTTGCCTAGAAAGGAGGGAATCAACTCCTGGAGCCTCGTGAAGTGGCGTATCTGATCAGTAATGCACACTGTGAAGTGGAAGGACCTTACTATTCATCTGTGTGAAGGGGAAGGACCTTAGTATTCATGTATGTGAGGTGGAAGGACCTTAGTATTCATGTATATGAAGGGGAAGGAGCTTAGTCTTCATGTATGTGAGGTGGAAGGACCTTAGTCTTCATGTATGTGAGGTGAAAGGACCTTAGTCTTCATGTATGTGAGGTGGAAGGACCTTACTATTCATGTATGTGAGGGGGAAGGACCTTAGTATTCATGTATGTGAAGGGAAGGACCGTAGTATTCATGTATGTGAGGTGGAAGGACCTTAGTATTCATGTATGTGAGGTGGAAGGACCTTAGTATTCATGTATGTGAGGGGGAAGGACCTTAGGATTCATGTATGTGATGTAGAAGGACCTTAGTATTCATGTATGTGAAGGGGAAGGACCTTAGTATTCATGTATGTGAAGGGGAAGGACCTTAGTATTCATGTGTGTGAGGGGGAAGGACCTTAGTATTCATGTATGTGAGGGGGAAGGGCCTTAGGATTCATGTATGTGATGTAGAAGGACCTTAGTATTCATGTATGTGAAGGGGAAGGACCTTAGTATTCATGTGTGTGAGGGGGAAGGACCTTAGTATTCATGTATGTGAGGGGGAAGGACCTGAGTATTCATGTATGTGAGGGCGAAGGACCTTAGTATTCATGTATGCGAAGGGGAAGGACCTTAGTATTCATGTATGTGAAGGGGAAGGACCTTAGTATTCATGTATGTGAGGTGGAAGGACCTTAGTATTCATGTATCTGAGGAGGAAGGACCTTAGTATTCATGTATGTGAGGTGGAAAGACCTTAGTATTCATGTATATGAAGGGGAAGGACCTTAGTATTCATGTATGTGAGGGTGAAGGGCCTTAGTATTCATGTATGTGAGGGGGAAGGACCTTAGGATTCATGTATGTGATGTAGAAGGACCTTAGTATTCATGTATGTGAAGGGGAAGGACCTTAGTATTCATGTGTGTGAGGGGGAAGGACCTTAGTATTCATGTATGTCAGGGGGAAGGACCTTAGTATTCATGTATGTGAGGGCGAAGGACCTTAGTATTCATGTATGTGAAGGGGAAGGACCTTAGTATTCATGTATGTGAAGGGGAAGGACCTTAGTATTCATGTATGTGAGGTGGAAGGACCTTAGTATTCATGTATCTGAGGAGGAAGGACCTTAGTATTCATGTATGTGAGGTGGAAGGACCTTAGTATTCATGTATGTGAGGGCGAAGGACCTTAGTATTCATGTATGTGAGGGGGAAGGACCTTAGTATTCATGTATGTGAGGGCGAAGGACCTTAGTATTCATGTATGTGAGGTGGAAGGACCTTAGTATTCATGTATCTGAGGAGGAAGGACCTTAGTATTCATGTATGTGAGGTGGAAGGACCTTAGTATTCATGTATATGAAGGGGAAGGACCTTAGTATTCATGTATGTGAGGGTGAAGGGCCTTAGTATTCATGTATGTGAAGGGGAAGGACCTTAGTATTCATGTATGTGAGGGGGAAGGACCTTAGTATTCATGTATTGGTTATGGTTTCACCACTGAATGACACTGGACAAGTTATTCGGACAGTCTAAAACTCAGTATGCTAAATTCATAACACGGGGGTAATATCAATATCTATGTCATAAGTTAGCATTGAGAGGAAATGTGCGTAAAGTGCCTAGAACATGGGAAGCTTGCAGAGAATGTTGGCTAATTCAATGATCATTGTCATTCTTTTCCTCGTCATCACTATCATCATTTGATGTTTATTTTGGAGACAACATTAGTAATCAAATCCCATAAATGTCAACACTTAGATTCCACAAGAAACACTGGAAATGTTACAAAAGGCACTGAAGAGCTGGTTATTGCTCTTATTCTGCAAGTTAACAAACTTCCAGCCTCCGTGTGGAATGGCAAACCAGATGCATGTGTGTGATCCTTCAGAGGGAAAATAAAGCTGTTCATGGCAGACTTACACACACATGTATTCAAAACACAGTATGTGTGTTTCCGCACTGAAAAATCTTTTATGTGGAAATTATTTTGAGTAAAAGTGTGACGGAGACTAACTGGCTGTTCCTCAAATCACCTTCCTTCTTCTCCTGATCACAGAGATAATCTCCATCTAACCTCCACCCACTCTTCAAAGTCTGGTATGGCCATGAGTTGAGTCCCAGTCGATGGGATATGAGTAGAAATAATCCATGCAACTCCCAGACCTGGCTTCTGAACGCCCCTGCACAGTGTTGTACCTGCAGGGATGCTGGTGCTGACCATGGTCCAGAACCCACAGGCACAAGATGGAAGGCCCCTTCCACGCTCTCCCAATGACTGGGCACCACAGGGATGCCGGTGCTGACCGTGATCCAGGAACCCACATGCAGAAGATGGAAGGCCCCTTCCACGCCGTCCCAATGACTGGGCACCACAGGGATGCCGGTGCTGACCGTGATCCAGAACCCACAGGCAGAAGATGGAAGGCCCCGTCCATGCTCTCCCAATGACTGGGCACCACAGGGATGCCGGTGCTGACCGTGATCCAGAACACACAGGCAGTAGATGGAAGGCCCCGTCCATGCTCTCCCAATGACTGGGCACCACAGGGATGCCGGTGCTGACCGTGATCCAGAACCCACAGGCAGAAGATGGAAGGCCCCGTCCGTGCTCTCCCAATGACTGGGCACCACAGGGATGCCGGTGCTGACCGTGATCCAGAACCCACAGGCAGAAGATGGAAGGCCCCATCCACGCTCTCCCAATGACTGGGCACCACAGGGATGCCGGTGCTGACCATGATCCAGAACCCACATGCAGAAGATGGAAGGCCCCTTCCACGCCCTCCCAATGACTGGGCACCACAGGGATGCCGGTGCTGACCGTGATCCAGAACCCACATGCAGAAGATGGAAGGCCCTGTCCACGCCCCCCAATGACTGGGCACCACAGAGACTCCACCCTTCACTGCCAAACAGGAAGAGCTCCCCAGGGTCACTGCATTCTTCCGTAACTGTTTTTGTGTGAAACCCTTGCCATTTGGGGGTTTTTACAGCAGCTATAATTAATGAATACAGATCAGCATATTGAAGTTGAATGCTGACATGATAATAATACAAGTTACTTACTTGGAGTTGATGTGTAAATTACACGAGGCATAGAACGATGCGGACTCCAGACCTGCACCGCGGAAAACTCACTAAAGCTGTCTCCAAAGGGCTGCGAAGGCGACCATGCCTCTACCCAACGTGCCACTCTCAGAAAACCACCAGAGGGGCCAGTGACAGAGACTATTGTGTTTCGCTTACTGTGTTAAGTTATACCAAGGGAAAATTATCTTTGAAAATATTAGACATTTTGCCAGCAGAAATAATTGGATCCTCAAAGGCTTGGAAACATTGTCTTCTTCTAGAACTCAAATAATAGGAAATAAAACCGGAAATAAAAAAGAAATGCTTTGAGAAAAATGTTAAAAGCCCAGAAAAGTTTCTAGTTGAAGAAGAAAATGTATCCTTGTGGCAGAAAGCAACCTAAAGACATCCGCTTTTGACCTAAACGGTGCTTCCATGTGTCTTCAGAAGAGCCACTGCTAAGTTGAAAATGCACGGTATGGGGACAAGCTCCTTCTTATGTGTAGAGAAACAAATTCAGTGCGGTTATGGAGCCCAGCACAGGACACAGGATCCCGAAACATGGTCCCCACATCAGAAACTGCACAGTGGAAACGCTATGCGATAGCCACGCATCCACCACCCAGGACAGGATGTGAGGGAAGCAGAGGCGGCACGTTCCAAGGACGTGCTAGGTTTGCAGCCATCAGGACTCGCATATGCTACTGGTAGAGTATGAATTACTAAAACCACGTGGGGGAAAAAGTGTAGCAATATCCACCAAAGCTGAACACGCGCCTACCTACCCACGAAGGTGTACAAGTAAGTTTACCAAAAACATGCTTATAGATGCAGCATCCACACTAGCAACAAAACACGACTAGAAACTACTAGAAGGTCCTTCAGCAGTGGAATGGATAATTAAATAGACTGTAATATTTTCGCACCATGGCACACCATGCAGTCATGAACACAAGATGCCTACAACTGCACACAGCAGTGGGGCTGCAACCTCACAGACCAAACATGGAGCAGAATAAAACAGACACAAGCAAAATACGATGCGTGATTCCATTTATATTCAGGCAGACACAGGCCCAGCTGATCTGGGCTCTTAGGAACTGGGTGATTGTGAACCTCGGGATAGTGGCTGAAGGCGGGGGTGGGAGTTTGTACATGGCTGTAACGGTCTCTCGAGGTGGATGCTGGGTGCATGGTTGTGTTGGGCTGGTGGTCACTCACTGATTAGTGATGTTCAATCTCCACCACCCCACCGAAGGCAGGCTCATCAATGACTCATGGGGTGGAGAAGGAATAATCTCACAGGAAACAGGGCCCAACCAAAGGGGCCCCCAAATCCAACCGCCAAATCCACAGCATAGAGCCTCACGCTGCCCACCTGGTGGGGCTTTGATCGCTGTGGGTCCATGTTCACAATCTTATTCTTTTTTATCCATGGGAGCATCCTAACCTACCTCGCTCTGCCTTTTGAGAGATGGAAAATGTGTCTAATTGACAGTGTGGTGAACAAGAAGTGCCATCGTGGGCTGATGAAGAGGACCGCACAGTGCCCAGAGGGTGTGGACTTTGAGCTGGGTGCAGCGGCTGGATGGGGCTTTGGGTGTCTCATTTAGGAGAAGGGGGAGAAGGACTCTGCGGTGAGACTAGCTAATGACCCAGCCCATTTCTTCTTCACCCAGGATACAGAGAAAGTCCCCAGCCCGCCTCAGGCTCAGATGTACTTGATTCTCCGCAGACCACCAGGGTGGAGGCCTCCTGCCCCCCAGGCCAAGCAGCCAGTCTCCCTGAGCAGACACAGAAGTCAGAAATAATGTTCTGTGATCTTCGGCCAGTGAAACCTGTGGATTTGCTTATTACAGGGGCCAGCATTACTTATTACAGGGGCCATAATTACTTGTGTAAAGTAATTTCTTTACACAAGCTACATAGTTGACTATAAGCTTTTAAGCCACACCTCTGAATTTTCTTCATCTCTATGGCACTTACATGCTAACAAATACTGCAGGACGATTTTTCAGGTAACGGAGGAGAGGATATACCCAAAGTCTAACTCAGAGCAGACATTCACAAATTATGAGTCGTGACTATTTTTATCTTAAAAGTTTAATCTGTTTAGACTCCTTTTCCATGAAGACTTTCTACTTTATTAATCACCCATTCTGTGTTCATGGAAATTCCTGCTTGGGGATGCATCCTTTTTCTACCTCCATTATTTAAAATACTGTGGGCACTTCCAAAATGTTGGTTGAAGAAGGAGGATAACATTGTCTCCCTCCTCAAGGAAAACACTAAATGCTCTGTCATTTTAAAATATTGCTCAAAATTGTCTTACAAGAAGATTCTACGACATCCTTATCCAAGGAAAAACATAAAGAGTTCGATTCTTCAGTGAGCACTGCCGAGAGACTTTCTTTCTTAATCCAACTTGTGATGAGTTTATTTAATTGTGGAAGGACTTTCACAAAATATTGGAATTCCTCACAGTTACTGGAGTGTGTCCTCTGATTATGAAATACAAGCAGGATTGCGGGAGCTTAGGAGTTAAATTGCTGAACCTTCTGTTGATCTGGCTGGAAGTGGCCTTTAAGTTATTCTAAATAATGCTTACACAATGCTGAAGTGCATAGAGTTTGGCAATCATGAGATTAACTTTCCCTGAAACCACCCAGAAGATGCTTTATTCTATCAATTTCTCATGAAAAATCAATATGATTAACCTTGAAATTTATTTCTAACTGTGGAAGATGCACATTTCAAAACAGACTCTTGAGCTTCTTTTGTCCTATGAAACCAGTCATACTTCATGGAAAATAGGCAGTCAATCAGAGAATGTCTATTTCTGGCTATGATTTCTACCCACAGAAACATATAGTAAATTCAATATGGCTCTTGAAAGCCTTTCAAAAGTTCTTTCTCTCTGGAAAATGCCTTGCGAATATGAATAATGTCTTTCTCCATTAGTGTGGCATGGCATTTATCTTTGTAGATTAAACAAGCGAATCAGCTGGGAACTTGTGCCTCAGAAGGCAACATCACAGCCACTTTATTAGAGAATGCCGGTAGCTGGAACCTTAATTTTGGAAGGACTTTCACACACACACACACGCACACACACACACACACACACACACACAAAAAAGGATCCTTGTTGCAGAAAGCAACCTAAAGACATCCCCTTTTGAGCTAAACAGTGCTCCCACGTGTCTTCAGAAGAGCCACTGCTAAATCGAAAAGCTCCTTCTAATGTGGACAAAAACAAACTGCATCATCAGCCAATGAGACGAGACTGAACTTGCATCCTTTTCCCACGGCAGAGCATCTGGGAAGGGGGTTCGTGCCAGGTGCTCATATTTACCTAATCTACCTGTGTCAGAACAAAACCTGGGATGTGTCCTTCATGGCACTGGGGTGAGATGTTTTAGACTCATGCAAAAATGTCCATGAAATGTAATGCTTTTTCCACTCGTGAAGGAAAATATTTTCTGATATTAAAAAGATAGTCTTTGAAGGGATGTAATATTATTTGAGGCTCTGTGGTTGTGAACACTTTTCCTGC